>NC_000010.11:30922847-31227129 GCF_000001405.40 Homo sapiens
AGAAAAAGAAAAACCATTGTCTAAAAATTGTACATTGCCAAGTACACAATGGAATTAATAATATTTTAAACAACCCTTTCTAAGTATGTTAGGTTAAACAGGGTGCCCCTAAGTAAAAGAATAATAAGTGTAACACTCATTTGATAAGTCTTAGTTAAGCCTTTTTGATAAATTTCTCCAAACTGAGAAAGTGATAGCACATCCCCCTCCAAGTTAAGTGATTTCCAGTCCTTTGCTTTCTACAAATGATGGCATAATTGAATTGTCAGTAGAAACATTATTAAATAATCTGTAGATCACATTATGATTTCTGGCATGTAACTCAGCAGGATGAGCAAAGTTAATAGGTGATGCAGTGTTTCTGTCATATTGTAAACACTGACATTTTAAAGCTCAGGTGTTATGTCACTCTTTTAAATGTATATTTGACTTTGCTCACCTCTCTCATGTCTAATTTCCATGACCTCACTGTTTTTCCTGTATCATCTTTTTCTCTTGTACTCCTTCCAATGTTGTTTTCATTTGACAGTTTCATTTTCTTCTTCAATTTCTTTCCCGAGCTCTGCTTCTAAATGCATAATTTTAGATTTTATAATTAAACTATAATTACTAACATAACATTTTAACTTTTCCCATTTTGTGTATGATGAGGTAAGAATCCACTTTCCATCTTTTTCATATGGACACTCTATTGCCTCAGCACCATATACTGAAAGCTGTTACGCGCACCCTTTCCCCCAATGATCTTCAACACCTGTTGTGTCATGAATCATGCTTCCACATATAGGTGGATCTGTTTGTAAATTTTCTATTATTTTCATCTGCCAATTTGTATATCCTCATACCATATGCTGGCTTAACTACTATGGTTTTATATTGTCATTATATAAAGGCAGCAAAAGCACTTCCTTGATAGGAGGAAAAACACCTTCTTTAGGAATCTGTATGTGATTTTGGGATGATTGCTCTTCCATTTAAGTTCAGAATTACAATGTCAAGTATCATCCAAATAATAATATTAATAGTAATCATACAATCTCAAAATCTGTTAGGGATTTGATTCTATGTGTAATAAGAGAGAATTAACATCTTTGCAACATTAAATCTTCTAATCCATTAATGTCTTTCAATAAAAGTTTGTAACTTCTCAATAAAGGACTTAGACATAACTTGTTAAATTTCTACAAAAGTTATTTGTAGTATGTTGCTATGTAAATTATATCTTTTAAAAATTACATTTCTGTAGTAACTTTACTGTGGAAAAATCTTGCAGATACCATCTTAACCAACTGATCAAGGTTAACATGACCAGTAACAAGTCATATTGTTACTGAAACACCAGAGGTTTGGTCTAGGTCCTGATGTTGCACTGCACAGAAAGCCAATGACTGAGACGATGAATGTTGCCAAGGAAGAAGGCTTTAATCAGGTGCTGCAGCCGAGGAGATGGGAGCTCAGTCTAAAATCCATCTCCCTGACCGACTAAAACTAGGGGCTTACATACCAGGGAAGAAATGTAACGATGTGTGAGAAAATAGGAACTCTAGAGAGGCAAGGAGGCAATCATGATGAATGAGGGGTGCGGCATTTCCTTGTTTGGATGTGGTGATCTGGTGAGATTCAGTTCTTTGATACTTATTTTGAGAGGCCTGAAGGTCATTTCCTGAGAAAGGAACTCAGATAAAATAAAGTTTCCAGCTTTAAGACCAGAATGGTCAATTTCTGTTTATCCAAAAAACTATCTATGGGATAATTGGGTGGGTTTCAATATTGATAACATTTACTGCCTGACATGATGTGATATAATAATGAGAAAACACCAAACTCAAATTGATATCCTTTCTACAAAAGACTTGACCACTATTCTTCAAAAGTATCAAATCCCTGAAAGACAAGAAAAGATCAAGAAACTGCCTTAAATTGGTTAAGAGATATGGCTATTGAATGCAATGTGGTATCCTGGGTTAGATCCTGCAATGAAAAGAAAGTATCAGTAGAAAAACTGGAAAAATCAAAATAAAAGCTGTAGTTTAGTTAATATTAGTATATAAATGTTAATTTCTTAGTTTTGATAAATATACTACGGCTATGTAGGATGTTAATTATTTCAAAATAAAGTGGTTTTTAAATTTTCTGTTTTGTTGTTGCTGCTCGTCTATAGAAACGCAATTGGGTTCCCTATATTGACTTTACATTTAAAAACTTTGCTCAACTCTCTAATTTTAAGAATTTAGCTGTTGAGTCCTAGGAGCTTTCTATATAGACAATTAAGTCATTTGCCAATAATGACAGTGTTTTTCTCCTTTTCCATTCCTACATCTTTTCTTGTAGTTGTCCCCCACCCCTCACCCCCGACCCTGACTTACTCTGCTGGCTAGGATCTCTGACACAATATTGAACAGAAATGGTGATACTGGGCAGCTTTGTCTTTTAAGAGTTAGATTATATCTGTTGATGCCCAGAACTAATTTTAATTTCACTGAATAATCTGGGGAAGATTACTTGCTTTTGCTTTGAACATTTCTACTACAGAGATAACAATACTATTTTTTAAAGTTTCAAATACTGAAAATGTTTATCCAGAAAGTATAAAAGAATGTATAATACAAAGACAAAGAAATAACATGAAGACAAAAAAGAGATGCAATATAGTATTATGTTATTAAAACAAAATAAAAGTTATCGCATTAACCTGTCCAAAATTTGCTATCCCCTTCACAGTGTGGGAGCTGTCACTGGGAAGTGGTTGCCCAGTCAAAATTTTCCCTTTCCAAGCCTTTCCAACCTTGTATCACATGTGGCCTTGTGAGTAGTTCTCCCCAATAGAATGTCAGTGAGAATGACTGAATGCCAACTTCCAGGTTAAGGTTCCTCAGAAGCAGCAGGTAAGGTATGTTCATGCTCTTTCCCCAGCTGCTAGAGGACTCCAAGGCCCACATTATGGAAGGTCACCAAATGATCAAGAATGCCTTCAATGCACTGCTTCATTAGCAATAAATGCACTTTAACTGGATTTAAGCTGTTATACAATTTGGGTACATTTATCATAATAGCTGGCTTTCCCTAATACAAGAAAAATGGTATTTTTGAGGGGGATGCTGACATTAAAAAAACTAAAACATATGGTGACTGCTTAGCAGCCAAACAGCAGGAGATGAAGAAACTGAGAAAAGGATAGAAAGGTACTTATGTCACACAGTCATAAAACACTTACTAAAAATACTGCTTGCCAAAACTAATCTTTGGTGATTGAAGTGAAAAAGTGGTTGCCTCCAGAGGTTTAAAGTAGGCAATTAACTAGAAATGGACATCCATCTTGGGCAATGGAATGTCTGATATCATATTTTGGGTAGTAGTTACACGGATGTACATAATTGTCAAAACTCGCTGAACTCAACACAAGAGCTGTGAGTTTACTGTATGTAAGTTATAGCTCAATTTTTAAAAATGCCTGATACAACTTCAAAAGCAGAACAAGTGTCTACCAAGTCCATGTCTATGGAGAAAAGAGATGAACAATATTAGAATAACAAAGTACGGCTAGGCGCAGTCGCTCACATCTGTAATCCCAGCACTTTGGGAGGCCGAGGCGAGTGGATCACAAAGTCAGGAGTTCGAGACTAGCCTGGCCAATATGGTGAAACCCCATCTCTACTAAAAATACAAAAATTAGCCAGGCGTGGTGGCGGGTGCCTGTAGTTCCAGCTACTGGGGAGGCTGAGACAGGAGAATCACTTGAACCCGGAAGGCAGAGGTTGCAGTGAGCCAAGATTGTGCCACTGCACTCCAGCCTGAGCGACAGGGTGGAAAAAAAAAAAAAGGAACAACAAAGTACTACTTGTTGCACTTATCAAAGATTATAAATAAGAAATGTGCACAGGCAAGCACTGACAGATTTGAGGGCAGAAATGAATGGAAATAGAAAATTCAGAAATTTGGGGAGCTCCTAGGATTATAAGAGCTGACTGCTTCTGGAATTCACATGGTAAAAAAGAAGACTGAAAAAAACTGGCCCATTATATTTTCTCAGGCAAACAGAGGGACTCAGCCTTGTTGCAAATCAAGTTAAGTAGGTTAATTTTCCGATGGCCATACAAGAGTCTCCGGTAAGTTGAGAGAGAAGAGAATAAAAATAAGGAAACAAAGAAATATATTAGACTTGGGAATTTTTGGTGTGCTTATTGACTAGAGTGACCATAATACACGTTGTCTAAACTGGGGTAGTTTTGAGAGTAGAAGAGAGTATTATCACTTAACGTGCCAAGACAAGAGATTTCAGCCAAGGCTGCCTTGCCAGCCTGATCCACACAGTCACTCCAATGCTAGCACATGTTACTAACTACAAGATAGGTCAAAAGCCATCTCAGTTTTGGAGGAATGGCATTGCCAAAACCCCCACAAGTGATACCTATAAGCCTTTGACTGTTTGACCCTTAAAACAATGCTCAAGCTCCCTGAATTGCAAGAACAGAAAGAAGGAAACAAAGGCTATATAGTCTCCACAAAGGGCATGTTCCCCAATGTCCACATATATATGACCTTGGAGGAAAATGGGCAAGGAAGAACCTTCCAGAAGGCAGAATCAGGTCCTGAGAACAATAAACAAAGAAGTTCCTCCCAGACAGCAGGATCAGAAGCTAATGAAGGAACATTTCCCACCCTAGCTAAAGATTCTTCAATATGCTTCCTGCCATCCATGATTTTTGTCACTGTCAGTATTCCTAATCCTAGATGTTCCCTTAGTTTTAGCAGATTAAACACAAACTTATAATGTGCTAACTGGCCTAATGCAGTAAATTACAGACATTGCACGTAAAGTGATGGTGAAAATAAACCCGAAGGGTCTTTTACAAAGATCACTGAACTGATGGCCAGGAGGCTCTTATTTCATCCAACCTTCACTATTAATTGTGTGATCCTGGATAAATCATGACTTCTCAGGACTTCAGTTCTTTCATTTGCGAAATGAATAAGAGGATGCCTTCCAGTTCTTTAATTCTAACTTAAAATTCTTGACCTCACTGAGCCAAAAAAAAGTACAGAAATTCTCTACAAAATATCCATAATAGACTAGTTGGTCCAGTTTTTACAGCAAAAGCAATTCAGCATAATTCTAAGAAGTTACATTGGCAAGAAAAAATTCTGGCACTCTTATTTCTGATTTGTCTATTTTATTTGGGTCTCCGTACAATAAGGAATAAAATGTAACCTTTTTTTCAGTGGGAAAAGACACTTACTTTCTATTTCATTAAGTTTTAGAAGCTAATCCAAAGAGAGGCGACGGAACTCCACCCACTTCAAAATGTCAATACTTTTATAATATTTACACACTAGAATTTAGAACATCTGAAAAATCAAAATGCAATTTGGAATAGACTTTTAATCTAAAAGTACCATAATAACATTTATTAGTTACATAGTCAATAATAGTCATTGAATCCTAAAAATAATATTTTTTCTAGTAATTAAAATCTGAAAAATATGCCTGCTAAATTTCAACTTTTGATGTCTCCTCTAACTTTCAGAAGAAAATAACATTCAGGATTCTGTCTTCTTCACTGACGAAAGGGAAGACAAAAACTAATACTCTACATTGAAACTTTGTTATTTATCATGATCCAGTGGTACACTTATTTATAAATATAAATATAAGGGCCAAACATTCAAAGAGAATAGGACCCAAACTTTGTCACTTCAAATCACAACGTTTGGACAAAAAAAAAAAAAGCAAACATTCTGCAAACCCTGCTATCAATTTGAGTACTGATATTTAAAAGTCTTATTTGTTCTTATTCAAAGCACTTTTTTTTTGACATTTGTTTTGCCTGCTGCTCTAAGATCAGACCAGACATTCAGTTAACTCTACCCTCCACTGTCCCCGAGTCCTGGTCTAGATTCTCTGTAGTTCCAATTTTTTCAGAGAACAAACCCCTCATCTCGTGGAGTTGGGGAACATTGCTGTCCAGCTGGAGTGAGGTGAAGACCTGGGAGTTCAGCTGGTCCTTTCACAGACTTTCAGCTGAACATCTGTTTTTAGCACCATGCCTCCCTTCCTCCTTCAACCTCCTGATATCACTGTCGTCTCCTCTGCAGGTGCTTTGGTTTTGCCCTTCTGGTACTAAGTTACTGTATCATATGCTTTCTGTTTCAGATTTTATGGTTTAAGGTAACTGATGAGATCTACCTCTGACAAAAAGAGTTGGAATTTTTGTTTCTATTTCCTTTGTTTTATGCTAAGATTTTAATAGAAGAAAGCAGGTGGTGGCCAGGCACAGTGGCTTATGCCTGCAATCCCAGCACTTTGGGAGGCCAAGGTGGGCAGATCACAAGGTCGGCAAATCAAGACTGTGTCTGAAATTGGTGGGTTCTTGGTCTCACTGACTTCAAGATGAAGCCATGGACCCTCGCAGTGAGTGTTACAGTTCTTACAGGTCGTGTGTTCGGAGTTTGTTCCTTCTGATGTTCAGATGTGTTCGGACTTCCTTCTGGTGGGTTCGTGGTCTGGCTGGTTTCAGGAGTGAAGCTGCAGACCTTCGCAGTGAGTGTTACAGCTCTTAAGGCGGTGTGTCTGGAGTTGTTCATTCCTCCTGGTGGGTTCGTGGTCTCGCTGGCCTCAGAAGTGAAGCTGCAGATCTTCGCGGTGATTGTTACAGCTCATAAAGGCAGTGTGGACCCAAAGAGTGAGCAGCAGCAAGATTTATTGCAAAGAGTGAAAGAACAAAGCTTTCACAAACAAAGTACGGAAGGGGATGCAAGCAGGTTGCTGCTGCTGGCTGCGGTAGCCTGCTTTTATTCCCTTATCTGGCCTCACCCACATCCTGATGATTGGTCCATTTTACAGAGGGCTGACTGATCCATTTTGACAGGGTGCTGATTGGTGTGTTTACAATCCCTGAGCTAGACACAGAGTGCTGATTGGTGCATTTACAATCCTCCAGCTAGACATAAAAGTTCTCCAAGTCCCCACCAGATTAGCTAGACACAGATCACTGATTGGTGCATTTACAAACCTTTAGCTAGACACAGAGTGCTAATTGGTGCATTTACAAACCCCAAGCTAGACACAGAGTGCTGATTGGTGCATTTACAATCCTCCAGCTAGATATAAAAGTTCTCCAAGTCCCCAACTGACTCAGGAGCCCATCTGGCTTCACCTAGTGGATCCCTCGCCAGGGCCGCAGGTGGAGCTGCAGCCAGTCCCGCGCCCACACTCCTCAGCCCTTGGGCAGTTGATGGGAGCAGGTGCCGCAGAGCAGGGGGCGGTGCCCGTAGGGGAGGCTCAGGCCTGGCAGGAGCCCATTTGGTGGGGGCGGGGGTGGGGGGGGAGTGCGGGGCTCAGGCATGGTGGGTTGCAGGTCCCGAGCCCTGCCTGGCGGGAAGGTGGCTGAGACCCGGCAAGAATTCAAGCACGACGTGGGTGGGCTGGCAGTGTTGGGGGACCCGGTGCACCCTCCGCAGCTGTTGGCCCAGGTGCTAAGCCCCTCACTGCCCAGGGCCGACACTCCTGGGCTCACCTGGAACTCACACTGGCCTGCGAGTGCAGTGCGCAGCCCCGGTTCCCACCCGCGCATCTCCCTCCACATCTCCCCACAAGCAGAGGGAGCCGGCTCTGGCCTCAGCCAGCCCAGAGAGGGGCTCCCACAGTGCAGCAGTGGGCTGAAGGGCTCCTCAAGCGTGGCCAGAGTGGACGCCATGGCCTGAGGAGGTGCCGAGAGCAAGCGAGGGCTGCTGGCATGTTGTCACCTCTCAAGACCCTCCTGACCAACATGGTGAAACCCCATCTCTACTAAAATACACACACACACAAAAATTAGCCGGCCATGGTGGTGAGTGCCTGTAGTCCCAGTTACTCAGGAGGCTGAGGCAGGCGAAAAGCTTGAATCCAGGAGGCAGAGGTCGTAGTAAGCCGAGATCATGCCACTGCACTCCAGCCTGGCGACAGAGAGAAACTCAGTCAAAAAAAAAAAAAAAAAAAAAAAAAAAAAAAGCAAATGGTTCTTTCCTAAAACCAGAAACTGCCATCTGAATGATTTCACATACCATTTTTAATGGTTTGAAGTCAGGACAGTTTTGGTCTGCTAAGCACACATTCCCATTTTTCTTCTGGTTCCTTTGGAGAAAGCCTCTCCTACTCTGTGAGACCCTCACGGGGCTTGCAGTCACTGGGCTATGCCCCTCTACTGGAGCACTGGGAAAACATACCAAGGGTGGCCCACCAGTTTACCCCATTCCCAGGCCACAGTGACACATGAGGTCAAAGAGAGTCAATCCACATCTTCTCTGAGGCAGGTAGGTAGACATTTGGTGTGACAGGTTCTCTTTCTGTTGAGATTGCTAAATTGGATGGACAACCATCTTGAGCTGCTAGTGGTCATCTTACTGACCATGCCTGTCTGAAAAATGACAAATAATGAAACCAGCAGAGGAAAAGGAGTCCAAATGAGATCATTTGAGTTTTTGGCTGAAACCATGCCTGAAGCCAGATGCACCTCTGGAAACCATAGTTACAGAAACAATTAAGTTTCCTTTATTTTCATAAACTGGTTTGAGCTGGCTTTCTTTCATTTGCAACTGAAGCAGTCCTGATGAACACATCATTGAATCTAAATGTTCCAATTACTAATACTTGAACAACAGAAATAACACTTTTTTTTGCCCCAAATTAAATACCCTAACTTCTTTTATTCCAATAAAATCGCAAATCAGAAATAACGTTTGCATGTGTCCCTTTCACCATTTAGGTCAAATCCTTTGACTTTAGTTGAATATTCACGTCTTCAAGGTAGCAGTATCTTTGAGAATGAAGTGTATGTATACTCTATAGTACGAAAAACCCAATAGCCACTAACCTACTGAACAGTTTTCTTCCAGGTACGTCAAACATTCTTGCCAATTCTTTACACCTTCTCTATCAGAGCTCTCAGATTGTTAATAAAGATCAAGTTGTGTAATTATTTTATGTAAAGTCTATGTGGAAAAATGAAATAATATATCTCAAAATATTTGTTCCCTTGGGAGGAAACGTATAATTTAAATTCAAAGAATTATTCAGTCTCAATCTCTGACCCAGAGACTGGGGACCAGGATAATTTTAATCTAAAGATTTATAAGGAGAAGGTAGAGGGTAATAACGTGCTCCCAAGGAGACAAGTAGGAAGACTTAGAAGTCAGTGTTCCTTGGACACTCTCCCTGGAGTAACTTCCTTCATTATTACCTACAGGCCATTGTGCTCAGCAACCCAACAGGCAATATCTAAGCTTCTGGGTTTGAAGTTCTTTGGGTCTTCAGTTAGCTTCAAGTGCATATAGGGGCCAGGCAGGTAATCTAAAAGAGTGAGCAGGCTAACATTTTTAAAGTATTACAGTTGTATGCATTAAAAAAAAACTTATTAAAATTCTAGTCTCTCTCTTTTTATTTTTTCATGCAACAATTCTACCTACTATCCCTGGTTTTTCCATGGTTTCATAATGCTATCTTAAATAATAGTTTTTGGCACTGGTACTCCTTGTATACATTTAAATTACATATGAATAAGAGCTAATAATAACAATAGTTCAGTTTATTGAGCATATAGTATGTGCCAGGCAATGTACTAAGTGCTTTATATATGTTAACTTATTTTGTCCTTACTGCAATCCTATAATAACCTTACAGGATTGTGCCACTATCCCATTGCATAGATGAGAGCACTGAGGCAGTGGGTAATCAGCTTACCCAAGATCACATAGCAAATAAGTTGTGAAGTTGAATGCAGCACTCTGCCTCAAGGAACCCTGCCCTTAACCATTACTCTGCACTCTACAAAGAAATATGCCATCAGTTATGGGTTGAATTATGACCCCAAAATGATATGTTGAAGTCCTAACCCCCAGTACCTGTGAATATGACCTTATTTGGAAATAGGGTCTCTGCAGATATAATCAGGTTAAAATGAGTTCATACCAGGTTAGGGTGTGCCCTAATCCAATGTACTGGTATCCTCACAAGAGGAGGAAAATTTGGATGTAGACAGACACAGAGGGAAGACACTCATAAGATGGAATCAGATTGGCATCATGCTACCACAAGGCAAGGAATGCCTGGGGCTACCAGAAGCCAGAAGAGGCAAGGCAGAATCCTCCCCATGAGCCTCTGAGGGAACATGGTCCTGCCAGCACCTTGACTTTAGATTTCTAGCCTTTAGAACTATAAGAGAATAAATTTCTGTTATTTAAAGCCACCCAGTTTGTAGTACTTGCTTATGTAGTCCTAGAAAATTAATACCATCTCTCACTTATATTGAAATATGTCATCCAATCAATTTGCTATTTCCAATTTTAACACAGATGGTGGTATAAGTAACATTTAAACCTTCCTCTAAATTCTGTTCAAAGAAAAACAACAGCCAGGGGTGTTATAGGTTACAACCTATAATGTAAAAGCACAGCCTCCCATCTAATAGAGGCAGCTTCTACTTAGCTCTAGCTGGTTACTGCCACATGCAAGAGCAGGACCAAAGTTGCCAGTTTCCAAGAGAATGTGGAAATATGGATTTGTGCATTAAATTATTTAACAACAAATTATATCAGTTACTAGTCAAAATAATACTTGTTAACAAGCAATTTATGCTTTAAAAACAAAAGAGCCAGGCATCATGACTTGCACCTGTAATTCCAGTAACTCAGGAGGCTGAGGTGGGAGGGTCGCTTGAGCCTAGCAGTTCAAGGCTACTGTGAGTTATGATAAGGCCACTGTACTTCATCTTGGGTGACAGAGTGAGACCCTGTCTGTAAAATTAATAATAATTAAAATAAAAAACATTACGCAGGCTATGCAGGCTACAGAAAACACATTTATAAACCAAACTTGTCAAGAGGTCCAGATTTTTGCAATCTCTGTTGTATGTTTTCTTTGTTTTCCATGTCTACTGCCCCTTACACTTCACTTGACCTGGCCCCAATTGCAGCTACCCATCTACCAGATATAGAAAGCAGGCACAGTGGGGGCACTGGGAGCCACACTGAAATCAGCGCTTGAGGACAGGCGCGGTGGCTCACGCCTGTAATCCCAACACTTTGGGAGACCGAGGTGGGTGAATCACGAGGTCAGGAGATCGAGACCATCCTGGCTAACATGGTGAAACCCCGTCTCTACTAAAAATACAAAAAATTAGCCGGGTGTGGTGGCGGGTGCCTGTAGTCCCAGCTACTCGGGAGGCTGAGGCAAGAGAATGGTGTGAACCCGGGAGGCGGAGATTGCAGTGAGCCGAGATCGCGCCACTATACTCCAGCCTGGGCGACAGAGTGAGACTCCATCTCAAAAAAAGAAAAAGAAAAAAAAAAAAAGAAATCAGCACTTGAGGACTGGGGAACCCTCTTTGGGATGTACCGAGTTGGCAGATGCAGAAGAGTTGCACGCACTCAGGAATCCAAGCCCAAATGGGTGCACTCTCCTTGATCCGTATCTGTGTATCTGAAGCATAATACTGCTCCTCTACTCGTTATTTGGTGTCCCATGTAGAAAAGACTTAGAGCTTTAACTGGGTAAAGGTTTTGTGTAAGGCTAGGAAAATGACTTTAACATTTCTCAGGCTCACTGTCACTTCATTCACAGCACTATCCTTACAATTTATTGAGTTCCCCAAACTTCTTACCTCTTGTATACATATATTTGAAGCATTTGTAAGTTGATATTAATAGCTCATAACTGTCTTGCAGTACTCACCATATTGTAACCTATAAAACTTGTTCAGAAACTTGTAAACATTTTTGAAAAGCAGTTTTGTAAAAACAGTTTCACGAAATGTCTTTATTCCTCAGGTGTGTTCTAAAACTTCAAAAATGTAAGAAAAATTGTTCTGAGAATGTTAATATCAACTCTAATCCAATAAGCCATATCTCTAGTTAGTAGTCTCATTGGCTACAAACATTTCTTCAGTATCTATCAGAGTTCAGACCTATTTGCTATGGTATAGAAACTAATGATTGCTTCTGGCAAGTGAAAACAGGTACTTGATATGTTGCCAGGACATTATCTACTACACTGAGGTATTAAATGCACAGTGAGACAGCTTGGAATACCACAGTGTTTGGAACTTACAAATCTGACCAACATTACTTTTAGTAAGTTTGTAGAGCAATGCTAGGAAGTAAAATACCATAAAATATGTCCAAATCATCTCATTTAATCTTTATTGTTGTTATTGTTGTATTTTGCTTGAATTAAACATCTCTGAAAGTTCTATTGGTTTTCATACCTATGAAATCATTTGGAAACTCCCTAGCTTATTATTCTCACCACAACACCAAATGGTTGGTAAAGCAGGTTTTATCTCCATATTACAGATGAGGAAACTCAAGCTCAGTGGTGTTAAATAACTTGTTCAAGGTTGTTAGTGACAGAGGTTGTCTCAGTCCATTTAGTGTTGCTATAAATATGTCAGGCTGGGTGATTTATAAAGAAAAACAGCCTTCTTTGGCTCATGGTTCTGCAGGCTGTACAGAAGGCATATAGTTCCAGCATCTGTTTGGCTTCTGGTGAGGGCCTCAGGCTGTTTCCACTAATGGCTGGAGGCAAAAGGGAGAGCTGCATGTGCAGAGATCACATAGCAAGAGAGGAAGCAAGAGGGGAGGAGGTGCCACGCTCTTTTTAACAGCTCTTGGTGGAAACGAACAGAGCAAGGAGGGTGCCAAGACATTCATGAGGGATCTGCGCCCATGACTCAAACACCTCCCATTAGGTCTCACCTCAAACATGGGGATCAAATTTTAACATGAGATTTGGAGAGTGTATTAGTCTGTTCTCACATTGCTATAAAGAAATACCAGAGACTGGTTAATTTATAAAGAAAAAAGGTTGAATTGATTCACAGTTCCATGTAGCTGGAGAGGCCTCAGGAAACTTACAATCATGGCAAAAGGAAGCAGGCACGTCTTACATGGTGGCAGGCAAGAGAAAGCATGAGGAGTGAGGAGGGGAGAGCCCCTTATAAAACCATCAGATCTTGTGAGAACTCACTCACTATCATGAGAACAGCATGGGGGAACTGCCCCATGATCCAATCACCTCCCACCAGGTCTCTCCTTAGACATGTGGAAATTACGAGTATTACAATTCAAGATGAGATTTGGGTGGGGACACAGCCAAACCATATCAGAGGGGACAAACATCCAAACTATAGAAGAGGTGAAGCCGGTACTCAAACCTCCTAATTCTGAGTTCACTGATCTTACCTCACAAATAAAAGCCATGAAGATTTCTAAGACCAGGATGATGAGACAGTCAGACAGCCAGACCTGTAATCAAATCCAGTTTCTATTGCCAACTCGACTTATGACTTCGGTTTTTTTAAACCTCTAAAGCCCGATTTGCTCATTTGCAAAATGGAGTTAAAGTGGAAAAATACATGTAAAGAACATGGCACAAAGTGGGCACTTGATAAATGTTACCCCCTTTCTCTTCCCTCTCTACTACAGAATCCCTCAAATCTAAACAAACCATCCACTTTCTGGTTAAGCATTTGGGTGATTAGCAGAAATCTAAATAGCTATTAGAAATGTAACTCAGCCAGGCATGGTGGCTAATGCCTGTAATCCCAGCACTTTGGGAGGCCAAGGCAGGCAGATCACCTGAGGTCAGGAGTTCAAGACCAGCCTGGCCAAGATGGTGAAACCCCGTCTCTACTAAAAATACAAAAATTAGCCAGGCATGGTGGCAGGTGCCTGTAATCCCAGCTACTCAAGAGGCTGAGGCAGGAGAATCGCTTGAACCTGGGAGGCGGAGGTTACAATGAGCTGAGATTGCGCCATCGCACTCCAGCCTAGGGGAGGAGCAAGACATCGTCTCAAAAAAAAATGTAATTCATAGGATGTGGAGATATTAATAAAACAACAATAAACGTATTGTCATGGACGAAGACCATGGTAGAAACTGTTGTCACATGTGTACTATTAAAGAATTGCCAAAAAAGTCACTGTTTTTAAATATTTTATGATGTTGAGCTTTTTTTTAAAAGGAGGCAGGTCACGTCAAACCTTTATGCTTTGAACTTATTCTCTGCTCTCTAATTAATGTGGTTCATTGCCTCCAAACATAAAAAAATTTTAAACACATCAAAGAGATATGAAATGTTTCTCACCTGTGGTGAGACTTGGGACTCCTCAGTGTGTGTACCTTAGCAGCTATCGTGTTCCTCTTGGACCAGAAGCAAAAGAACCACCAAGATCCTTTGTGTGTCTGTGCCACAAAAGAAATTCTGACTCCTTTACAACTCCTCTCTGCTGGCCCAGTTATCCCTTTGGATGAGCCTAGGGCAGGGGTGCTAATGGATTGACACCAGCAGGGGATGGGCCCAAATGGAGGGTGAGGGGCTGCATTCCTTGCCAAAGAGAAGCATAAATTCAGAGTAAGAACAGGTGCTGTAGTCAGGAGGCATGCTTGGGTCTAACATCAGAAAATTATGTAATTATCAAATTTAATGCTAAAAATATTAAAATGCATAACATGATTTAGAACATTTCTTCAAATTTCAACTTAATGCTAGGGAACTGTGTGCTAATAACTACTTTATACATGTGATTCTGGCTCTTGGCACAATCATACAGGACTGGGGTTGTGTTATTGCATATGTGGGAGGTTATTAAATGCTTTATAATGATTATGTTAAAGGTCATATTCCTCATACACATAACTTCACTTACTATTATGAGTTAGACGGGTACATGAGTAGACAATGGTCTCCTTCCATTAAATGCAAACTGGCTGAAATTACTATTTAAGTTGCCAGGCTGAATGAGTAAAGAGATCAAATTAATGAGGGTGAAACTGTATAATCAGTTTATAAAACAGATCATGCTGAGGTCAAGGCTGACATCACCAGCTCCCACACATCTAACTACACTTAAAAAGGTGGCTCTTCTCTTTATTACCACGACCACTGCTCTAATTCAAGCTGTTTCTTATTTCTCTTCCATTCACATGTAGCTGACAAATCATTTATCTTGGCAAACACCAATTTGATCATGTCACCTGTCTCAGAAACCTCTATAGTCTTCCCAGTGCTTGAGGGACAGAGGCTCAACTCCTCAGGAGGGCATTCATGGTTCTCCTAAATTTGGCCCATTCTTCTAATTCAAGGATTTTCAACCCTGGATGATATCAGAACCACGAGGGGAGCTTTAAAAAACAAACAGGTTTATGTTCCATGCCCCTGAAACTCTATTTACTAGTTCTGGGCTAAGATCTAGGGACTTAATATCTTTAAAAATATCTATGGATGACTCTTATCTACTGCCAGGGTTGAACCAGCGGTCTAATTCCCTGCCCCGCACCCCCATTGTTTCAGCCAACATGAATTAACCACTCTGCTCCGCTCAGTAATGCTTTGTTTGCTTGTGTTGCCAGTTCTCTATTCATGCGGTTAATCCAACCTGGAATATCATTTCCTCTATAGCTCTTTTTTTTTTTTTTAGATGGAGTTTCTCTCTTGTTGCCCAGGCTGGAGTGCAATGGCACAATCAGCTCACTGCAACCTCTGCCTCCCGGATTCAAGCGATTCTCCTGTCTCAGCCTCCCAAGTAGCTGGGATTACAGGTGCACGCCACCATGCCTGGCTAATTTGTGTATTTTTAGTAGAGATGGGGTTTCATCATATTGGTCAGGCTGGTCTCAAACTCCTGACCTCAGGTGATCTGCCCGCCTTGGCCTCCCAAAGTGCTGGGATTACAGGCGTGAGCCACCATGCCTGGCCTAGCTCTAGCACTATTCTTCTAAAGCTAAGTGAAATCCCACCAGTATCCTTACAACCATGGGGATATGATATTCCATTCTGATAATCCAAAAGGCATTTTTTATGTTTATGAAGCATTTTATGGCAATTAATCATATATTGTTTTCAATGTGAATGTTTAATATTTTGCTCCCTATATTTCAGACTTCCCAGGGAAGCAAACTTTATTTATTTATTTATTTATTTATTTATTTATTTTGAGATGGAGTCTCACTCTGTTGCCAGGCTGGAGTGCAGTGGCACGATCTTGGCTCAGTGCAACCTCTGCCTCCCAGGTTCAAGTGATTCTCATGCCTCAGCCTCCTGAGTAGCTGGGACTACAGGCATGCACCACCACACCCGGCTAATTTTTTGTATTTTTAGTAGAGACGGGGTTTCACCGTGTTAGCCAGGATGGTCTCAATCTCCTGATCTTGTGATCTACCCACCTCGGCCTCCCAAAGTGCTGGGATTAGAGGCATGAGCCACTGCTCCTGGCCTGAAGGCAAACTATAACATCTTTTGTTCCCACTTCCTAGCCCTTAGCATTGACCACAGTATTAAGCATAAAGTAGACACTCATGTGCTCAATACTTATGACTGAATAAATTAAATTCTCTGAAATTTATGAAGTGTTTTTTCTTACAGCATGACAACCTCAATCGTCAACCTTGAGGGTTGTTTATGTGCATACTGACGTGTTTCTCACTAGAAGCATCATTATGCCTATGTAAATGATAATCCCTTGTCCACAAAAACTGATGTGATGTCAAATACAGGGGTGATACCTGTAAATGTGTTTTTCTCCCTATAGATAGAAGTATTTTCCATGTTTATATATTCAATTCCCATAAGTTTGTATAGCATCCAAAAGGAGGAATTAGTGAAACAGTCCCTGATCTTTCAATACCTGACTTAAAAACAACCCACCCATGTGAAAGGATAGAGAAAACCCCATTTACCATCCTAATCAACTGTGGGAAAGATCAGAAGAGCAAGTGTCCCTTTGCCCTCAATTTAGGTGACATGAGAGTATCAGCAACCTACAGGTAAAAGTCTCTCCTGTAACTACTGAAAACCAAGAAGCTTCTGATGGGAGAGTATCCAATGCTGTCAGAGGTCCAGCTCAGACTCTCCTACTGTTCAACCTGCCCAGAAACTTTCTGTCCTATTTCTAGAGCATGGGAGATATATCTCCATATCCAGAGCTACAATCTCTCCACAAAACAGCATTGTACACCATGGCTGCCCATAGTGAAAGTGGTGCTGGTACCAGTGAGTTAAATAGTCTTGGGAGGGCTGGCTGAGAACCTAACCACTATTTATAACATTGTTTTTGTGGAAAAATATATTCTGCATTCCAAACAACAGAACTAGACATGAACTTTTGGAATACAGTGCATTTCTTGGGTCAGGAACTGACTGTATCTTGTTAACTGCACTAAGGTCAGTATTTTCCTAGGAGAAGATGGCAACCAGGAGTGCAGAACAAAAATGGTTGCCAAGAATATGGAACATATGCATTTATAAGGATGAAAGACAAAGGAAATGATGAGAGAAAAAGCCAGCACACTCTTAATTTATTACATAAATATTTACTAAGCACTATTAAAGGCTATGGTGAAAGCTGTAGGAAACAAAAATCAGACAAGATCTTGGATTTTATAGTCCTTACAATCTAGGGTGGGAGATAAGACAAACATAAACACAAACAATAAAGCTACACGGTAAAATATGCCACAACGGTGATACAAACAAAACATTAGATGACACTGGCAGAGAGAGAAAGAGCTAGTGCTTCTAGCTGGAGTAATCAGAGAACGTGTCATAGAGAGGCTTGCACAGGGTTTCAACGTGCAGAGGAAATAGTGTCAGGGCAGCAGGGGACATCACAGGCAGGAAAACCAGTACAAGTTAAGACAGATGCATGAAGAACAATGAGAGTTCAGAGAATAGGAAAAGCCCAGTTGGCTCAAGTGGGGTACATTTTCAGGATCTTCGTGGGAGGCTTTGAATGCTAGGCAAACGAACATGGATTCCATCCAAGAGGGAGTTGGAAGCCATTAAAGCGTTTTAAAATTACTAAAAGTGGTTCTATATGCAGGTTTATCTAACAATGAACACAGGACAGGGGAAGAGAGAATGAATACAGAAAGATTATTAGGAGATCACTATAAGAGTTGAGGGTGATTAAGATGACCTTTCAAAGATTTTTTACACAAACAGTTAATAAACATTTAAGGTTCAAGTGCTAGTTAATTAACAAAATATTTCTTTAAATAAGAACATATAAATAACTTAGAAAAGTTGTATAAAGCCTTAAAAAACTATATATATATATTAGCTACAACGCAAAAGCATTGTTTGGCACTTAGGACTTAACGACTAGACTTGATACAAATACAAGGATGATTTTAAGGTGTTAGTCTCACTTAGACAAATAACACCAAGAGTTTAAAACTGAACATTTTATTTTATTTTATTTTATTTTATTTTGACATGGAGTCTCGTTCTGTTGCCCAGGCTGGACTGCAGTAGCGTGATCTCAGCTCATTGCAACCTCGGCCTCCAGGGTTGAAGCAACTCTCCTGTCTCAGCCTCCCAAGTAGCTGGGACTACAGGCGCCTGCCACCATGCCCAACTAATTTTTGTAGTTTTAGTAGAGAAGAGGTTTCACCTTGTTGGTCAGGCTGGTCTCGAAATCCTGATCTCAGGTGATCCACCCATCTCGGCCTCCCAAAGTGCTGGCATTACAGGCATGAGCCACCATGCCTGGCCAGAACATTTTATTTTTATAAGCATGTGAAATTTAATAAGAAATCATCTTTCCACTATTTCCCAAGACCAGTGATTCAATATACAAGGTGACTAGAAGATATGCTGAGAAATTTGAGAGTTGAGATGTCCAAGTTAGTAAACTTAATTCTTTGCATTTTAAATAAATCTTAAGCTGGTACCAAGCTAGATGTGAGCAGACTTACCTGAAGTGATTTGACTTAGCAAATGTCTTCTAACTTTAACACTTCAGTACTGGATGGGAAATGGCATTCATTTTTATCTGAAAACAAATGTAGTGGAAATAACAAAATTATAAAGAATTTCTAGGTACCTTATAGGAGCCAATTAGATGACTGCACCTGAAAGACCATAAAAGAGTTCTACGAAGTTCTGTAAAATTTACAGTTCTTATACCACGTATAATTTAAGAACCTAAAATAAAAATCTCAAGCTGTGCTCAAAGACTTCTAAAATAGGAGATATATTGTCTTCACATATTTTTATGTCAACCTGCTAAAAATTCTAGAAAATATATTATTAGATATTTAAGCCTGATTTAAACTGAATTATTTAAAATTTAGCTGGCATTTGTGCCCTACTCAGTATCATGGGGAACAGGGAGCTATGAAATTGAATAAGAGACAGTTTTTGTTCTTAAGAAATACAAACCACAATAACAGGCAAACATGAAAAACTCTGTATCGAGGCGATGTAGTAAGTGCTACAAGTGACACAAGGCGCTACGGGATTTTGGAGCACGATAATTACTACAGGGAAAATGTGGGAAGGCTCTGCCTTATGGACTGAATACAAAGAGAAAGAGAGAAATGGGGAGGGAGATCGATAAGGACTAGGATTTGGGGCTGAGATTATACTGTAAGAGGTTGAATGCTAGATTCAGTACATGGGGCTTTATTTTATACATAAAGAGGCACCAAGGGTGTTTGGCAGAAAACACATTCAAATTTGTATTTTAAAAGATGGCTCTGGTTTTCAAGTGTAAGTTACCATGAGAAAATTCAAAAAGCAGTGAGATCTATTTTGTTACTACGGTAGTCAAGATGAGAAGAAATCAGAGTAACTGCAATAAAAGTAAAAAGTTTAAAATTCTCTGAAATATACTTGAAAGTGAGAAGCAGAATAACAGCCTAAACAATTATGCAAGACTGAGACGTGAAACCATCACCAACATTCAGTGATATGGTTACAAACATAGGATTCTTAGACCACAATAGACCTTTCTTTCCAATCAGAATCATGCATTGTTTACATGAACCATGAACTTAAGAAATCAATCAATCCGATGACTTGCGTCATTTCTGATATCCTGTCCTAGAATTTCGTATCTCCAACCTATAATAAAAATCTTATACAAATTTTCTCTAAGGAGGCATCATTTCAGAATCATCTGTGTAGTCTTGTTTGCTGCACTAAGTCAATAGAACAGTTTGCACATCTCCTAAAAGGTTTATTTTAGAAGAGGCCTTCCACAAAATACTGAAGTCACGAAAGAAGAGCAAAAGAAGAGAGCGCCCTGTCCTGCCTTTTCAAGGCAGAAGAACTGAGAACTTACCAATCACTAGTGACCTTTGGAATACGTTTCAGAAAGGCAATAAAAGTAAACAAAGACTTCCAATTTAAGGAGAAAAAGTGGAATTAACCAATAAATTTTAGTCTTCTAAGAAGTCTGGTATACTTTGAAAGTGAAGCTGAATCTTTAACAAGGTTTTTGTCATTGGTGCTGTTTTTTTTTCATTTTTAATGCTAGTAACAGGAAGAAATACAAGGGAGAGTGCTAAATAATGGAACAAATTCAAGAGAAGATGGGAACAAGAACTTTAGTGCAGTTAGTCATGTTAAAGAGAAGAAACAGTTGTTTCTCTATGGTTAGAAATAGAGGAAAGGATGGGTGATGAATACAAACATTTGTGTGTAAGGGAGTAAAGTTGAGGGAATTCAGACCCAATGGCAAGACCATCTATTGAGACAGAGGGAAAGGGAGGAGGAGAGAAGAAGGGAGAAAAAGAGATGAAGAGAAAGCATATGAATGGAAAAAATACTTGAATTTAAGAGTTTTAAGAGAAAAAAATTGCCAGAGAAGAAGAAAACAGAAAAGAGGGGCTTTTAGTATTTAAGATATTGGAACAATTCTGGTTGGCATAACTGAGACAGTTAAAACACTATGAGTTCTGAGTATCAGAAACTCAAAATATGAATTTGGAGAAACAGATTATAGTCACATAGTGTGGGTTGACATTACTTTCAAGCCTGGTGGTGACATCATTGAAGAATTTGGAGCAGTGTCCTGGAAGTCAACCAGTAACAGGAATTAGAAAAGGGAGATGGTAGTGAAAGAGTTATAAGAAAAGGAACTAAGGAACAAAGGTGGCATGCTGAGCCTTGAATTGATACTGGTGAGCAAAGGTACACATCAAGCCTCCTTTAAAACCTAGATTTTTTAAATGCCATGCTTTTTCTTGAGATGGTAAAACAAACAAACAAACAAACAAACAAACAAACAAATTGCGGCCTTTGAATGCCAGGTTTAAATTTCTAGGGAAGTGAAGGGAAAAGAGTTATGAGAGAAGATCAAAGTTCTAATAACTTGTTCACAATAGAGCATAAGGTCCAAATGACATAAGGAACTGAAAGTAAGTCAGCAGTGGACTAATTGTGGGTTCCATCTGAACTGGGAGCACGACTGCTTGGAAAAAGAGAGCATAAGAGTAGGGCGTCACCTAAGTTGTAGGTGACAAAACACCAATCTCTCTCCCTCTTTCTGACACATCTGTTTCGGCAAAAGACTGGCCACATGTGTCAACAGTCTCTGACTCTCAGAACTTGCTTGTCCAAATGCAAATTCATTGTCCAGTCATCTACATAGTAAACACTACAGGGCAAGTTAAGTCAATCCAATTTGAAGGGGTAGGAAGACTAGATGCAAAGCTAGGTGTACTCTTTTACCTAGTTTCTCTATAAACAAAACTGACATTTTCGTTCTTATCTTAAGTCTACTTCTTAAAGAGTTCAGAGGTAAGAATAAAAAAGTGATATAATTAATTGGTCCCTTCAAACTCCACCAACAGGGATGTAAAGTAAATAAATAGAAAGTAGTATGAAGAAAACTATATGGGGGTTGGGTTGAGGGGAGAACTCGCCAGCTACAGTGGTTTTGAATTTCTAGACACATTCAAGGACTTAATAATGAGACCCAGTTCAGTTGACGAATGCCACTAGAGGTGGGGAGATTTCTAATTAAGGAGTTGATACCTCTAACAGATATAGCAGCATTCAGATTTTTTACTTCTTTTGAGTCATTTTTATGCTGTATTTTTCAAGGGAGAGTACTAAATAATGGAACAAATTCAAGAGAAGATGGAACAAGAACGTTAGTGCAGTTAGTCATGTCAAAGAGGAGAAACGGTTGTTTCAAGGAATCTGTTTATTTCATTAAACTGTCGAATGTATTGACACAAAATTGTTCATCATATTTTCTTATCCCTTATATATTTCCTGGATCTCTATTAATGTTTCCTGTTTATTCTTATATTGTTAATTTGAACTTTCTTTTTTTTTCTTAGTAGGGGTTTATCAGTTTTGTTATTCTTTTCAAAGAAACAACTTTTGGTTTTGTGGTTTTGTTGATTTTTTTCTACTTTACAGTACTCTTCCAGATTTTTTTTTTTTTTACTGATATTCTGCCTACTTGTTCTAGCAACTGAAAGAAAAGTGAGAAAGAGAAGTGTTGAGAAAACTAACTGTAATAGCTTTATCTATTTCTCTTTTCTGTTCTGTCCATTATTGCTTCAAGTATTTTAAGGCTCTGTTAGTATCAGGCTTACAGACATTTAAAATTATGTCTCTTTAATTAATTGATTCTTACATCATTATGAAATATTTCTCAATACTGCTAGTATTATCTCATGTTTTGAAGTTTATTTTATTGGCTAGTAATATAGCTCCCTCCAGTTTTCTTAATGATTAGTATCTGCATGGTATCTCTTTGGATTCTTTTACTTTTTTTTTTTTTATTTTTTTTTACTTTTTTTTATTATACTTTAAGTTTTAGGTGCACATTGTGCAGGTTAGTTACATACGTATACATGTGCCACGCTGGTGCGCTGCACCCACTAACTCATCATCTAGCATTAGGTATATCTCCCAATGTTATCCCTCCCCTCTACCCCCACCACACAACAGTCCCCAGAGTGTGATATTCCCCTTCCTGTGTCCATGTGATCTCATTGTTCAATTCCCACCTATGAGTGAGAATATGCGGTGTTTGGTTTTTTGTTCTTGCGACAGTTTACTGAGAATGATGATTTCCAATTTCATCCATGTCCCTACAAAGGACGTGAACTCATCATTTTTTATGGCTGCATAGTATTCCATGGTGTATATGTGCCACATTTTCTTAATCCAGTCTATCATTGTTGGACATTTGGGTTGGTTCCAAGTCTTTGCTATTGTGAATAATGCCACAATAAACATACGTGTGCATGTGTCTTTATAGCAGCATGATTTATAGTCCTTTGGGTATATACCCAGTAATGGGATGGCTGGGTCAAATGGTATTTCTAGTTCTAGATCCCTGAGGAATCGCCACACTGACTTCCACAATGGTTGAACTAGTTTACAGTCCCACCAACAGTGTAAAAGTGTTCCTATTTCTCCACATCCTCTCCAGCACCTGTTGTTTCCTGACTTTTTAATGATTGCCATTCTAACTGGTGTGAGATGGTATCTCATTGTGGTTTTGATTTGCATTTCTCTGATGGCCAGTGATGATGAGCATTTTTTACACCTTATACAAAAATCAATTCAAGACGGATTAAAGACTTAAACATTAGACCTAAAACCATAAAAACCCTAGAAGAAAACCTAGGCATTACCATTCAGGACATAGGCATGGGCAAGGACTTCATGTCTAAAACACCAAAAGCAATGGCAACAAAAGACAAAGTTGACAAATGGGATCTAATTAAACTAAACAGCTTCTGCACAGCAAAAGAAACTACCATCAGAGTGAACAGGCAACCTACAAAAGGGGAGAAAATTTTCGCAACCTACTCATCTGACAAAGGGCTAATATCCAGAATCTACAATGAACTCAAACAAATTTACAAGAAAAAAACAAACAACCCCATCAAAAAGTGGGCGAAGGACATGAACAGACACTTCTCAAAAGAAGACATCTATGCAGCCAAAAAACACATGACTCTTTTACTTTTAACCACTTTGTATATATTTGAAGGGAATATTTTGTAGACAGTATAGTTAGGTCTTGCTACTTTATCCAGCCTGATGATTGCTGTCTTTAGAATATTTAGATCATTTAAACTTAATGTAATTATTTATATGGTTGGATCTGAATGAATTATCTTGTTATTTCCTATTTCTCCCAATCTGTTCTTGTTCCCTTTTCCCTTTTTTTCCTGCCATATTTGAAATTGAATACTTTTTAGTTTTCCATTTTATCTCCACTACTGGCCTATTATAAATATACTTGTATCTTTGTAGCTTTAGTGATTGTGCTCGTGTTTAAAATATGCACATTTAACCTGCCACAACATAACTTCAAATATTATACCACGTCACATACAAAATATAAAAACTTTGTAATAAAATTTATCTATTTCCTCCTTCCTGTCTTTTGTGCTACTGTCATCATAATCTAACTACTGTAGGACTGTTATACTAGAGAAGCTACATGCAAGTCCTCTGGTAGACAGTCCCAGATAAAACTAGGTTTTGGGTTATCTTTGCCAAAGTGACAGAAATGTGATTACAGCTGTCTTTTATCCTCCAGACCGCATTGAGCTCATTCTCGAGTTGAAGGCCACCAAGTGACCTCAGGTGATGCTACATGAAAAAGAATAACCATCAGCTGAACCTGCCCTTTTCTCTGGCCCACAAATTGTGAGGTACAATAAAATGGCTGTGTCTTCAGGGGATGTGTTTAGGTATTTTCTTACACAGAATTAGAGAACCATAACAGAATCTAGTAAAGGGAAGTGGAATTCTGTAATAAAATCTTAAAACATTGCTCTCTTCAAAGCTGTCAGACAGGGACATTTAAGTCTGCAGAGGTTACTGCTGTCTTTTTGTTTGTCTGTGCCCTGCCCCCAGAGGTGGAGCCTACAGAGGGAGGCAGGCCTCCTTGAGCTGTGGTGGGCTCCGCCCAGTTGGAGCTTCCCGGCTGCTTTGTTTACCTAATCAAGCCTGGGCAATGGCGGGTGCCCCTCTCCCAGCCTCACTGCCGCCTTGCAGTTTGATCTCAGACTGCTGTGCTAGCAATCAGCGAGACTCCGTGGGTGTAGGACCCTCCGAGCCAGGTGTGGGATATAATCTCGTGGTGCACCATTTTTTAAGCCCGTCGGAAAAGCGCAGTATTCGGGAGGGAGTAACCCGATTTTCCAGGTGCCATCTGTCACCCCTTTCTTTGACTCGGAAAGGGAACTCCCTGACCCCTTGCGCTTCCCAAGTGAGGCAATGCCTCGCCCTGCTTCGGCTCGCGCACCCACTGACCTGCGCCCACTGTCTGGCACTCCCTAGTGAGATGAACCCAGTACCTCAGATGGAAATGCAGAAATCACCGTCTTCTGCATCGCTCACGCTGGGAGCTGTAGACCGGAGCTGTTCCTATTCGGCCATCTTGGCTCCTCCGCAGCTGGAGATCTCAGTACGGGCAGACTGCCTCCTCAAGTGGGTCCCTGACCCCTGACCCCTGAGCAGCCTAACTGGGAGGCACCCCCCAGCAGGGGCACACCGACATCTCACACGGCAGGGTATTCCAACAGACCTGCAGCTGAGGGGTCCTGTCTGTTAGAAGGAAAACTAACAAACAGAAAAGACATCCCCACCAAAAACCCATCTGTACATCACCATCATCAAAGACCAAAAGTAGATAAAACCACAAAGATGGGGAAAAAACAGAACAGAAAAACTGGAAACTCTAAAAAGCAGAGCACCTCTCCTCCTCCAAAGGAACGCAGTTCCTCACCAGCAACGGAACAAAGCTGGATGGAGAATGACTTCGACGAGCTGAGAGAAGAAGGCTTCAGACGATCAAATTACTCTGAGCTACGGGAGGACATTCAAACCAAAGGCAAAGAAGTTGAAAACTTTGAAAAAAATTTAGACGAACGTATAACTAGAATAACCAATACAGAGAAGTGCTTAAAGGAGCTGATGGAGCTGAAAACCAAGGCTCGAGAACTACGTGAAGAATGCAGAAGCCTCAGGAGCCGATGCGATCAACTGGAAGAAAGGGTATCAGCGATGGAAGATGAAATGAATGAAATGAAGCGAGAAGGGAAGTTTAGACAAAAAAGAATAAAAAGAAATGAGCAAAGCCTCCAAGAAATATGGGACTATGTGAAAAGACCAAATCTACATCTGATTGGTGTACCTGAAAGTGATGGGGAGAATGGAACCAAGTTGGAAAACACTCTGCAGGATATTATCCAGGAGAACTTCCCCAATCTAGCAAGGCAGGCCAACGTTCAGATTCAGGAAATACAGAGAACGCCACAAAGATACTCCTCAAGAAGAGCAACTCCAAGACACATAATTGTCAGATTCACCAGAGTTGAAATGAAGGAAAAAATGTTAACGGCAGCCAGAGAGAAAGGTCGGGTTACCCTCAAAGGGAAGCCCATCAGACTAACAGCGGATCTCTCGGCAGAAACCCTACAAGCCAGAAGAGAGTGGGGGCCAATATTCAACATTCTTAAAGACAACAATTTTCAACCCAGAATTTCATATCCAGCCAAACTAAGCTTCATAAGCGAAGGAGAAATAAAATCCTTTACAGACAAACAAATGCTGAGAGATTTTGTCACCACCAGGCCTGCCCTAAAAGAGCTCCTGAAGGAAGCGCTAAACATGGAAAGGAAAAACCGGTACCAGCCACTGCAAAATCATGCCAAAATGTAAAGACCATCAAGACTACGAAGAAACTGCATCAACTAACGAGCAAAATAACCAGCTAACATCATCATGACAGGATCAAATTCACATGTAACAATATTAACTTTAAATGTAAATGGACTAAATGCTCCAATTAAAAGACACAGACTGGCAAATTGGACAAAGGGTCAAGACCCATCAGTGTGCTGTATTCAGGAAACCCATCTCATGTGCAGAGACACATATAGGCTCAAAATAAAAGGATGGAGGAAGATCTACCAAGCAAATGGAAAACAAAAAAAGGCAGGGGTTGTAATACTAGTCTCTGATAAAACAGACTTTAAACCAACAAAGATCAAAAGAGACAAGGCCATTACATAATGGTAAAGGGATCAATTCAACAAGAAGAGCTAACTATCCTAAATATATATGCACCCAATACAGGAGCACCCAGATTCATAAAGCAAGTCCTGAGTGACCTACAAAGAGACTTAGACTCCCACACATTAATAATGGGAGACTTTAACACCCCACTGTCAACATTAGACAGATCAACGAGACAGAAAGTCAACAAGGATATCCAGGAATTGAACTCAGCTCTGCACCAAGCGGACCTAATAGACATCTACAGAACTCTCTACCCCAAATCAACAGAATATACATTTTTTTTCAGCACCACACCACACCTATTCCAAAATTGACCACATACTTGGTAGTAAAGCTCTCCTCAACAAATGTAAAAGAACAGAAATTATAACAAACTATCTCTCAGACCACAGTGCAATCAAACTAGAACTCAGGATTAAGAATCTCACTCAAAACCGCTCAACTACATGGAAACTGAACAACCTGCTCCTGAATGACTACTGGGTACATAACGAAATGAAGGCAGAAATAAAGATGTTCTTTGAAACCAACGAGAACAAAGACACAACATACCAGAATCTCTGGGACGCATTCAAAGCAGCGTGTAAAGGGAAATTTATAGCACTAAATGCCCACAAGAGAAAGCAGGAAACATCCAAAATTGACACCCTAACATCACAATTAAAAGAACTAGAAAAGCAAGAGCAAACACATTCAAAAGCTAGCAGAAGGCAAGAAATAACTAAAATCAGAGCAGAACTGAAGGAAATAGAGACACAAAAAACCCTTCAAAAAATTAATGAATCCAGGAGCTGGTTTTTTGAAAGGATCAACAAAATTGATAGACTGCTAGCAAGACTAATAAAGAAAAAAAGA
Source organism: Homo sapiens (assembly GCF_000001405.40). NCBI lineage: Eukaryota > Metazoa > Chordata > Mammalia > Primates > Hominidae > Homo > Homo sapiens. The sequence continues at coordinate 30,950,525 of NC_000010.11, forward strand.
GAGAAGAATCAATAGATGCAATAAAAAATGATAAAGGGGATATCACCACCGATCCCACAGAAATACAAACTACCATCAGAGAATACTACAAACACCTCTATGCAAATAAACTAGAAAATCTAGAAGAAATGGATAAATTCCTTGACACATACACTCTCCCAAGACTAAACCAGGAAGAAGTTGAATCTCTGAATAGACCAATAACAGGATCTGATACTGTGGCAATAATCAATAGCTTACCAACCAAAAAGAGTCCAGGACCAGATGGATTCACAGCTGAATTCTACCAGAGGTACAAGGAGGAACTGGTACCATTCCTTCTGAAATTATTCCAATCAATAGAAAAAGAGGGAATCCTCCCTAACTCATTTTATGAGGTCAGCATCATTCTGATACCAAAGCCGGGCAGAGACACAACAAAAAAAGAGAATTTTAGACCAATATCCTTGATGAACATTGATGCAAAAATCCTCAATAAAATACTGGCAAAACGAATCCAGCAGCACATCAAAAAGCTTATCCACCAGGATCAAGTGGGCTTCATCCCTGGGATGCAAGGCTGGTTCAATATACGCAAATCAATAAATGTAATCCAGCATATAAACAGAGCCAAAGACAAAAACCACATGATTATCTCAATAGATGCAGAAAAAGCCTTTGACAAAATTCAACAAACTTTCATACTAAAAACTCTCAATAAATTAGGTATTGATGGAACGTATTTCAAAATAATAAGAGCTATCTATGACAAACCCACAGCCAATATCATACTGAATGGGCAAAAACTGGAAGCATTCCCTTTGAAAACTGGCACAAGACAGGGATGCCCTCTCTCACCACTCCTATTCAACATAGTGTTGGAAGTTCTGGCCAGGGCAATTAGGCAGGAGAAGGAAATAAAGGGTATTCAATTAGGAAAAGAGGAAGTCAAATTGTACCTGTTTGCAGACGACATGATTGTATATCCAGAAAACCCCATTGTCTCAGCCCAAAATCTCCTTAAGCTGATAAGCAACTTCAGCAAAGTCTCAGGATACAAAATCAATGTACAAAAATCACAAGCATTCTTATATACCAGCAACAGACAAACAGAGAGCCAAATCATGAGTGAACGCCCATTCACAATTGCTTCAAAGAGAATAAAATACCTAGGAATCCAACTTACAAGGGATGTGAAGGACCTCTTCAAGGATAACTATAAACCACTGCTCAATGAAATAAAAGAGGATACAAACAAATGGAAGAACATTCCATGCTCATGTGTAGGAAGAATCAATACCATGAAAATGGCCATACTGCCCAAGGTAATTTACAGATTCAATGCCATCCCCATCAAGCTACCAATGCCTTTCTTCACAGAATTGGAAAAAAACTACTTTAAAGTTCATATGGAACCAAAAAAGAGCCCGCATTGCCAAGTCAATCCTAAGCCAAAAGAACAAAGCTGGAGGCATCACACTACCTGACTTCAAACTATACTACAAGGCTACAGTAACCAAAACAGCATGGTACTGGTACCAAAACAGAGATATAGATCAATGGAACTGAACAGAGCCCTCAGAAATAACGCTGCCTATCTACAACTATCTGATCTTTGACAAACCTGACAAAAACAAGCAATGGGGAAAGGATTCCCTATTTAATAAATGGTGCTGGGAAAACTGGCTAGACATATGTAGAAAGCTGAAACTGGATCCCTTCCTTACACCTTATACAAAAATCAATTCAAGATGGATTAAAGACTTAAACGTTAGACCTAAAACCATAAAAACCCTAGAAGAAAACCTAGGCATTACCATTCAGGACATAGGCATGGGCAAGGACTTCATGTCTAAAACACCAAAAGCAATGGCAACAAAAGCCAAAACTGACAAATGGGATCTAATTAAATTAAAGAGCTTCTGAACAGCAAGAGAAACTACCATCAGAGTGAACAGGCAACCTACAAAATGGGAGAAAATTTTCGCAACCTACTCATCTGACAAAGGGCTAATATCCAGAATCTACAATAAACTCAAACAAATTTACAAGAAAAAAACAAACAACCCCATCAAAAAGTGGGCGAAGGACATGAACAGACACTTCTCAAAAGAAGACATTTATGCAGCCAAAAAACACATGAAAAAATGCTCATCATCACTGGCCATCAGAGAAATGCAAATCAAAACCACAATGAGATACCATCTCACACCAGTTAGAATGGCAATCATTAAAAAGTCAGGAAACAACAGGTGCTGGAGAAGATGTGGAGAAATAGGAACACTTTTACACTGTTGGTGGGACTGTAAACTAGTTCAACCATTGTGGAAGTCAGTGTGGCGATTCCTCAGGGATCTAGAACTAGAAATACCATTTGACCCAGCCATCCCATTACTGGGTATATACCCAAAGGACTATAAATCATGCTGCTATAAAGACACATGCACACGTATGTTTATTGTGGCATTATTCACAATAGCAAAGACTTGGAACCAACCCAAATGTCCAACAATGATAGACTGGATTAAGAAAATGTGGCACATATACACCATGGAATACTATGCAGCCATAAAAAATGATGAGTTCACGTCCTTTGTAGGGACATGGATGAAATTGGAAATCATCATTCTCAGTAAACTGTCGCAAGAACAAAAAACCAAACACCGCATATTCTCACTCATAGGTGGGAATTGAACAATGAGATCACATGGACACAGGAAGGGGAATATCACACTCTGGGGACTGTTGTGTGGTGGGGGTAGAGGGGAGGGATAACATTGGGAGATATACCTAATGCTAGATGACGAGTTAGTGGGTGCAGCGCACCAGCGTGGCACATGTATACATATGTAACTAACCTGCACAATGTGCACATGTACCCTAAAACTTAAAGTATAATAAAAAAAATTTAAAAAATTAAAAAAAAAAGTAAAAGAATCCAAAGAGATACCATGCAGATACTAATCATTAAGAAAACTGGAGGGAGCTATATTACTAGCCAATAAAATAAACTTCAAAACATGAGATAATACTAGCAGTATTGAGAAATATTTCATAATGATGTAAGAATCAATTATACATATGTAACTAACCTGCACAACGTGCACATGTACCCTAAAACTTAAAATATAATAATAAAAAAAAAAACATACACACACACACACACAAAAAAAAAACAAACATGTGGCATTGGCTTTGGGACCAGAGGTGAGCAGAAGCTGGAAGTGACTTAAGAAGACTGTTAGTGAAGGTTTGAACAACATTAATGAAAACCTTATGGTGGATAGATGAATAACTCTTCTTATGCAGTGGGAAGTTTGTAACACTGTTCCTCACATGAAATAGAAAAGACAAAATAGGCCGGGCACAGTGGCTCACACCTGTACTCCCAACACTTTGGGAGGCCAATGCGGATGGATCATGAGGTCAGGAGTTCAAGACCAGCCTGGCCAACATGGTGTAATCCCTTCTCTACTGAAAATACAAAAAATTAGCTGGATGTGGTGGCGGGCACCTGTAATCCCAGCTACTCAGAAGGCTGAGGCAGGAGAATCACTTGAACCCGGGATGTGGAGGTTGCATTGAGCCAAGATCGCACCACTGCACTCCAGCCCAGGCGACAGTGCGAGACTGTTTAAAAAAAAAGACAAAATATACCCCCATAAAGTGGTAAATTTGGCTAAGAAGATTTCTAGGCGAAAGGTTGAAAGTGGTGGTCTCCTTTAGCTATCTATAAGTTATGGATACACAAACTGATGAAAGAACTGTTTCATTTTCAAGTAGAAGTTAGAGGAAAATTTTTAAAGAACCAGGACTTGATCTTTTCAAAACTAAACAGTTTCTCATCCCCATTATCTCTAGAGAGAAATGTAAGAAAAAGCTTCAGAGTTACAGAATTACTATTAAGGCTTGGGGCCTACTACCAGTAAAGCGTGGTTTCAGGATAAAAATCTCTACAGCATGGCTGTAAAACACCTTGTTGAGACTGAAAGACTAAAATCGTATCTAGTTCAGTTCTAAGAATCTTAAGAGTATGACACTTAGATTCTGTTCTAAGGCAAAAGGCCTCTAAGAATCTTGATGATGTGCACTTTGGACTCTTAAATAGACAGAAAAGCTCATAGGAATATTATGGGTGTTGTTTCAAAATACCTTGACTCAGTATGAAAGAAAAAAAATGCCTCTCTAAAATAAATGTGGGTGGGCCTCTGATTAATGGAGCGGGCTACAATTTGATACACAGGAAGCCCACAAAGTTTTAAAAAACATTATATCAGCTTGCACTGAAAGGGACAGAGATAGTGCAAAATGAAAACAGGCTTTTGGACTCTCAAATTTCTACAGGCAGAAAGGCTGAAAAGGCTACTCAGTTGCAAAAAATGACCATTTCTTACAGAAAAAGGATGACTCTAAATTGAGAGAGCAAAACCTCGAGCCAGGGAGAATCATTATCAGGAGGCAAGAATAGCCTAATAAAAGAACTAACATCAGTATATCAAAATTTCTATGGACCAGTAAAGCTGTATGTTTCCTGTTTCCCTATTTGTGAATGGGAATGTTTACTGCAGCTATTCTATGACTGCCTCTTCATTATATTGTTGGGTAGTTGTCTCTTCAGCTACACCTGAGAAGATTCCTGAACAGTGTACTTGTTGTAAATAACAAGTTCTTGAACTTTAAGACTCAGGGTAAAGAAGAGTTGGAAAATAATTTTGGGATTCTTGGAGGTGGGTGAGTAAATAAGGAACATAGGAAGAGACTGAATCATTTGTGACCAGATAGTGGACTGTGGTGGATTAAAGATGGCCACAAATGTTTTGATACTTCTTCCACTGGAAGGTCATGCCTATGTCTTCTCTCACTAAAACTGGAAGAACTCTGTGACTCCTTTGACCAACAGAATATAGTGGAAGTGATATGGTACCATTTTTCAGTTTTAGGCTTTAAGACGCTGGCAGCGTCCACTTTCTATCTCCACGAAAATTCTCTCTAGAAGCCGGAAGCCACAATAATAAGTCTGACTATGCTAAGACTACCATGCTAGAAAGGTCATGTAGACTTAGCCTTCCACCTCTGCCCAGGCACCCTGTATATATGTATCTTGAATCCTCCAGAGAATTCCATCCACCAGCAGAATACCACCCAGTGATCTCAGTCAACGAAACATGCAACCAAAAATCACCAAGCTGGGACCTGCCTGAATTTTCAACCCATAGAACGATGAGCTAAATGAGACTTGCTGTTTCACACCACTGAATATTGGGGCATTTTATTAGGTAGTAACATATTATTACAACGTTGATTTTTGTAACTTATTATTATTTTTTTTAGTTGTTCCAGAAGCCACAATGTCCCATTACCACCTTCTACAACCTAACTGAAAGCAGAAACCTGAACCTAGTGATTTTGCAGAAGCAATTTGCAAAGTTCATTATAAGGTAAAATTATTTCTGAGAGGCCAATTTTCTCTAAGATATTCTAAAACAAACAATTTTTCAAACACAATATACTCCAACTAAATCACTGCAATTATAACCATTTTCGTCTTACTAAATAAACTATTGTACATAGATAATCAAGCCAAAGGATTCATGCTCAGGCTCTCCTTCAGTTCATTTAACACAGTTATTCAGTCACTTTCTCATGATTGAAGCAAGAGTGGGATTACAAATAGAAAATTAAGACCCTTTATGGTACTCTACAGCAGTGATTTTCAAACACAACATAAAAAATACCAATGTGAGATAAGTGATGAAATATAAAAGAGAGACTGTTAGTGAAATGATAAACTATGTTTACGTAAATATGTGTGTGACCAAACTGACATCTTTTTAAAGTTTTATTTTATTTTTGACACATAATAATTGTATATATTTATGGAATACAGTGTGGTATTCTGATACTTGTCATTTTTTAATGAGAACATTCAAAGCTTCTCTTGTATTTTGAAATATGTTATTATTAACTAAAGTCACCCTACTGTACCATAGAACACCAGAACTTATTCCTCCTATGTGACTGTAGGTTTGCACTTGTTGACCAACCTCTCTTCATCTCTCCTATCTCTTCCCCACCCAGTGGTAACCACTATTCTACTTTCTACTTCTATGAGATAAACGTTTTTAGATTCCACATATAAATGAGATGCCTGGCTTATTTCACTTAATATAATGACCTCTGGGTTCATCCATGTTCACTGCAAATGATAGAATTTCATTCTTTTCTATGGCTGAATAGTATTCCATTGTGTATATATGACATATTTTATTTATCCATTCATACACTAATAAACACTTAGGTTGATTCCATATCTTGGCTATTGTAACTAGTGCTGCAATAAACATAGGAGGGCAGGTATCTCTTCAACAACATACTGATTTCACTTATTTTGGATATATAAGCCGTACAGTGAAACTGTTAGATCATATGGTAGTTCTGTTATTAATATTTTAAAGAACTTCCATGCTGTTTTTTATTATGGCTGTACTAATTTACATTCCCACCAACAGTGTAAATTAACAGTTCCCTTTTCTCCACATCCTTGCCAGGACTTGTTATTGTCTTTTTGGTAATAGCCATTCTAACTGGGGTAAGATGATAATCTCATTACTGTTTTGATTTGCGTTTCCCTGATGTAGTGATGTTGAACATTTTTTCATATGTCTGTTGCCATTTGCATGTCTTCTTTTGAGAAATATCTATTCAGATCTTTTCCCACTTTAGCATTCAGATTGTTTGCTTGCTTTTTGCTATTGAGTTGTTCAGATTCCTTACACATTCTGGATGTTAACCCCTTGTCAGATGTGTAGTTAGCTAATATTTTCTCCCATTCTACAGATTGTCTCTTCACTCTGTTGTTTCCTTTGCTGTATAGAGCTTTAAGTTTGATGTAATCCCATTTGTTTATTTTTTCTTTCCTTGTCTGTGCTTTTGAAGTCTTACCCATACAAACCTTATCTAGACCAATGTCATGAAGTGTTTCTCCTGTGTATTCTAATAGTTTCATAGTCTGTCTTTAATCCATTTTGAGTTGATGTTGGTAAGAAACAGGTATCTAGTTTCTGCACATGGATGTCCAGTTTTCCTAGCCCCATTTATTTCAGAGGATGTCCTTTCCCCAATGTGTGCTCTTAGCATGTTCATCAATCAGCTGGCTGTAAATACATGGATTTCTGGGTTCTCTATTCTGTACCACTGTCCTATGTGTCTGTTTTTATGTGTGTACCATGCTGTTTTGGTTACTATTGGTTAATATTCTTTGGGATATTTTGAGGAGAATTGACATTATTACTATTTTAAATGTTCAACAGGAAAAGCATCAGGGTTTGGGCTGTTCTTTGATGGACTAATTCTTATTACTGATTCAATTTTGTGACTCATTATTGCTGTACTCAGGTGTTCTATTCCATTATGATTTGGTCTTGGTAGGCTGTATGACCTTTGACCTTCCTGTGCCTGGATATTTATATTTTTCTTGAGGTTTGGAAATGCTTTGTAGTATAATTTGAAGTCAGGTAGTGTGATGCCTCCAGCTTTGTTCTTTTTCCCAATGTTGCTTTGGCTACTCGAGGTCTTTTGTAGTTCCATTTTTGGGACTGAGTCATACGACCAAAGAATAGCATTCCTGGCCTTGTACTTTTGCTGATCTCCTCCCTATTCACTCAACAGGGCTGTATTTATCAATGTGCCTTTGATGTTAGGCTACCAGACTGTATAGAAAGGGGGCTCAAGAAACAGGTCTTCAGAAGAGAGTCTTCAGTTATTTACTATGAGGATGTTATTTAAGGACAGACTTGATTACACTGCACTATAACAAAAAGAATACATTTTCCTTTGAATATAATTATTAGGCTTCTCCTAAAATATTGATAAATTTTGATCTTGTGAACAACAGAAAAGAAATTTCATATTGAGAGATGTCTTCTTAGAGAGCTTAGAGCAAAATCCATGATCCACCTCAAGCAAAATATAGGAGCTTTTATAAGATATAATGTGTGTCCCATCCTTACTCCATTTGTACTACTTTTATAATTTTGATATGGATTGAAGTGCAATTTATATGCCATAAAATTAATCATTGTCCATTGAACAGGGGACAGTTCAATGACGTTTTAGTCCATTTATAGAGGACCAGAATGTACTAAATGGATGCAATCATCACTACAATCCAGTTTTCCATTATCTCTCCCAATTCCCTTGAGTTCATATGCAGTCAATTCCTGCTCCAACCCCTAGTTCCCCTCTAATCTCCTTGCTAACTCAATCAGTTTCCCTTTTCTAGAAATTTCATAAGTGAAATCATATAATATGTAGTCTATTGAGTCTAGTTCCTTTCACTCAACACTATATTTTTTAGTTTCATCCATGCTGCAGCATATATCAATATTTTCTTCCTTTTTCATTGCTGAATAGTATTCCAATGTATAGATATGCCTCATTTTGTTTATCCATTTACCAGGTTATGGACATTGCATTTTTTCTTGTTTTTATTAATATCTATTACAAATAATGTTGCCAAGAGCAATTACATACAAGTCTTTGTGTGAACATATGTTTTCATTTCTCTTGGGCAGATTCCAAGAAGTGGAATTGCTGAGTTTATATGGCACAATGATTAAAAATTATGTATCAGTTTGGCTGGACCACAGCACTCAGATATTTGGTCAAACATTATTCTCGACATTTCTGCAAGAGTAATTTTGGACAAGATCTGCATTTAGACTGTTAGACTTTGAGTAGAGCAGATGGTTCTCCATTATATGGGGGAGCTTCATCTAATGAGTTGATGGCCTGAATAGAACAAAAGGATGACCTCCCTGGGCAAAAGGGAAGTCCCCAGCAGACTCCCTTCAGACTTCATCTGCAACATTGGCTCTTCTGGTTTTCCAGCTGACTGCCTTTAGACTCAAACTGCAACTCTTTCTGAGCCAATTAATTCCTTAAAATAAATTTTGGCCGGGCGCGGTGGCTCACACCTGTAATCCCAGCACTTTGGAAGGCCGAGGTGGGCGGATCACGAGGTCAGGAGATTGAGACCATCCTGGCTAACACGGTGAAACCCCGTCTCTACTAAAAATACAAAAAAAAAAAAAAAATTAGCCGGGCGTGTTGGCAGGTGCCTGTAGTCCCAGCTACTCAGGAGGCTGAGGCAGGAGAATGGCGTGAACCCGGGAGGCGGAGCTTGTAATGAGCCGAGATCGCACCACTGCACTCCAGCCTGGGTGACAGAGCCAGACTCCGTCTCAATAAATAAATTTCTTCACACACACACACATACCTGATTCATTCTGTCTCTCTGGAGAACCTTACTACATATGGTAAGTTGGTTTAACTTTAAAAGAAATAGCCAAACTATTTTCCAAAGTGGTTATAACAATTTACATTCCTACCAACAATGTATAATATGAGAGTTCCTGTTTCTCCACATCCTAGACACTATATACTGTCTTTTTTATTACAGCCATCCTAGGGGATGTAATCTCATTGTGGTATCTCATTGTGTTTTTAATGTGTATCTTCCTAATGACTAATGATGCTCACTGTGCTTACATGTGGCTATTAATCACTCTCATGTCTTTTCAGATGAAGTGTCTATTCTGTTCTTTTGCTCACTGTTAAGTTGGGTTGTTTGCCTTATTATTTACTTATAATTCTTTACATGTTTTGGATACAAGTCCTTTATCACACATGATTTGCAAATATTTTCTCCCAGTCTGCAGCCTATCTTTTCAGTTTCTTCCCAATGTCTTTTGTAGCATAAAAATGTTAATTTTAATTAAGTCAAATTCATCAATTTTTTATCTTATGGCTCATGCTTCTGGTGTCATACCTAACAACTCTGCCTAATCCAAGGTCATAAAGTTTCTTCTATGCTTTCTTTTAGAAGTTTTATAATTTTAGCTCTTACATTTAGGCCCCTAATTCATTGTCAGCTAATTTTTGTGTATTGTTATTGTGAGGAAGTTAATTTTTGTATATGATATCCAATTTTTCCAGCACCATTTGTTGAAAAAATAACCCTTTCTCTATTTGTCTTAGCAGCTCTTCCAAAAATCAATGGACCAAAAATGTAAATGTTTATTTCTGGACTCTCAATTCCTCTCCATTGATTTATATGCTTATCCTATGCCACGGCCACGTTGTCCTGAATACTGTCACCTTAGATTGAGTTTTGAAATGGGGATGTATAAATCCTCCAATTTTGTTCTTTTACTCATTTATTTTAAATTTTATTTGATCCCACTGTACTAAGTGTACTTAGTAATACCACCTTAAATCCTTTCTTAGACAAGATAGATATAAATATAAAAATAAAATAGGCTATATTTTAAAGACGTTTTCAAAATAACATAATCCTTTTAAGATTTCAACCATTAACGTATTCCCCTAGGATTGACTGTAAAATTAAGTTTTCCCACCCCCGACACTCACATCAACAAACATTTACTGAATGCCTACTATGTACCAGGCACAGTGCAAGGTTAGGTGCCAAAGATACAGAGAAAAATAATATATACTTACTCACTTAGCACTTAAATAGACAATGATGGCATAGTATATTAATAACAGGTATGTACAAGATAAAGAACAAAAGATATTAATCTTATCTTACCAGATTTATCTTACTTTATATAAGCCTGTTTCTTAAAAAAAAAAAAAGTTTTTTTTACATATGTATACATATGTAACTAACCTGCACAATGCGCACATGTACCCTAAAACTTAGAGTATAATAAATAAAAAAAAAAAATTAAAAAAAAAAATTTTTTAATTTATTATACCTTTTTAAAAAATTATTAGAAATGAGGTCTCGCTATGTTGCCCAGGCTGGAGAACAGCGGCTATTCACAGGCATGATCATAGCGCACTATAGCCATGAACTCCTGGGCTCAGGCGATCCTTCCGCCCCAGCCTCCTGAGTAGCTGGGACTACAGGTGTGCACAACTGTGCCTGGCCTGAAACAAATGATTTGTGAAACTTCTACCAGCTTTAATGTTCTTTGATTGTATAATCGCATTTTATTTTTTTTAAACAAAAAGTGCTAAATTTTAAATTTGATAGAATCCCTTCTAACCTGCCTGTATTAGAAGACAAGAATAGGGCTGGGCACAGTGGCTCACGCCTGTAATCCAAGCACTTTGGGAAGCCAAGGTGAGTGAATCACTTGAGATCAGGAGTTCGAGACCAGCCTGGCCAACATGGTGAAACCCCGTCTCTATTAAAAATACAAGAGATTGGCCGGGTGTGGTGGCGTGCGCCTGTGATCCTAGCTACTCAGGAGGCTGAGGCAGCAGAATCGCTTGAACCCGGGAGGTGGAGGTTGCAGTGGGCCGAGATTGCACCACTGCTCTCCAGCCTGGGTGACAGAGTGAGACTCCATCCCAAAAGAAAAAAAAAAAAAAAAAGTTTTACAAATTTTGGTACTTTCTAAACAAAATGCGTTTAAAACTACCAGAGAGGCTAGTACTTACAAAAGCTTGAAATAAGAAATTCTGTTGTAAAGTACTGGTTCTCTCCATCAGTTTAGGTCTTTTAATTTGCTTTTTCTTCTTAAGGTTACAAAAGCGAAAAGTCTTATTTCACCTCCAACCCACCTTACTCTTTCCCATAAAGGTAACTTCTGTTATGCTCTGTCAACTCCTGCTTGTACAGAGCAACAAACTATAGAAGATACAGATAGTAAGAACTCTTAAAATACTCAGATCAATCTCAAACCTTATTTTAGATATAAGCTTCAGCCTCTTTCCCACTAAACTTGACATCAGAATAACTAGTAAAACTTGTAAGTTACTCACTTTCCTTCTTCCTCCCAACCTATGCCCCAGAAAAGTTGGAGATTAATAGAAAAAGACATAAGCAACACATCTAAATAACGTGCATGTGTGTATGAAAGTTTCATAGTGCACATTCCTGAAACTTGTTCTATAAGAGATTTTAGTAAGTGTTCTTTAAAAATAAAGTAAGAAAGGAAGGAATTTGGAAGGAAGAAAGACAGGGGGTGGGTGTTCCCAAGTTCAAATACATTTGGGAAACACTGGGTTAAATAAAATACCAATATACACTACGTAATATACATTGTGATTGCTCCCACTTTTCCTAAAATTAGCAAACCACCAAAACCTTTAATCACGGATCACTTAGTAATATCTTGAAAGAATCTAGGTCTTTACAAAAATACAGTGTGAGAAGCAAGTTGGATATAGCTTCCGGCTCATTGTCACACTGGCAGCAATTCATACAGCTGAACAACTGTGGATATTCAGAGAAACATGCACAAGGTCACATCAATTTGCTACTGGCCAGAAGACTAAAATATAAAATAAAAATTAAAGTGAGCAGACTGTCTCAAGATTCCATCTTTACTGTTTTGGAAAAACTGGTTTCGTTTCTGTGTGGCATTATTTTTCCTTTAGCTATATAATAAAATAATACAAGTAGATGTTTGACTCTAAAATGCACTAATGGGTTTGCTTTTAATAAGTAAATATAATCAAAGGGTCTCAATATAAATTATATTCATTTTAAAATCTCCTTTACAAAACAAAAAATAGGACTAAAATAGTTTGTAATATTAGTACATGCTTTATTGTGAAAGAAACTTTAAGAGGTTGGCCGGGCACAGTGGCTCACACCTGTAAGCACTTTGGGAGGCCAAGGTGGGCAGATCACCTGAAGTCAGGAGTTTGAGACCAGCCTGGCCAACAGAGTGAAACCCTGTCTCTACCAAAAATACAAAAATTAGCTGGGCATGGTGGCGGGCATCTGTAATCCCAGCTACTCAGGAGGCTGAGGCAGGAGAATTGCTTGAACCCAGGAGGTGGAAGTTGAAGTGAGCCGAGATCGTGATACTGCACTCCAGCCTGGGCGACAAGAGTGAAACTCCATCTCAAAAAAAAAAAAAAAAAAAAAGAAACTTTAAGAGGTTAATAGAAACTCCTATCAAATTATGATATTTATCTATAGTGACAAATATCGATAGCCACCTATCTACGTGTAAAAAAATAGTGAACTTGGAAATATCTCCTTATATGTTAGGATTCAAATCAAGATATAACTCAGCAGTGAGCACTAGTATATATGCCAATGAGGCCAGGCCCTGTGGCTCACGCCTGTAATCCCAGCACTTTGGGAGGCCAAGGCGAGTGGATCACAAGGTCAGGAGTTCAGGAGTTTAAGACCAGCCCGGCCAAGATGGTGAAACTCCGTCTCTACTAAAAACTACAAAAATTAGCCGGGTACGGTGGCAGGCGCCTGTAATCCCAGCTAATCGGGAGGCTGAGGCAGAAGAATCCCTTGAATCTGGGCAGCAGAGGTTGCAGATTGCAGCACTGCACTCCAGCCTGGGTGACATAGTGAGACTCCATCTCAAAAAAAAAAAAATTTTTTTTGCCAATGAGATTGAATCAAGCTTTTATTATCAAACTGTAGTCATGAACAATAACTTTTCAGTGTATCTTATTCCTGTCTTCCTGCTGAAATTTTACTTGGGTGAAAAGTCTGGGAGGATTTCCTACTAAAGTGATCCTTATAGTAGCTGAAATAGCTGCTGCATGTCCTAGGTGGAAGCTTTTCTGAAATTCTACTTTAGGAGAAAATAAGGAACAAATAAGTCACTGATGAAGAAAAGTTTCCACCACACACTTCAAGCATTCTCTTTTTTAGTTGTTTCTTCATTGCTGCTCGGCACAGGAAGTGTGATAACTGTCACCCTTACTTATAAATGTCAGATAGCCTTACTCTTTTATACTCAAACCCCAACTATTTGTTTAATGCCCTATTCAAGCTTCCATTAAATCTTTGATCACTCTCTAATTCAAGTAAAAATGATTTCTCCTTCCTCAAAGCTACCTGATTCTTGTCCATGCCTCTCACTTAGCTCATAACTATATTTAACATACTTTAGGTTGCTGTTTAACTTGATTAGTGTCCATATCCTCTTCGTTGAGAAGTCTAGGACACTTCAGATGGCAGGAACAAGGTGATGCACATCTCTGGAGAGTCCACAATACCAGGCACAATGCTGTTTACACTAGCATTCTGCAAGTATTTGTTGACTGACGGACATTAGTATTTTCCTGGGGGAAAATATAAGTGTTCAGGAAATGTTAACAGATTATCTTTAATCGATAACTAAATGAAATCTTTTTTTCTATGACCAAGCAGTGTCACGGATAGGTCAGCCAAGTATAGATCACCTAAGGACTTGGGCACAGAATGTTGTGAGGAAATTAACTGTTCAATGACAAAAGGACTCTGAACAGGACCTACCATTACAGATTAACAGGAAGGATGTAGACATGCACACAGTCATATGCATATGGAACAATGACCTCAAACTATAAAAATCCGAGAAAAAAACCTAGGAAATACCATTCTGGACACTGGCCTTGGCAAGGAATTTGTAGCTAAGACCTCAATTGCAACAAAAAAATTGACAAGTGAGGCCTAATTAAACTAAAGAGCTTTTGCACAGCAAAAGAACTATCAACAGCATAAACAGACCTTACAGAATGGGAGAAAATATTCAAAAACTATGCATCCAACAAAGGTCTAATATCCAGAATCCATAAGGAACTTAAGCAATTCAACAAGCAAATAACCTCATTAAAAAGTGGGCAAAGGACATAAACAAACACTTCTCAAAAGAATACATAAAAACAGCCAACAAACATATGAAAAAATGTTTAACATCACTGATCATCGGAGAAATGCAAATCAAAACCAAAATGAGATACCATCTCATGCCAGTGAGAAGAGCTATTATTAAAAAGTCGAAAAATAATATGCTGGTGAGGCTGCAGAGAAAAGGCAATTCTTATACACTGCTGGTGGGAATGTAAATTAGCTCAGCCACTGTGGACAGCAGTTTGGAGAGTTCTCAAAGAACTTAAAAACAGAACTACCATCCAACCAGCAATCCCATTTCCTAAAGGAAAATAAATCGTTCTACAAACAAGACACATGAACTCCTATGTTCATGACAGCACTATGTACAATAGCAAAGACATGGAATCAACCAAGGTGTCCATCAAAGAAAACGTGGTATATATACATCATGGAATACTATGTAGCCATAAAAAAATAAAATCATGTCCTTGGCAGCAACATGGATGCAGCTGGAGGCCATTATCCTAAGTGAATTAACTTAGGAACAGAAAATTAAGTACTGCATGTCCTCACTTATAAGTGGGAGTGAAACATTACGTACACATGAACACAAAGATGGCAGCAATAGACACCGGGGACTACTAGAGGAAGGAGAGAGGGAGGAGGGAGGCAAGAGTTGAAAAAGTTAACTATTGGGTACTATGCTCAGTACCTAGGTGACAGGATCATCCATAACCCAAACCTTAGCATCACACAATATACTCATGTAACAAATCTTGTGGCACATGTAACCCCTGAATCTAAAATAAAAGTTGAAATGATTTTTAAAAATACAAAGATGTACGTACTAAATGCATCACTCTTTACTATTAGCAATACTGTAAAAAAAATAGAATCTACAAAAGTAATCTGGCAGTCTCATTCATTCATTCAACAAACCATTATTGAAAACCCACTGCCTAAAATTACCCAGCACTTTGGAGGCCAAGGTGGGAGGATCACTTGAGAACAGGAGTTCTAGACAAGCCTGAGCAATATAGCGAGACCCTGTCTCTACAAAATGAAAAAATAAGTAGGGCTTGGTGGCATTTGCCTGTAATCTCAGGTACTTAGGAGGCTGAGGTGGGAGGAGCACTTGAGCCCAGGAGTTTGAGGCTACAGTGAGCTATGATCATGCCACTGTACTACAGTCTGGGTGACAGAGTGAGCTCCTGTTTCAAAAAAAAGAAAAAAATGATTTTAAATAGGCAAACTTTTGCTGTTAAAAAGAATCAAGGGGCCGGGCGTGGTGGCTCATGCTTGTAATCCCAGCACTTTAGAAGGCCGAGGCGGGTGGATCATGAGATCAGGGGCTCAAGACCATCCTGGCTAACACGGTGAAACCCTGTCTCCACTAAAAATACAAAAAATTAGCCAGGTGTGGTGGCACGCACCTGTAGTCTCAGCTACTCGGGAGGCTGAGGCAGCAGAATCGCTTGAACCTGGGAAGTGGAGTTTGCAGTGAGCTGAGATTGCGCCACTGCACTCCAGCCTGGGCAACAGAGCAAGACTCCATCTCAAAAAAAAAAAAAAAGAAAGAAAGGAAACCTATTGTGTGACAGGCTCTGTATTAGGCACTGGGGAACTAAAGGTAAATGATTAATATCAGCAATTCATGTTGGCTCTTTAAAGCAGATTTAGACAGATTTAATCCAAAAATTCATCTACCCACCCCCCTGTAAAACTGTATTCCAGACAGTTAAGGTACACTAAAAATATTTTATCTCATTGCTTAGAGCAATGCAGACAGTTTACTTTGCCTACACACTAGCAAACTTAAAATTATCCTAGAAACTCTTTCAAAGAGATACTGTTTCGTTTCAGTCCCCAAGTCCCTAGGTTCCCAAGTTGATGACTGAGGACAAAGAGATGTGCTATAAGCAGTAAGAATAAACTTACCCTTGGAGCCTTGTCCAAACAAAAGCTCTTTACCTGAGATTAAGGCAGCATTGGCAAAAGTACTCCTTTTCCCTGTAAATTAGCTGCTGACCCATTCTTATGCTCCATGGCGTAATATTTTCTTCTAAAACTTTAGAGGAAAAGGCAAAAACAGAAAGCCTTTTTGCCAACCACAAAAATTTATATACTTTAAATTGTGGGGAAAAGAAGAGCCAGTATATACTTTTAAAACCAGAGAAAAAGGAAATAAGTATCTCCCCAACGCTCAACTACAAACTTCTAACAGCTGACTAGTAAAGAAAAGCAGAAATATTGTAGTTACAGTTAAGCTGCTTTGCATCTGAGGCAACTTAAAATGATCTACTGATAAGTAGGCTAAAAGTAAGATGGTAGGGCCAAAATTTATCCTTTTAGAATTAAAACTCATTTTTAAAGTGTGTTTTAAGAAGAAAAGATGTAATCTTTAATATGGCAATAGGGTTTCATTCAACCAGAAAGTCACTAAACTACGAATGAATAGATTCAAAAATCTACAAAATTAACCTGACAACAAATATGGCTGCTAAATTTTAATTTTAAAACTAATATGTTACTGCTCTGGTGTTGTTTTAAATTAAAGGATTTCTTCTGGGACTGCAAAGGAATGAATATTTAGCCTATCTCATGAAGGAAGGAGCGATTTCTTGTCTTAAAAACAGGAGGTTCGCCTACAAGATCACCTGGGACACACTTGGCCAGTGCAAGCAGGCCAGAAGGTTACTGGAGCCTGGGAATGTTTAACATCAAGAAAGGAATTACAACTCAGTAAGATCAGAAGGAACTACACAGGAAATGTGAACAGTAACCCTTTCATAGCTCTGTACCCCCTCCCACTGCCTGTGATAAATGAAGTCCTGCTGCTGCCCAGTTATGTGAATATACAAGCCAGGAGCAGAGAGGGATGGAGAAAAAGGGGAAAAAAAGACATTTTATATATATATACACAGAGCACAGCATAAATTTATAACGGCATGATAAAATCATGCTGTTCCGCAAAACAGCCTCTAGCCTAATTGCTACATATGTACTATATCACTGCCTTACCCAACAGTGCCCTAAGTAAAAATTCCAAAGACACTTGAAGGATCAGGCAGCGGTAGGTTGATGGGATAGTTGGCAAACTCATCCTAAGTAGGGAAACGTGGCTCCTATAAAGCTGACCAAACAGGTCTCCACCCTGGCTTATGTTTAAACATCTTGTTCCTAGTCAGTCTGTAGGGAAAGCATTCTTTCCACAATAACACACAATCAAATCAGAAATTCCTACTCCATCCTTTATCTACTCTATGTAAAAGTTTCTTCAATATTCTAAGCCAGAAGCTTAGAGAATTTAACTGAATGTAAACTTTTTTTTTTTTTTTTTTTTTTTTTTGAGACGGAGTTTCGCTCTTGTTGCCCAGGCTGGAGTGCAATGGTGTGATCTCGGCTCACCACAACCTCCACCTCCCGGGTTCAAGCGATTCTCCTGTCTCAGCCTCCTGAGAAGCTGGGATTACAAACATGCACCACCACACCTGGCTAATTTTGTATTTTTAGTAGAGATGGGGTTTCTCCATGTTGGTCTGGCTAGCTCAAACTCCCGACCTCAGGTTATCCGCCCACCTAGCCCTCCCAAAGTGCTGGGATTACAGGCGTGAGCCACCGTGCCCAGCCTCTGATTGTAAACTTTATTATAGCCTAGCTATAGTGAAGGCATGGTAAAATATTTCTAGCTGTTACTTGGAAAAGCAGATGTGACCATACAGATCTTAGATACCTTTAGAGACCCGTGGTTGGGATCTGAAGAAAACAAGACACTTACCACAACTGCCTCTGGATAAAGGGGAAATGCTCAGTTTCCACAAACCAGTGAGTATGAGAGCTATTAACTGTAAAAATACACACAGTCCTCAGATGGTGAGGGCATGGGTTAGGGTAACAAAAATACAATGGAGAAAAAAGTGGCATTTCCAATGTGACACATTTAAAATATGGAATGGAATTTCATGGGTCACTTGGAAATAAGATTTTTTTTTCATTGGTATAACTTCAGGCTAGAGATGGTTTGCCACAGAGTAAGTCAAAAAAAATAAAAGAATATGGAGATGACGATGAAAATGACAACTGCCAATAAAAGTCAAAAGGATAGATTTTGAGAACTCTCCAGAAGAGGGAACAAAAAAATCAAAAGATTTTTTCCCTTGGCAAAGTGCCCCCTCCAAAGCACACATAGTCTGCTTCAACCAACAGCCTATACCCACAGTGTTTTCATATACTAAATGGCATATCACTAAATAACAGTAAATGAGATTAAACTGTAGACTTCCTAGTTGCCTTAAACAACTGATGGTTAATTTCTTGAACACTGAATAACAAATATGCAGTCTCATGACACTGTAAGAAGCTAAAGGTGCTCATTCTTTCCATGAATTCTAAATTGCTATAATACTTATATTAGGAAAACAGAACAGTGGGAAGGAAAATTTTAAACAAACCCAGAATAAACCACACTTTTGATTGGGTTTCCAGCAATAATCAGTTCCCCATTAGAATGTGGACCCCGAAGTATACCAAATGCAAGCTCAGTGGAGCTCAGTCTCCTCAGCTGAAAATGAGAGCTTACTCTGGAAATGAGCACTTCTTAACATTTTTAACCCATGTTCCATCCTATTAAACATAAAAACCTCATACTCCCATTGAATGTTATTTGTGACTTCATAACCAAAACCAAAACCAAACCAAAGCAAGGTAAGTTTTTATTGTTTTTTTTTCAGTGTCTCATCATAACCATTTACAAATTCATTTATTTACAAATACTTGCATAAATGGACAGATATTAATAATTAATGCTTTTTTAAATCTTGAAGACAAAAAAGATTTTAAAAAGCCTATGAAGAATAATGATGACAATGAAATGATATTTACTGAGACCTTTGGCAAATGATATTTACTGGGACCTTCTTCTCTCCTCCAGAGTTACTATTAATATAAATGATCCTTTCTTTACTAGCATTCAGCCAGAAGAAATGCTGGCTGATACACACACACACACACACACACACACACACACACACACATATACACACACACACATATATTAGGCCTTCAATATTTGTTAAATGTTAAAAGAGGTGATAGGTCCTCTTTTACTATTCTGAAAATAACAGAACCCTAATATAGTAACCTTTCTCAAGTAATAAAGGATAGAAGCAAGTAGGTTAAGTCTTTGGTATAGAGGTGAACTGTAGAAGCTTTTGACAACAGTTATGTTAATGAAAACAGTAAGAACACCACCTAATACTAGCACATTTATAAAACACTTAGCAATGTCTAACGTACTTTATGTAATTTCGACCCTACAGCTGTATGAAGTGAATATTATTATTTGATTAAAACAGTGTCATGAAGCTGTTCAAAGTCACACAGCTAGTTAAGCAGCAGAGCTCAGACTTAAAACTCTCTGAGAGCTATCCCATTCACTAACAGCTCTTTATTTTGTCATGAAATGTGGAAAATATCCTCATCCAAACTCCAAAATCAGCATATACATAAGCACAACCTTTTTTTCTCTCAACCTACCCAATACCCCTTTCTACCAATTCCCATAAAAATTCTTGGAGTTCCTATTGCAGCGTCTTTATGTCTTCATACTGGTATGACCAAGGGCACAATGGAAGACTTCTTTCAAAAGGGAACCACCTTCAATCTAAGTCTTGTCTCCTATAACTGTCCCCAAAATGGACATCATCACAGGCATAGGCTTTTCAAACCATTAACTAGTGAGGAAATGTCTGGGGTTGTCTGTTCCTCATTTAAAATCAGTCAAATAGGACACATACTACCACTTCATTCCTAAAAGTTGAGCAAGAATCATCCTCATATCTCCAGCTTTCTGGTTTAGCAAGCAGACACCCGACTCTGGGGACTTGGTAAAGGCCAACTGCACAAGAATAAAAAGTGTAACAGAACTGGCAGTTACAGTCTTAGCAATTTTAAAAAATCATTCCAAATGTTTTGGTAGAAATCTTATTAAAGAATGCTAAACTACTGGCATTAGTAATTTACTGTAAATGAAAGGTATACTAAAGGTAGAATTTTATTCATATAAAATAAACTATTTTACTTCTGAAGGTTATTATGAAGATGAGGCTAAATTATATGAAAAATGCTAAGCATCCCGCCTAGCTCATAGTAACTACGCAGTAAGTGTCAGCTGCTATTAGTAATACTGCAGAAGTATTAAAAATAAAACATAACAACGGAAGGCCATATTTAAAATGAACCAGCAATCAACATTCTGTGTTTAAACATCAACAAAAAACATATCCATCTGTGGTATGTATACATATATATGCATAAAAATATTTAGAAGACAATTTGGAAGAATAAATAGCAAAATGATGATCTCTGGGGAGACAGAAGGGTGGTAGTCAAATGGAACTTTAGCCTGACATAAATGCTTTTTGTTTTTTAACAAAGTATTCATGAATTTCCTCTGTAAATAATTTTATTTTAAAAAGAAAAATCATAGTTTCTTCAATTCCATAGTTGATTTCAGTATTACATGAAAAAAAGTTTACTTTTTTTATAGTTAACGTGTTCAAATTTCTAAAACCTCATTTTCTTTATTTAGTAATACTATTCAAGGCTTATGTTACAAACTGCTTTAATCTTCTTTATGATATTCCTAATTGCTATATTAAAAATATCTGCCTATGCCACCCCCCAACAATTTTATTAGGTTTTAAAACCACTCGGTGTATTTAATCAAGGTGCAAAGAGGCTTTCAAAGTCTCGGAAGCCATAAATCAAAACAGTTTCACATAAAAAGATTACCTTTTCCCCTTAAATTTTGTATGTGTTTACATTTAATAAACTACACACAGAAAGTAGAGCCCTTGATTCTTTTTTTTTTTTTCTGAGATGGAGTCTTGCTCTGTCACCCAGGCTGGAGTGCAGTGGCACAATCTTGGCTCACTGCAAGCTCTGCCTCCCAGGTTCACGCCATTGTCCTGCTTCAGTCTCCCGAGTAGCTGGGACTACAGGTGCCCACCACCACGCCTGGCTAATTTTTTGTATTTTTAGTAGATACGGGGTTTCACCTTGTTAGCCAGGATGGTCTCAATCTCCTTACCTCGTGATCCACCTGCCTCGGCCTCCCAAAGTGCTGGGATTACAAGCGTGAGCCGCCACGCCCGGCCCCTTGATTCCTTTTAAGACCAAAAGTTTACCTATTTGAAATCATTATAACAATTTAAAATGTCTTAAGGAGTGCTATAATTAAAAAACCTCTGCTTCTGTGCTCTTGCTAATTTCTAATTCTCGTTTGTACCATTTGTGACAGTTTTTATATTTTTAACTTTTCTTCTAGTTCACAGCCATAACTTTGACTTTTGCAACGTATTCTTTTTCCTTCAGATCATCTAGATTTTAGCCAATAAAGTGTGTATGAACTATGTCACAAAAGCTCTTATTAACTCCCTAAAAACAGCAAATAGTGGGCCTTTTGTGGCTCAGGCATGGAGGTAAGCCACATGCACCATGGGCCAGACTCAGCCTGGGCCCCTTCAATTTACAAATCCAGCTTAAAATATATTACAGGCCTCTACTGTTGTCCAAAAAGACCAAGACTTCAATGATGACAGAGAGAAAGCAGCCTCATACTTGAATAGGAGGACACTGGGCTGAATAGGAAATCCCTACCTCAAAGAGCCATGGGATTCAATGATTATGGGAGGCCATGCAATCTCTTTTTAATAGATTTAAAGTTCAAGAAAGACTTTTACTGTAACTTAATAGGGAACAATGTTTGATCAAAAGGTGTCTCCCTTTAATTTCAAATTTAAAATTCTAGATATAATTTGTAGCTAGTAGAGGGCAATTCAATCATCATCATCATCATCATCATCTTCATCATCAGCTGAATACAGAAAGCACATGTATCAACAATTTTTTTTTCCTTCCAGATGCTCAGCTATGGACTCATTAATATAAAGCAGCTATACCTACAAAAACATACAATAATGTTTCCTCCAGTAGTTAACGCTGTAGTTCTAGAAGACTTAAAGACTGCAGAAATCTGAAAGTATAGGCACCTTGAGGCTGCCTCACTCTAATCTCAGAACACAGTCAATCCCACACATTCTATTATTCTCCCCTGTATGCCCTCATGTACCTGGCACTCTAGTTACCTATTTATTCATATCCCTCAGGACTATAAATGCCTTGAGAACAGAGACTCAATCTTCTCTGCCTTACTTTGTAAGTCCTGCTGCCTTGCATAGAGTAGATGCTCCACAAAAACTGAATGAAACATAATAAATATTAGCCATTTATATGTTGGCCTCACCCAAGTTCCTGAGGGCAGACTTTACTGAATGTTGATCTCTGCATCCCTACCAGAGCCTACCATACAGTGGCACTTAAAAGCCTATCACATATATTTTTAAATTCAAGTTTCTAATTTATTTTGAATTTTATTTGCATTTATTCAATTCATGATACGTGTTTACTAAAACAAAACACATTTCTGAAATGAAACAACTCTCTCCCACCCCCGGAAGCTCTTGATAGAGAGGGAAATAAAACTTTTCAACTAATTTTTAGTCCTCAATGTGATGACTACAGAGAAGAAAAGCGACCAAAGCCCACTGTCCAGTCTTTTCTGTGCTGTTCCGGTGGCTCTTCCTCCAGAATCCGGGCAGAACAAAGTCTTTCTTCAAAAAGAGTCACCCTTTGCTGCATAGATTTTATTCAGTCAGCACTCGTTCCCAGCTCTTTCACAACTGTGACATGTTCATTATTTGAAAACTCTCTCTGCCCACCCTGCGTGTGACCATGCCCAGCTCAACTTACAACAGATAGCCAGCTAGGGCAGCATCGTGTTACTGCCCTTGTGAAACACAACTTTAGTGCTAGCAGCCGTTTCACCACTCAGGAGTTCAATGAAAGATGTTCAGTGTGACCTGCAGCCTAATGGCTGATTGGTAGCACACAACAGGCCTACCTCCCAGTACCCTCAATTTTGAGACACACACATATCCCAGTGGAAAAGGTGATAACCTTCTGGGAATCTAGATAAATAGTTCTGTCAAGTTTTCTCCAGGAAAAAATGGTGATTTAACATTCCCAGCTAGGTGCAGGTGCTCAGGCCTATAATCCCAACATTTTGGGAGGCCAAGGCAGGAGGATTGCTTGAGACCAAGAGTTTGAGATCAGCCTGTTTAAGACAGGGAGACCCCATCTCTATAAAAAAATTAGCCGAGGCTGGTGATGCGTGCCTGTAGTCCCAGCTACTCAGGGGACTGAGGTGGGAGGATCGCTTTAGCCTGGGAGTTCAAGGCTGCAGTAAGCTATCATCAAGCTATTGCACTCTAGCCTGGGTGATGGAGTAAAATCGTTTCAAGAAAACAAAAACAGAACAAGCAACAACAACAACAAACATTCCTCTGAGTCACTCTAGTACCAGATTATTTCCATGTGTTACAATAGGGACAATCGACTGCAACATGCGTCATGTCACTTACCTAATACGAAGTCAGAACATAAACATGTGAGCCATATATGATTCCTTCTTCTAATCCTCCTGTTCAAAGCAGTAAGATAAATGGTTTATTCCTCTTGACTTTACAAAATGAAATTAAAAATAAAAATGCTATTGAGTAGAAACCTCCTTGTTCTACCCTGGTCCTCTGGTCAGACACAGAATTTTAAAGTTAGAAAGGATCTTTGAGTCAGATTCCTCATTTAATAAATCTAGTCTGAGACTCACAAAAGTTAAATGGTTTGCCACAGTTAGAAACAAGAACAGAGAACCAAAATTAGAATAAAGGTCTCCTGCCTCCTCAGCCCATGTGCTTTCCAGAATACCACACTAAATCCAGTCTCTTGCCAAGAACTTCACCCTAACCTGATAATCCTGGAGAGGCTGTTCTCAGCTTTACTTCACTCCCTACCTCTTGGTAGTCTAGCTACATAATCATCCACTAAAAAAGAAAAAAAAATTAAAGAGAAGCCTTCCATGTCTAAAAGTAACTTAGTGACAGCATTGTTTTCTTAAAGATATAATATTACCCCTAGCAACTGCTACAGAGTTCTTCCTTCCCCACTGTTTCCAAGACAAGACTGAATGTCCTCTAAGACCCTGCTTCCCTAAATGGTCCTCAAGCATGTTCTGAAAAAAACTAGGAAAGCCCCATACAAGGTCCCTTATTATACAGAGAGAATGAAGTTGGTGCCCATTTGAGAGGAGGTCAGATGACTAGGCACATTCAAGATGGGGAAAACAGTCTTAGAGACTCGAAAGCAATAGAGGACAGCTTCTGTCACTGAACAAATACCAATGAGAATCTAAGTGCCACGCCCTGTGTTACCTGATGCAGTAATTGACAGGGACATCTTAGGACACAAGCTTACAAGCTACTAAATAACTGGTAATTCTCCCCATAAAACCCATCACCATAAAATCCATTAATCCAATAATCCTAAACATGTTCCAGACCTTAGACTTTGCTACAGAAAATACCAAATACATAATTTGGTATCTTAATTTCACATCTGACTATTTCTACTTCTTTTCTCCTAGTCTAATGAGCAAAGAAATAGTTCGAATGTGGGCAACAGAAAAAATGAAAACAGTATTTTTTAAAGATATAATATGAAAATAAATCAAAATAATAAGTAATAGGATATCAGAATATAATTTTGATGGTTTAAGATTCCTTTTGATAAATACTTGAAAAAGTAGAAATTAAGGTTGTGACAACTTAGGGTTTTCATATTCTTTATGCCCATATAAAAGTTAATAAAATAAATTGTGCATAAATTATTTAAAATTATAATTTAGTAACAGTCTTGAGTTAAAAATCTTAGATCATATTAATGAAAACAGAGAAGCAGATAAGTAAAAACATATTAAATTTCTCATTTATCAAGAGATACCATCCTATTCTTAACTGTTAATGATAGGTGTCATATAAATTTAAAGTTAAAAAAATATTTAAAATAATCCTTAGTTTTCAAAGCCTTAGATGCACAATAAGTTAAAAATGAAAACCAAATTAAACATAAAACTTTAAATCAAAACAGCAAAAAATCCAAAACACAATGAAAACAAGGAAGAATTTCAAACAAAAAGCTGAAAAGATCAATAAAACCAATCAGAACAATTTGGAAACAAATTTAAATGCATTAAATATTTGTTAAGAGACAAAGTTCTTTTTAGGATAAAAAATAAAATCCAAGTATGTTCTACTTTTAGGAAACATATCTAAAAGTAATGACAAAGAAAGTGTAAATATAACGGGAAGCACAGATTTATGGAGAAATATAAACTAAGGTAGCAATATCAATGTCAGCTAAAACAAAACACAAGTCATAAATTAGAAAGTCATGGCTGGGTGCAGTGGCACACACCTGTAATCCCAGCACTTTGGGAGGCTAGGCCAGAAGGATCGCTTGAGGCCAGAAGTTCAAGACCAGTCTGGGCAATATAGCAAGGCCCTATCTCTACAAAAAATTAAAAGGAAAAATTAGCCAGGTGTAGTGGCACACTTATAGTACCAGCTAGCCAGGAGGATTGCCCACTTGAGCCCTAGAGATTGGAAGGTGCAATGAGCTATGATCGTGCCTCTGCATTCCAGCCTTGGTGACAAAGCAAGACCCTTTATTTAATAAAAAAAAAAAAAAGAAGTCATATTACTCTGATAAAAGGTATAATCCTCAATTGAGATGCTGACAGTAAATAACACATAACACATTAACACATACACCAAAATAAAAACTTATAGAACTACAAATAATTAAAATTGACGGAAGAAATCAGTGATTTACAACTTTAAGCCTTTGAGAGATCAGACAAAAAAATAATAAAGTTCAACAACATAATAGGTATTTAGGTATCTCATAAAGAAAACTTCTTTAAAAAGGTCTGTGTAACTTTACGAAAACTGATCATAGGCTAGTCCAGAAATACAACCATAAAAATCTAGAAAAGCAGAATGCCATATATTAACATCATTCTATTATTAATACCAAAAGCTTAAAAGTAACTTGGAAATTTGCAAAACATTCTCTCAAATAATTAATCAAAAAGGAACTCTTGGCATGTAATCATATGTATTTTAAAAACTACTTTAATTGAGAATACCATACCAATATATAGACAATATAGCAAACAGTATAAAGAAAAACTTAAAACTCTGAAATGCTTTCCATTTTATATTAGCGTATAAACTTTCTGCCATAACAAAGAGACTCAAAAGTAGCTCAAGTGAGAAAGAAATTCTTCTTTTTCATGCCAAAATATGGGGTGACAGGGGAAGGTGTGTTTCACAAGATCATCTGTGGACCCAGGCTGGCCCTGCCATCTTCCACGTGGTTTCCAAAGTAGTTTCCAACTAAGATGGCTACTGTAACTGGTGTAACATCCCAGCCAGCAGAAAAGGAAAAAAGAAAGTCTAGGGTAAGTGGCTTGTCTTAACAGAGGTGATCTTACACACATTACCATTAACCTCTCATTAGTCACACAGCCACATGTTGCTGTAAAAGAAGCAGAGAAGCACAGTTTCTAGATAGGGAGCCATGTGCTTAGCTAAACTCTAGGGGATCCATTCCTAAAGGAAGAAATAGATTCTGGGCCCGGCACGGTGGCTCACGTCTGTAATACCAACACTTTGGGAGGCCGAGGCTAGCGGATCGCAAGGTCAGGAGTTCGAGACTAGCCTGGCTAATATGGTGAAACCCCATTTCTACTAAAAATACAAAAACTAGCCGGGCATGGTGGCGGGCACCTGTAGTCCCAGCTACTCAGAAGGCTGAGGCAGAGAATTGCTTGAACTTGGGAGGCCGAGGTTGCAGTGCACCGAGATCGTGCCACTACACTCCAGGCTGGGTGACAGAGCAAGACTCCGTCTCCGAAAAAAAAAAAAAGATTCTAAGGGACATTGGTATGTTGGTATGTCTTCTAACCAGTTTTTCTAGTTAAAAAACATGAAATAAAAGTCAACTCAAGAAGTTAAGAACACGAAAGCAGAACCAAGAACCAGTTGTAATTATTTCATTTTATCTGGCTGCTTCTTAGTGTCCAGGGTACTACCAAACATCGATTCAAGAAACTGGAAATGTACACCAATTCATTCCGAGGATTCCAATACATCAAACTACAGACTAGACAGTATATTGAGAATTCGTCTACTCTCTTTCCTTATTTAGGGACTTTTAATTCATATATTCTTTATGTATATTGTATACACTGATTTATCTAAATGGATTTTTCAGGATGACTAAGTTTTAGCATTACACAAAGGTCTTCTAACATTAGACAGAAGTTAATCTTTTGCTAGTAAAACAACTTTCAAAATTTGTGTACCAGGGTTTTTTTAAGCATTGTTACTGAGATAATAGTTTACATATAATAAAATATATAAATTTTAAGTGTACTTTTCAGTGGGTTTGGACAAATTTATATCTCCATATAATCACCACCAGAATCAAGATATAGAACACAACCATTATCCCAAAAAGTTCCCTTGTACTGCCTCCAGATCAGTCACAACCCACCCTTAGCTGCATGCAACAACTTGTCCACTGTTTGTCACCATACAGTAAATTTATCTCTTCTCACACTTCTGATATACTAACCTAGAGCAGTAAATGGAATCAGTTGTGGTGTTCTGTATCTGGCTTATTTTACTCAGTATAATGTTTTTGAAGTTTATCCATATTTCTAGTGTGTATTATTTTCAAAATGGTAAATGAACATTGGCTTCAAGTCACCAGCTGCATTAGCCCCTAGCAAGAGAGTCAGCTTCTCCTTTGAAGCTTTGAAGCCAAGCATTGACTCTCCCTCTCTAGCTATGAAAGTCTTATATGATATCGTCTTCGAATATAAGGCTGTTTCATTTGCATTGAGGCCATTAAGAATTATGCTAGGGCCATGAATAATTATGCTAAATCTACACTACTCTGTAAATGGAACAACAAAGCCTGGATGACAGCATGTCTGTTTACACTATGGTTTGCTGAATAGTTTAAGCCCACTGTTGAGAGTCACTGTTCAGAGAAAAAGATTCCTTTCAAAATATTATTGCTCAATGAAAATGCACCTAGTCACCCAACAGCTCTAATGGAGATGTACAAGGACATTAATGTTGTTTTCATGCCTGCTAACATGATATCCATCCTGCAGCTTACGGAACAAAAAGTAATTTCAGTTTTCATTCCATGCTCATGGATAGGAAGAACCAATATCACGGAAATGGCCATACTGCCCAAAGTAATTTATAGATTCAATGCTATCCCCATCAAGCTACCACTGCCTTTCTTCACAAAACTGGATAGAACTACTTTAAACTGCATATGGAACCAAAAAAGAGCCTGCATAGCCAAGACAATCCTAAGCAAAAAGAACAAAGCTGGAGGCATCATGCTACCTGACTTCAAACTATACTACAAGGCTACAGTAACTAAAACAGTATGGTACTGGTACCAAAACAGATACATAGACCAATGGAACAGAACAGAGGCCTCAGAAATAACATCATGCATCTACAACCATCTGATCTTTGACATATCTGGACTTCTTGGTCCAGAGCTGAGTTCAAGTCCTGGATATCCTTGTTAATTTTCTGTCTCATTGATCTAATATTGACGGTGGGGTGTTAAAGTCTCCCACTATTATTGTGTGGGAGTCTAAGTCTCTTTGTAGCACTCTTTAAACTGAGGAGAAATCTCTCTCTGTAACTTTTCCCCATTGATTCTAGCTATGACTTTCTGTAGATCTAAATCCAGTCCTTCTTATTCTTGAAAGCAATCCAAATTACCAAAACTAGGAATGCTAAAGCTGTAATATTTTTATTGTGACTCTACTGATACATGTGCTAGAGAGTCTTGGATATGCACTTTTCTTCTCTCTAAATCTACCTCCACTGGTACTAGGCTAAACTGGTTGGAGTGAGGGGTGTGGGATCACGGAACCAGGAGAAGCTAGCTGATTACAAATGGACTTGGGAGTATCTAAGGAATAGCAAGAAGGCATGTGTGGCTAGAGGAGAGTGAGCAAGACAGTGAGTGACAGGAGATAAAGTCAGCAGGCCTGTTAGAACATGTGAGACAACGTTTCATCCTGTGTGTGCTGGGTAGCCACTGAAGGGTTCTGAACAGAGGAATGACAGAAACTGTTTAACATTAAAAAAAAAAAAAAAAACACCTTTTACTCCTATATGGAGGACTGACTGGAGAGATACAATGAGGAGATAAGGAAGGCCGGTTAGAAGACGATATTATCACCTAGGTGACTTATGACAGTGACTTACAATAGGGCAGTAAGGGTGAGGAGTGGGGTAGGAGTAATTTGGGATACATTTTGAAAGGCAGGCATATAAGCCTTACTAATGGACTGGATGTGGGATATGGAATAAAAAGTCACACATGACTTTGAGTTTTTGGCCTGGAACAACTGGGTATATCACTTACCCAGGGAGAAAAGTTCAAGATTTACATTTTAGACATACTAAGTTTGAAATGTTTATTAGACTCCAAAATGGAGATGTTGAAAAGACATAAAAATAAGTCTAGAACTCATGGGAGAGACCAAAGTAAAGAAATTGTAAATTTGGGAGAACAGATGGCATTTAAAACATGGGATCATATGAGATCGTGTGGAAAATAAATACAGAAGGCTAAGGACTGAGCCCTGAGAAATGTCAACTTTTAGAGACCATAAAGAAGAGAAGATAGCAAAGGAGATTTTGTACTTTTATGACTCTTCCTCAAAAAGAAGTTAGAATTATTTTATGTCTACAAACTATGAAGTCCATAGCCAACCATCATAATCCTCTTCAAAAACCACTTTTTAGAGTCACATGCCTACTCTATTTCTGACTCCTGACCAACTAACAATCTGAATAGCTACATTTCACCTGTCAGCTGTTCAACTACCCCATCCCTGGTCTCTGGCATGTGTTGCAGTTTCTGGATCAAAGTTTTCACAACAGCTAGGAACTTCTAGTTGTCCAACAGTTACCAGGAGGCACGTGGAGAGCATGTTCCCCAGAGCTGCCAAAAGTTCTTGGCATATGATCAACGAAGCACACAATGAATGAGTGTTCAGCAATTAATCAGGTGACAGAGAACAACTGACATGTTAGGGGACTGCAGAATGAGCCAGAGTAAAGCTAGACAAGAAACACAAGTCCTTACTCCAGGCTGCTCACCCCAGGAGAATCCACTCTAGGTCACCCAGTGTGATCAGATATTCTTACCTAGAAAAGCTGAAATAATCCGAAGTTTACTACGTGTTTATGGAAACATGACAGCATTTCCTGGGAGCTGCTTATATCATGAACAAACAGTAGGTACTGTACATAATAGGCACTTGTTCTGTCCGCCTCCCCATCTCAGAATTAGACTGGAGACAGCTCTTCTCTCTCAGCCTCATCTGTAAAGGGAATTCCAGCCTATCTCATAGGTAATTATGAAGATTATATGAGATAATGTAAGTAAAGTGCCTGGTACATAGAAAATGTTCAGGCCGGGCGTGATGGCTCACACCTGTAATCCCAGCACTTTGGGAGGCCGAGGCAGGGGGATCATGAGATCAGGAGTTCGAGACCAGCCTGACCAACATGGTGAAACCATGTCTCTACTAAAAATACAAAAAAAATTAGCTGGGCTGGTGGCGTGCACCTGTAATCCCAGCTGCTCAGGAGGCTGAGGAAGGAGAATTACTTGAACCCGGGAGGTGGAGGTTGCAGCAAGCCGAGATTGTGCCATTGCACGCCAGCATGGGTGACAGAGCGAGACTCCATCTCAAAAAAAAAAAAAAAGTTCAATATATACTAGCTATTCTTATTTACACTTTGATGACCACAAATTACAATCAGCTGAATGGTAAGCATGTCCCTAAAAACAATACTTTTAATGCTCTTCTAGCACAGAATAATAAGTTTTTCTTGTTTGCTTGTTTTGTGTGAACTATTACATGATCAATGTAATTTAAACTTGGCCTGAGAAAACCATCCTTTTTCTCTTTCTTTTTTTTTTTTTTATTTTTGAGATGGAGTCTCGCGCTGTCACCCAGGCTGGAGTACAGTGGCGCGATCTCGGCTCACTGCGAACTCCGCCTCCCGGGTTCACACCATTCTCCTGCCTCAGCCTCCTGAGTAGCTGGGACTACAGGCACCTGCCACCACGCCTGGCTAATTTTTTGTATTTTTAGTAGAGACGGGGTTTCTCCATGTTAGCCGGGATGGTCTCGATCTCCTGACCTCGTGATCCACCTGCCTCAGTCTCACAAAGTGCTGAGATTATAGGCATCAGCCACCGCGCCCGGCCATCCTGTCTTTTTCTCAACTTCCCAACCAAGGTTAGCACAATCATGTTAAACAACTAAAAAATAGATTATAATTCTTTAACTATAATTCTATTAACATGAGACTGTTAACACCAATTCTGGCTAAAGACTACCAAGCAACACAGAAATTTCCAAGCCGGACAATTATTCTGCAAGAGTTATTCAGGCATGGGTCTGTTGTTTTAAGTGTCTATATCCTTTAAGTATAATATATTTATATTTCCCTTTATGAAATTTAACTAAAATCATTAAATTTGGCAGCAGAAGCAGGAAACCATCTACAAGACCTGCATGGCTACTTTACTTTTATTAATGAAAAGTTACATAAGAGTTTCAGCAAACTACAAAGTTTCCTTCTTATAAGTCTTTTAATATTTATAGAAATTTAAAATAGTTATCATGCTAGAGTCCATTTTAGAAACTGAGAATTTCTATTATCTGACAGCAATAGATTCTGTATTATTTTAGCTCAATTACAGAAATGGATATGTAAGAATTATATTCATCTTTATTCGTACTTGTTAACAATACATCTACCATGTCTACTACTTGACCTAGAAGCTCAAGTAGTGTGACTGAACAAAACTACACTAACAGGGTCTCAACCCCAAACCACTGAGTCACATTATTGGACTTTTTTCTCTAAACAATACACTAAAGAAAAGAAAAAGAAGTGTACTGGGAACCATTTAAAGGGCCTGCTTGGAATAACAGAAAAAGTTACACAAAAGGACCAAAGAACACAAGTGGCTTAAAGTATCAAAGAGAAAGCCTGTAACCAAGTACGAGGAGATGTCCGCAAACACCATGCCCATTGTATCAGTCCTTTCTTGCGCTGTTATAAAGAACTATCTGAGACTGGGTAATTTATAAAGAAAAGAGGTTTAGTTGGTTCATGGTTCCTCGAGCTGCACAGGAAGCATGGTTGGGGAGGCCTCAAGAAACTTTCAACCACAGCGGAAGGCAAAGGGGAAGCAGGTACATCTTACATGGCTGAAGAGGAATAGTGTGAAGGGGGAGGTGTTACACACTTTTAAACAACCGGATCTCATGAGAACTCACTCACTATCACAAGAACAGCAAGAAGGAAATTCGCCCTCATGATCCAATCACCTCCCATCAGGCCCCTCCTCCAACATTGGAAATTACAATTTGACATGAGATTTGGGCAGGGACACAAATCCAAAGCATATCACCAATGTTAAAAAAATAAAATTGCATACTTCCTATAAACTGAAAAATGAAACCTATAGCCATGTATTTCCTTGAATCGTTTTTATGTAATCTGGATTTTTCAAATTATTTTTTTTATTTTTTTAAACCATGGTCCAGAAAATCTACTTCTAAACTATACATTTTGAATCAATAAACTGACTTTTGTGCTTCAAGTAAACTTATTTTGAAATAATTTTAGATTTACAAGATAGATACAAAAATAGTATAGACTTCCTATACACCCTTCATCCAGTTGTCCATAAAGTTAAACATCTTACATAACCACAGGACATTTGTCAAAACTAAGAAATTAACATTGATTAATTTCTAATTGATTACTATTAACTATAGACTTCATTTATATTTCACCTGTTTTTCTACTGTCTTTCTTTAGTTCCTAGGTATAACCCAGGGTACCATATTGCATTTAATTATTTTTTCTAATGCTCTAAATTTTGCTACATGCCATACTTCTATGTCTTATAAACAATATCTTCATTGTAATTATTATACAAATAAGCCTAAAATTCCCTGGGAAATATGATTTGTTAGCTATTAGGGAAATGTTACATGAAGATTCATGTAAATGTGATATTTCTACAAATGTTATACTGAAGAGAAAAGAGTTAATTGCTGAAGTAAGATATGCCCCACTGTCTACTTTGCCAGGAACCTATGAGATCAAATTACTTAATGTTTCAGAAATCTCTCTTCAAAAAATGCTTGTCACTTACCTATATCCCAAGGCTCCTGTAGAGTCATAAGATATACCGTAAATCCTTTTAATTAATTCTGTAACAATACAAAGTATTATTATAATCATATTCAGATAATCCATTTTCATCAAATATATGTAAAAGGTGCCTTCTTTTCAAGTTTCATTTTTAATTACTGTATATTTTTATTAAGATAATAAAAGAACTAATGTAGAAGAAAATAATTCCATAGTTGATTACATGTCTTTAGTTTAAAAATGAAAGCATGCAAAATTTAATAAAAGTTTTAAGATAAATAGAAAATGTTCCAGAAAAAAAGAAATGCCACAATGAATAAAACTGGCTAAGAAGAATGCTTCACATTCTTTTCCATGTGCATAATACTGTGGAAATTAGTAAACAGTCACAAACAAGTGATTCATATTCAGGGCGCAGCCTTTTTGACAGGAAAACAGTAATCAAGAGTTTGGGATTTGAAGATTTTTAAAAGGACACATGTCTAGTAAAGTGTGTCAGTTTGCCTGAGACAGTCCCAATTTACGGCCATTGTCCCAGTGTCCCACAAATTTACCATTTGTCCTGGATTTTTCATTTTCTAATGATTTTTTTTAATGATAGCATTAAAATATGCTAAGACTTACTTGTACTTTTAGGCTCTGCCATAATCTCATTGAGCCATGTGTGAGATGCATGTGCAATGAAGCCAGTTGTCAATTTCGCAACTTGCTTAAATCTTTAAGACACCTAGCAGTAACCCATTTCTAAATGTACTAAATGTACTGTAACTGATACTTCATTCTTAAAGACAGCACCCAGGCACCATGCAGAAAAAGTATACCTAGGCAGGAGCAGGTAGGGACAGCTAACTCCTCCAGTCTTGAATGAAGGTAGAAGAAATACTGAATACTGCTCCCTGCTCATGGCTAGCTTAAAGACACGGATTTAATGAAAGCAGACAGGACAGAGAAAGTGTTTTACGTATTATTCTCTAAAGCATGACTTTTCATCTAGATCCAATGACTTTTTAAAAAAATGCACTTAGTTCTGATTCTAAAGCGTCTCTTTTACATCATCAAAGTAAAGTGAAAACTGGTTGGCTCCATTAACAGAAAAACTCACAGTTAAATGTTGCCAGCTTTCTGTCAGCATCAGGAGATGTACCAACCAGAAAAATCAGTTAATTCCAATAATGGTTTGATGATTTCATCTAATTCATGAAACCAAAGTAAAGCTTTTGGAAGTTCATTCTGTAGAATATGAAACACTTGACATTGCTTTAATTGCTACTTAAAAATCAGTTTAGAAGTTCAACAACAAAGACAAAATTACCGTTGGTTCTCCTTATTCACAGTAGTTAAGTTCTATGAAGTCACCATGAACACTGAATTAGGGAATACCAAACTGTTTACTCATAAGGGAAATTCAGGGTTGGGTTCCTGAGAGCTCCTGAGAGCCTCTGATTACATTTTAATTAGCTGATCAAACATAACCTCATTTTATGTATATTTCTGTTTCAAGATACCTTATTAATATATAGTCATCCACTGCATGATGTGTCAGTCAACAACAGACTGCATATATGATGGAGGTGGTCCCATAAGATTATCAAGCTATATTTTCACTGTACATTTTCTATGTTTAGATAAATAAATATTTACTATTGTGTTACAATTGCCTACGAATTCAGTATAGTAACACACTGTACAGGTTTGTAGCCCAGGAACAAGAGGCTATACCAAATAGCCTACGTGTATAGTAAGCTATAGATTCATATCAGTACACTCTATGATACTTTCACAATGACAAAATCACCTAATGATACATTTCTCAGAATTTAACCCTGTTGTTAAGCAATGTATGGCTGTTCACTGTTGAGTCACTAACACTGAACTCATAGCCAACAGCACTATAAGTTTATCTATCACATGCATTTTCTCCTTAAGGCACATCACAGCCTTCTTGCACTTAGGCGCAATATACAGCACTTCAGTTCCACACTGGGTAGTCATTTTAAACACAGAAATCATAAGCCTAAAAAAGCAAAAATCATGGCACTATATAAACCACAAAAAGGAGACTTGTTTACCGTATGAGAGCTGAAGGAAATCAGCTTGTCAACTAGGAATGTGTTGAGCAATCCAAATTTTTCACCATTCTGTACCATTTGCAGTCATGCACTCAGTTGAATGCCTAGTGTCATGAGTATTGATTTTGCAGTTACAAATAAATTTTATAGGTTCAGTATCCCTTACCCTGAAATGTTTGGGGTCGGAAGTGTTTTGAATTCAGAGTTTTTAAAAATTTTGAAACATTTGCATTATATACTTATTGAGTATCCCTAATCCAAAAATCTGAAATCCAAAATGCTCCCATGAGTATTTCATTTGCGCATGACCCTTGAGGATTGTGTTGAGCATCATGTTGGCACTCAAAAAGTTTAGGATTTTAGAGCATTTCTGATTTTAGATCAGAGATGCTCAATCTGTAGTAAGCAGACGAATTCATGAAAACAAAATCTGTGAATAATAAGGGTCAATTCTATTTGTTTTTACAGTGATAACACAATTACAAACCTTGGTTGAGTACAGCATCATAGAAAGAACAATGTTCTTACTAAATTTAAAAAATGGTGAAACAGAAATAAACTTGGACTTGGCTGTGGTTCACATATAATTCACAGCTGTGCCCAAAACTGCAATATATTACCAATCAAAATTGGGGGAAACATATTTTACAACTGAATCCACAAAAGATGTGACATTCTACCAATTAAAATTTACAAACGTTTATACACACACACAGGGTTAAAAAAATTGAACTAAGGCTGGGTGTGGTGGCTCACACCTGCAATCCCAACATTTTGGGAGGACGAGATGGGAGGATTGCTTGAGCTTGGGTGGTCAAGGCTGAAGTAAGCTGTGATCACACCATTGCACTTCAGCCTGGGCAACAGAGTACACCCCTGTCTCAAAAAAAAAAAAAAAACTAAAATATTTGTGACAAAGCTGATGCTGAATTAAAAAAAAAAAATTCCAGCATGATAGTCCATGTTTTCTTTTTGTTATCTATCTTAGAATTCTTTGAGGCTTAGACTTTGCAAAATCATCAACATAACGGATGATTTTCATTCAAACATTACATTCAAAGTCAGTTGAAAATAGCTATGGACTAAACGTTTGTGTCACCTTAAATTCTTATGCTGAAGCCCTAATACCCAATGTGATGGTATTCAGAGGTAGTGCCTTTAATTAGCGTTAGATTAGGTCATGTTGGTGGGGCCCTCCTGATGAGATTAATGCTGTTATAAAAAGAAACAGATCTCTCTCTCTCTCCCCACCCACCACCCCCCATCCAAGTGCACACACCCAGGAAGGGCCATGTGAGGACATAATGAGAAGATCAAACCAGGTCTGCAAACCAAGAAGCAGGCCCTCACCAGAAACTGATCTGCTGGTGCCTTGATCTTTGACTTTCCAGCCTTCCGAACCGGGAGAAATGAATTGTTGTTTAAGCCACCCAGTATGTCATATTTTGAGAGAGCAGCCCAAACTAAGACAGAAATCTTTTATTCAAGATTTAATTTTTATGGCGAACTTACTTTTTTACTTAAATAAGTTTATATTATGTACTAGAATAAAATGAACTTGAGAATGCCTACAATTTAGCAGCATCTAAATTTGGTTAAGATGTTTAAAAGATTTCCATAATAGACACAATTTATTTGACAAGTTTGTCATAAAAATTTTATTGAATAAAGGTGCTGTAAATCGAGTTTACTGTTTTTTTTAATAGTAGCTTTGAAAATGTATGTGCTAGAATATTTACATATTAAACTATTACAAAATAAAATTTAATAGAATTTGCTTTGAACTTACCAGGTACCTCATTATCGACATAGAGATTACATTCTCAAATTTAAAAATCACAATTTATATAGAAAACAGTAACTTGAAAAAAATCAATAATTTCAAATGTAGCAATCACAAAATGCAACCTGAAAAAGACTACAATTTTATGAAGCAATTAAAGATAAAATACAACCGTATTTTTAAAATTTTTTTTCCAGGAAAATACAGAGAGCTGTATTCTGTGGAGCTCCTTAGTACTTTCTAATCTCCCTTATGTAGTATATTATTAGTCAGGGTTCTCCAGAGAAAGAGAGAGATAACAAGATTATAATTATTGTACCTAATAAATATATTAGTACAAATTATAGCTAAGAAACTAAATAATGTAAGCTTTTACTGAGAATTATATTTACGCTATTTTTAATGTTAAAACAGTTTTGCTTTAATGAATATAGCTATATGTTAATATGTTTTAGAAATAACTTTATTTTTAAAATAATTTCTTAATAGGACTATTTTATAGGTTCGCCAATATGATGAAACCAATTTGTCAGTCAAGCAATAAAATTATATAAGTTTACAGTTTTTTAGAAAGAATATCAATTTTGGCAATAAACAGTTAACCTAGATGTGACAGTTAATTTTATGAGTCACTTTGGATAGGTTATGATGGCCAGCTGTTTGGTATAACACTAATCTAGATGTTGTGTGAAGGTCTCTGTGGATGTAATTAACATTTATAATTAGTTGACTTGAAATAAAGCAGACTCCATACTGTGGTGGGCCTTATTCAATCAGATGAAGGCCTCAACAGCTAAGATAAAAGTTACCTGAAAAAGAGGCAAGTCTACATCAAGATGGTAACATAGAAATGCTGAGTTTCCAGCCTACTAGCCTATTTTGCAATTTTTACACTCAAGACCATTACCAACTCTTACTTAAGTATATAGCCTGCTGCTGTATTCTACATGTTTGATTTGCCAACTCCCAAAATCCTGTGAGCCAATTCCTTAAAATAAACTCTATATCTTTCTCTTGTTCTCTCTCTGTTTCTCTGGAGAACCCTGACTAATAATATACTACGTAAGGGAGATTAGAAAGTATTTAAGGAGCTCCACCAAAAGGAAGCTGCTCCCTGATAAGAGTAGAGAGAAAGGGTTTTATTTTAAGAAACATGCAAGTAAAGAAGAATTAACATTAGCATTAACTTCTTTTAAAGAAGAACAGAATCCCAGATTCTATGGCCACATCTTCCTATACCAGAATGATACATAACCCAATAACCCTGACCCTTAGCTTTCAGAGAACAGGGACATATCTTACATCTCTTTGTATCCCCTTTCTAGCAGTGAGTGTGAGACAGAGAAGATGCTCTAAATGGTTGCTGAATAAACTAAAGTCTCAGAAGACATCTCCAGTCCTAAATGTGATTAAGGGGGCGAGAATGTATGCAAAAATATGGATTTTAATGTTTTGAGTAGTATTGTGGTGTTGTCATTCTGAGACTGTTGTGTGTGCACTATAGGATGAAAATACATAATTGTAGGACTTTCCAGTTCTATAAGCACTCATATCCTTGAAAACAGAGGAAAGAGATACAGAAAGAAGATTTAAACACACTATCATCTCCACCATAGTCTCAAGTTTGAATTGGAAACACCAATATAAACTTATGAAATATTTTTATTTTATCTTCAATATGTGCACATACTTCTGATCTCTGTCTACAGAAAGGGCTGAGAGAAAACATGATCACCCCTTAAACAGTAGGGCTTCTAAGAGAAATAGCTGAATCTAGGACTCAGGAGCTAAGTTTAAGAGGCTTCCATTGGCCAAAGATGGAATAATTTGAGCTTCAGTGATGGTAATACTTGAAATGAATTAACTAATACGTTAAATTCTAAAAGTTCATAATAATATTCTTAAAAAACTGGTCACCTTTAAGAGATGATAGAGAACCAATTCATTATCTTAAGAAATATATCAAAGGGAAAAAATCAAGAATTTATGTTACCTGTCTTTTGAGAACTCTGGGTAACTGAATAAGAAATAAGGACATGTATCTCTTTATAAAAATATTCCAATGAATAAATGAAAAAAATAAAAAGAATTAGAATGTTACTATTTTTCAAACCTTAATGAACAAATAGATACAAATAATATGCATAAATGGCTGCTAAGATCACAAAAAAAGATGCAACCAAACATTGACAGTAGGTTATCCAGACCAGCAGCCTCAGCCTCACTCA
Organism: Homo sapiens; assembly: GCF_000001405.40. Lineage (NCBI taxonomy): Eukaryota > Metazoa > Chordata > Mammalia > Primates > Hominidae > Homo > Homo sapiens. The sequence goes on from NC_000010.11 coordinate 30,990,448, forward strand.
GATACTTGCCAGAAATACAAACCCTCAGGTCCAACCTCCAATCTCCTGAATCAGAAGGTTTGGGCATAGGACCCAGTAATCTGCATTTTATTATTACAAGCCCACCAGGTGATTCAGAGGTATCCTAAACTTCATTAAATTCTATGTATAGAACTGCCAAAGGAATCAAATCTGAGTCTGATCCAGTTCATGGACAGCTGCCAATTTATAGGAATTATAGAGGTCAGAGAAACGTGTGGATCTACACCACAAATACGCACACATTAAAATCCAGAATGTGGGAAATTCTACAGATCAAACCTCCCAGGTTCTTCAACAGGTAAACTGTATGAAACTTAAAGGGATGGAGAAGGAACGTAAAGATTAAGAATCTATAAAGTAACCTGTATAGATTAAGAGAGATTGAAGATATATCTTTTTTTTTTTAATGAGCAAAACCAAGAGACAACTTCCAGAATGGAGGAATGAAGAGTGCCATAGAATTTCTCCCCAACAAAAACAATTTAACTGGAAAAAAAATTGTTTAAAACAACCACTTAAACTGGAAATTGTTTGAAGAGTATATAATAAATGGAGAAACATGCATTCAAGAAAATATTCTAAATCTTGGTAAGAGCCTGTCAGTGGCATTTGAGCCATGACCTGCTCCCACCTTACCTCCCCTGCACCTCCAAGCTCTGACTTATGTCTTAGTCTGTTTTACTTACTCGAGAGCTCTAGTCCAGAAGGTCCGGTCAAGAATATGGGGGCTCCTTTTCCCCTCAGCTCCCAAGCTGGGGCTGCATTTTCACCCTGGTAGAACAAGCCACTGGCACTGTTCATTTTCCCTAGCCCTCTATGGTAGAGTTTCTATTCTGTAGAGGCACAGCTGAGAGGGCCAGGGCTTCCTTACTCTAGCCAGCCCTCATTTGTGGGGCAAAAGTTCTACTCTAGGTGCAGCAGGCTGAAAACACTGGGCTTCTATCACTCCTGGATCAACTTGCTGGTGGGGCAAAGGTTCCATATCCATAGGGGCAAGCCAAGAAGACAAGTGGCTAATGCCCATGCTCCCAACACCCTTTTATAGCAGGGGTGTCACTCTGGAAGAAGTGAGTCACTATTCCTGCCCCCAGTTTCTGTGCAGTGGTGCAAGGTTCTACCTGTGGGGAGATGCAGACTGGAGACAGCAGCCCTTAAGGACAAAAAGTTCCTCTGCTCTGTCTGAGGGAATTGACATAGTTAAGAAGGTGCTCATGGCCCCAGGATACAAGCAGCAACCAACAAATTAGGACTATCAGAAGTTTAACAGAACTAGAAAAAGAGACAGCCAGCTCACAGTAAACACAGAGGTCAGGAAGGCTGTGCCCAAGTGGGAGGCTGCATCCACTTGAGCAATCAGAGCTTGATATGGGCACAAGCCACACAGATCAATTAAAAAAGGAAGCTTCACTGTCACTCGGGGGCTGAAGTATAACCTCTGATCAAACAGTGGCTGAACAATAAGCTCTTCTGCCCCAAGATCAACTCCTAGGAAGCCAGGCTTTAATATGAAAGTATCCCTGGCAGTTTACTAGACTGTGGGCATGCTCAAGGCTTGCTTCGCTCAGGAGTGACTGGGAATGAATAATCCAAGCTACTAATCTATGGCTGAACATGGGGCAAAACAAACTTCTTGCCATCTGCAAGACCCTTGCCAGATGTTAGTACCTTACTCTTGGACTTCCCAGCCTATACACTGTAAGAAATAAATTTATTTTTTGGTATTCTGTTATAGCAACAGAAACAGACTGAGACATAAAATTGGTACCAAGACGTAGGATTTTTGCTATAATATCTGAAAATGAAGAAGTGGCTTTGGAACTGGGTAACGGGTAGAAGCTGGAAGACTGTGGAGGAGCTGGATAGAAAAAAACCTGCATTGCCATAAATGGAGCATTAAGGGTGATTCTGGTGAAGGTTCTGAAGATGACTAGAGAAACTCTGAATCTTCTTTTTTTTTTTTTTTTAAGACAGTCTTGCTCTGTCGCCCAAGTTGGAGTGCAATGGTGCAATCTCAGCTCACTGCAACCTCTACCTTCCAGGTTCAAGTGATTCTCCTGCCTCAGCCTCCCAAGTAGCTGGGATTACAGGCATGCGCCACCAAGCCCCACTAATTTTTGTATTTTTATTAGAGGAGGGGTTCTGCCATGTTGGCCAGGCTGGTCTCAAACACCAAACCTCAGGTGATCTGCCTGCCTTGGCCTCCCACAGTGCAGGGATTACAGGCGTGAGCCACCGTGCCCAGCCTGAATCTTCTTAGAGATTACTTAAGTGCTCATGACCAGAATGTTGATAGAAATATGTAAAGGTCATTCTGAAGAGGCCTCAGATGGAAATGAGGAGCAAGGTACTAGAACTTGGAATAAAGGCCACACTTGTCACAAAGCAGCAAACAGCCTGACACGCCTCAAGGCTATGTCCATGCCCTAGGGGTTTGTGGAATGCTGGACTTGAGAGTGATGAACTAGCATATCGAGTGGAAGAAATTTCTAGCAGCAAAACATTCAAGATACTGTGTGGTTACTTTTTGCTACTTACAGTGAGATTTGGGAGCAAAGGGATGACAAAGACAGAATTTATAATCAAATGAAAAGCAAAGTGGAAAGATTTGGAAAACTCTCCTCAGGCTGGCTATGTAGAATTTAAAAAGCTTGTTTAGGAAAGGAAACCAAGAATGTGGCCTAGCAACCATTTGCTAAAGAGATTCATATTGATACAAGGGACCCAGAGGCTATTCATCAGGACAATTAGAGAAAGACTCCAAAAGGCATTTCACACATCTTCAAAGCTGCTCCTCCCATCAGAGGCCCAGAGGCCTAGGAGTGCAGAATGGTTTTGTGGGAGCCCATGGCATCCATGGCATTCTGCACAGCCCGCTGTCCAGGACTGCCTCAGGACTCTGCTCCCTGCACCCCACAGCAATGCTCTGTGGCTGCCCCAGTCATGACCCAAGTAGCAGCAAGTGTGGCTCAACTCACCACTCTGGAAGGCACAAGCTATAAATTTTGGTGGCATCCACAAGGTGCTAATTCTGCAGCTGTACAGAATGTAACAGAAGTGGGGCTATGGTAGTTTCACCTAGATTTCAAAGGATATACCAAAAAGACTGGTGCCCTGGCAGAGACTTGTCAACAAGGGTAGACTCATTGCTGAGAGCCCCTCGTAGGGCAATGCCTAGTGCAGCCAGAAGCAAGGCCGCAGCAGAGTCCCCACTAAAGTAATGCCTAATGGAGCTGTGGGAGCAGGAATGCTGCTGAGATCCCAGAACTATACCACCAGCATGCAGGTCCAACCTGCGAAAGCCACAGGCACCCAACTGTAACCTACAAGGGCTGACATATGGACTGAGCATAGTAAAGCCACGGGGTGGAACCACTTGAGGCCTTGGAGGCCCAACCCTGCACCCGTGTGCCCATGATGCAGGACATGGAGTCAAAGGAGATTATTCTCCAGCTGTAAGATGTAATGCTGTTTTCCTTGTTGGGTTTTCGTTTTACATGGGATCTGTTACTCCTTAATTTTTTCCTGTTCCTCCCTTTTGGAATGGCAATGTCTGTCCTACGCCTGCTCCACCACTATATTTTGGAAGTAGGTAACTTATTTGATTTAACAGGCTCACAGCTGAAAAGAATCTGCCTGAAGGCAAATAACACCATGTGTCTCACTCAAATCTGATTTACATGAGACTTGGAACTTTGGGCTTTTGAATGCATGATAGAATGAATGAAGACTCTGGAGCTACTGGGATGGAATGAATGTATTCTTAAACACCAGAAGGACATAAATTTTGGGTGCCCAGGGTGGAATGCTATGGTTTAAATGTGTTCTCCAAAGGTTCACCGTATTGGAAACTTGGTCCTGAATGCAGAAGTATTGAGAAGTAGTACTTTTAAGAGGTGACTGGGTCATGAGGGTTCTGCTCTCATGAATGGATTAGTAGATTAATAAGTTACTGGATTAATGGGTTATCACGCAGGTAGGCTAGCTATCACAAGAGTGCATCTGTTTATAAAATCCAGTTTTGTTCTCACTCATGTGCCCTCTCAGCATGTGATGCTCTGTGCCACCTTGGGACTCTGTAGAGAATTCCCACCAGCAAGAAGGCCCTCACCAGAGGCTCGCACCATGCTCTTGGACTTCTCAGCTTCCAGAACCATAAGAAATAAATTTCTTTTCCTTATTGGTATTGGTCTTTGGTATTCTGTTACAGTAACAGAAAATGGACTAAAACAGATGCCATTAGGAGAAAAAAGAGGCAGAAATAATACTTAAAGAAATAATGAGGCTAGGCATGGCGGCTCACATCTGTACCTCCAGCATCTTGGGAGGCCGAGGTGGGAGGATTGCTTGAGCCCAGGAATTTGATACCAGCCTAGGAAACATGGTGAGACCCTGTCTCTATAAAAAATATTAAAAATTAACCAGGCAGGGTGAAACACACCTGTAGTTCCAGCTACTCAGGAGGCTGAGGTGGGAGGACTGCTTAAGCCTGCAGTGAGGTAGAGCCTGCAGTGAGCTGAGATCATGCCACTATACTCCAGCCTGGGTGAGAGAGTGAGACCCTATCTCAGAGAGAGGAAAAAAAAAAATGAATGAAAAAGAACAAAAAATAAATAAATAATGGTTGAAATCTTTCCAAATTTGATAAAAGAAAAAGAAATATGAATCTACACATCCCCCAAGGAGCTCAACAAATTCTAAATAGGATAAATACAAAGAGATATACTTCCAGACACATTACAGGCAAAATCTTGAGAGCCAAAGACAAGGAGAAAATCTTGAAAGCAGCAAGAGCAAAATGACCAGACAAGTACAAAGCAGCCCCCAATACGATTAACAGCTGACTTCTCATTAGAAACAAGGGAGGCCAGAAAGCAATGGAATTAAATATTCAAAGTACTAAAGTAAAATACTGTGAATTATGACTCTAATATCCAGCAATACTGTGTTTTTAAAATAAAGGTCAAATTAAGGCATCCCCAGAAAAATAAAGACAGAAAATTTGTTGCTAGAATATCTGTTTCACAAGAAATACTAAAGGAAATTCTTCAGGCTAAAAGCAAGTAACACCAAACAGTAATTGGAAGCCCCAAAAAACAAAGCATGCCAGTAAAGGAAATTACGTACATTATTGCAAAAGACACTGTAATTGCATATTTCTTCCCCTTTCTTCTCTTAACTGATTTAAAGAATAATTCAATAAAACACTGTAGCTATAATTTAATTATTGGGCTAACAACATTTACTGCTATACATTTAGACAATAACAGCACAAAAGAAGCAGGTGAGAACAAAGTTCTTCGGGAGTAAGAAAATGACCCCAGAGCTAACTCAAATATGCAGAAATATGTAAAGAAAATAAAAAATAGAGAGGTCAATACAACTAACTATAAATACGTACTTGCTCTCCCTTGTCTCAGCTTCTTCAAAAGACATAAAGTAAAAATTACAACAGTGTGTTGTTGGGTTTGACATAATAGGTACATCAATAATAGCAGAAAAAGTTGGGGAAGGAAATGGAGCTAACAGAGGAAGTCTATTTTGCTGAAAGTAAGTATAAATCAGAAGTGAAATTCTTATAAATCGGGATGTACACTGTAAACCCTGGAGCAACCACTAAGAAAATAACTCAAAATATATATTTTTAAAAGTAGCAAAGGAATTAAAGCATCACACTACAATATATCTACTTAATTCAAAAGAAGGCAAGAAAGGAAAGAACAAAAAAGACCTGAGACCTATAGAAAACAAAATTCGTAACTGCAGACAAAAATCCAACTATATCAGTAATCACATTAAATGTGAACAGATGAAGCAATCTAATCAAAAGAAAGATTATCAGGCTGTATTTTTATAAAAGAAAAAGAACAAAGATCCCAACTATATAAAATCTACAGAAGACACATTTTAGGTTCAATCATACAAATAGGTTGAAAGTAAAAGCTATACCATACAAACAGTAAACATAAAAGAATCAGGCAAAATACATTTTAAAGCAAGAATATAATACTAGAAATAAAGAGAAACACTTCATAATGACAGAAGGGTCAATCCATCAGGAAGGTATAACAATTAGAAGCATATATGCACTTAACAAGAGAAGGAAGAAAAGACAGTTGAAGGGATACACAATTGAAAAATAATAATTGGAGACTTCCCTCTTTCAATACTAGATAAAACCACCAGGAAGAAAATCAACAAGAATACAGAAGATTTGAACAACACTGTAAGACAGCCAGACCTACAGACAACTATATAACACTCCACTCAACAAGGCAATATGCATTATTAAGTGCACATGAAACATTTTCCAAAAGAGACCACATGCTAGGCCATAAACAACCTTCAATAATTTAAAGAGATTAATCACACAAAGAATGTTCTCTGAAACAATGGCATGCAATTAGAATACAAATCAGTAACAGAAGGAATTTTAGGAAATTCACAAAGATGGGAGGGAACCACACTCCTAAATAACCAATGGGTCAAAGAAATCAGAGAGAAAATTAGAAAATACCTTGAGATTAGTGAGAACTAAAACTCAACATACCAAAATTTATTGGATACAGCTAAAGAAAATAATACCCAGAAAGACATTTGTAGCTATAAATGCCTATATTAAAAAAGAAAGATCTCAAGTGGATAATCTAATCTTCCACCTTAAGACAGAACCTACAAAAAGAAAAGCAAACTAAACCTAAGCAAGCAGACGGAAGGAAATAATAAAGAATAATGTACAAACAAATGAAACAGAGAATGGAAAATCCAGAAAACAAAGACACTGGCAAAGGATTTGGGAATCAGGTGGTTATTGCTGTTGATAGAAAGGAAGGTTCTTATTAGGAGGAACAAAATCCAGATTGCAAGGAATTTAAGGAATAAATGGGAGGGGAAAAAAATGAAGGCAGCATATGCAGACTCTTCTTTCAATAAGCCTGAAGAAAAAGAATGAGAAGACTGAAAATGAACGCAAAAAGAAATTATTAACAAAGTCTTCTAAGAGGCAGAAAGGAATTAAAGCTCTAGGCAAATAAATTGGCCTTGGAAGATACGGCAGACACTAGTGGTTGCCTACCTAGTCTTCCCTTCTTTCTGAATAACAAAATCCTATTTTTTTTTTTTTTTTACCTTGGGAGGAGTGAAGGGCCATGAATCTTGACTAGTCTAAGCCAAACACAGGACTTCCGTACCCCTCACCACTGACTGGCTTAGAAACGGGTATAGGATGCAATTTTAGCTAATGAGGTCATGTTTTCTAGGAGGCTTCTAAGAAAGTTTTCTTCATTTTAAAAAAAGACATAAGAGAGACACCTTCTTTTCTTACAGTCATGGGTGCTTTGATATGAGTATGTCATTCTTGGAGTTAAAGCTGCCATCTTGAGATGAGGAGGGGAAAAGTCTGAAGACAAAAGCCAACTTATCAGGATGGTAGAATGAAAAGACAGAGCCAGAGAGTCTGATGATAAGAGTTAGCTGCTATATAAGCCAACAAAAAAACTATCTTTCTTCCAGATTTCTAGTTATATGAGACAATAAAATGCAGTTATTACATACGATACTTTCAGTTGGGTCTCTGTCACTTACCAGCTGAAAGCATTCTAACTGATATAGAAAGAAAGATACTTTCACAAGACAGATGTGGATGAAATTAACTTTGCATGTTGGAGATAAGGGAATTTGAGAGTTTCAGCCTAAAGTTTCATTTATTAAAGAAAATGAAACTCATATAGATCCATTTTACAAAGGGAGTGACCTTAACAGCTGCTGTTTCTTGCTTTAAAATATCAAGTATTGGCTGGGCGCAGTGGCTCATGCCTGTAATCCTAGCACTTTGGGAGGCCGAGGCGGGTGGATCATGAGGTCAGGAGTTTGAGACCATCCTGGCTAACACAGTGAAACCCCGTCTCTACTAAGAAAAATACAAAAAATTAGCCGGGCATGGTGGCGGGCCCCTGTAGTCCCAGCTACTCAGGAGGCTGAGGCAGGAGAATGGCGTGAACCCGAGAGGCGGAGCTTGCAGTGAGCCGAGATCACGCCCCTGCACTCCAGCCTGGGTGACAGAGAGAGACTGTCTCAAAAAAAAAAAAAAAAAAAAAAAAAAAAAAAAAAAAAAAAAAAAAAATCAAGTATTACTAATGATAACAATAGCTAGTAATGAAGACGATTATGATCATAAGCTCATGGTTATTAAAGTATTTTTAAAGCTAGGTATTTTATCCTTTATTGTTTACCTTCTGCATTCTATTTGACTTCAATAGTGAAAACACACCGATCTCTTTTACTTTCTGTTTATAACAATTTTCATGGCAGTTTCATTTTTCATACTTTCATGGTATATAACACAGTATACCATGATATAGTTTACAGAGGGAATCCTTAACTTTGAAGAACAAACACTTTGAAAACTAAACAATTTATAAAAAGATTTCTCTATTTCCATACACTTTCTGAATCTGGTCAAGAAAATAAAACAACATTTCAACTGCATCTGTGCAATGATAGCTTTGATTCATATCAGAAGACGGAAAATCAACACTGTAGCCACATAGATACATACCAGAGAAAGCACACTTTTAACAGAAATAACAAAAAACACTAGAATTGTGCTCTTATCCAAGCGGTTCCCAAATGGAAAAAAAAAAATCTGAAAGTTAAATTGTAAGACAGCTTTTGAAGCCCAAAACATTTTTCCTATAGAAACAACATTACTATGAGTCATGTCATTACTAGGCCAGTCCATAAAAGCCTTGTAAAACCATATGCATAAGACTGTTGTTTGAACTATACCAAAGTAGAATAACAGTTTTTCCTTGGGAAAATACATCATTTTCTCCCTCTTCTCTCTACTAAGTCCCAGAGGAGTGGGCCTCACCAGGGGCTCTGTTCACCTCTCGGAGCTCAGCAGTCATCTCCCTCACTCTGACACTCCATGGTGAGCCACACTGAACTTCTCCAACCTGCAGGGCCTCTCCACTCCAAGTCATTACTGTTATGACCTTCCCTTCTTCTTCTTGTAGGTCACCACCACTCAGCCTTCTGGTCTCAGCTTAATGCTACTTCCTCAGGAAGGCCATCCCTTGTCTCCACACTGAGTCATGTGTTCCTGATGTGTGTGCTCTCACATGACACTATACTTTCCTAACACAGCATTTGTCAATCTCCCCCATAAGCTCCACTGTTTCAGGGATTCATTTCATTTGCTATTAATGTTAAGGTCAGAAGACTGCCTGGCATTTTGACGATTCTTTACACATATTTATTTATATGAATGATTTCTCATAAGATACTTTAATCGTTTTTAACTTGATCTATGGTCATTACCAAGGAAAAGGGGGGGTTTCCAAAGAAGACTTCTCCTCCCCTCAATTTACACCTAGAGATTGTTCATAGGGAGGAAGCTACCTATCCAATTTCTTTCCCATTGCTGGTTTATAGTCACTTAAATGGACATTAAAATTTTAGCAAATAGGTATATTTTCTTTATTTGTCTTTTTAGAAGATGAGGCCTTTGAATGATGAAGGAATAGGTATATTTTCTAATATTAACTTTATCTCTTTTTTGTAGGTAATGTCACTCATTCTCATGACTTTTATGTCGGCAACGAAATGCTTATTCCCAAATTTGTGTCTCTATGCTTGATTTTTCTCTCAAGCTTAGAATCCAAACTTTCAGCTGTCTACAATTTTTATACCTGAATGTCCCACAAAAACTTCACCCCATCCCCCTGCCCAAGCTTTCTTTTCTCTGGTATTCCCCATTTCAGGTATTTCAGATAATGACATCACCATCTAGCCAGCGGAGTCTCACACCCACGTTATCTCGTCCTTGTTAATTATTCACTGGACCATGGCCTAACAGTGTTGGCATCACTTGGGAGCAGAATCTGAGGCCCCACTGCCAGACCTATTGAATCAAAATCTACCTTTTAACAAAATCCCTAGACAATTCACATGCACATTAAAATCTGAGAAACACTGATGTATAATTCCTTTTTCTCTCTACCCCCACAAAACTCTGATACCAAGTCTACATAGGCAAATATATTCCCTCCCATCCATTTCTGTTATCATGGCCCTGATTAAGCCATCACTTCCTGTGGTGATGTGGAACACTGCAATGGCTTCTTAGCTGACCTCATTCCTGTAGCCCACTGTTCACCCAGACTTTTAGAAGGGACACTCTGATGTACAGCTATGAGAGGGCATATGGTTGGCTGGCCAGAACTGTGCATAATGTAAAGCCTGTCCTATCTATGTTACAATTTAAAATCTGGGGATGCTCACAAAATTGTCACATAGAAAAGCATGCAAAAAAAAAAAAAACTTTTCTTGTGTTTCCTTGTTATAATCACTGATCTCAATTTTCTTTCCAAATACAAACCTAATCATGTCATATCCCTCTCCAAAATCTTTTAGTGGCTTCTGAAGACATCATGTATTTCTACACTTCTACCTTTCTGTTCATGCTTTTCCCCTTTTCTCCTATCCATCTTGCAAAAATCTTGCCCATCTTCTAAAGTCCTGTTCGAGAGTTATCTTACCAGAGAACAGTCATCTCATCTCACCAGCCCTCTTAAGAAATAACTGCTTCTCCATTCACTCTACAACCCATTGCACTCATTACAACACGATTACAACACTCATCTTGCTGTATGAAAGGCCCATGGATGTCTGTCTTTCCTGTCAGACAAGGACTTCCTTAAAGGAATTCTGTATTTCAGTCATTGGCAGATGGTAGATACTCAAAAAATGTTTTAAAAAAACAACTACCATTTATATTTGACATTATTAAAAGCTGTAGAACTCATCGCTGATAATGTGAATGTATTTACAAACTATAAAATACTAAGTACCATATCTTTCAAGTTATATGCACCCAGGCACAGTAAAAGCTCAAAAAATGCTTGGGGACCTAATTCAGTCACATAAATGCAGCTATCCTTAAAAGCCCACATTCTGGGGAGGCCCACCCTATTTCCTGAGAGTTCAATCAGATAATTGGACAGGACACAGAGAGGTTAATTCTGATGAGAAGAGAGGGAGGTCAAGTGTGCCAACTGATTTTAAAAATTATATATTGTATCATAAAGATTGTAATAAAGAAATAAAAGTTTGTTACCTATAACTTTAAAATATTTAAAAATTCATTTTCTGCATATTACCTTTCTAATGCAGTTGAAATTACACTAAACATATCATTCTGTATTTGGTTACAAAATTTTGCCATAAGTTACACTTATAATTGCACTTTAGTGATCATGTTATTCCATCACCCTAACATATTGTAGTTCATTAAAACATTCACCAAAATCCAATAATTTAGTTCAATAGTTATTGAATAATTACTTGTATACCAGACCCTGATGCAGGGCCTGACCAGTCCCAACCTCAAGAACTCCCCAGCCAAGTGGTAGGGACTGATTCATACACCCATGGCTGCAATACAGTGCCGAATGCAAATCAGAGTGCTCATTGGCAGGGCTGAGTAAGAAGGGATGCCCCCAGGATCTGAATGCTGCTCTCAAGAGATGGAAAGTCAACAGAAAGAAGAGGGGAAGGACTCATAAAGATGAGACGTAAGAATTTAAAATGGCACAGCATGTTCAGGGAAAGGCAGTGGCTGGGAGTAGCACAAGAAACACATAAGACTGAATGGGTCCATTTCCTTAAAGCCTCTCCAGAATTGTCAGTTATTTTAATTTTCAGTATTTTCGAAAGAATAGAAGAGATAACTCAAGGTTAACTTAAAAGGCATTTCTTTGATTACCAGTGACGGTAAACATAATCCCACCTTTTTATTAATCATTAACTGCTAAAATACTTTGTTTACTTATGTATTAAAACTTCTTCATTAAGTTCGAGAGAACTTCCTCTTCAGATATTATAGATATTCACCCTTAGTCACATTTGATACAAGCATTTCCTCCAGTGTGTTGTGTGATTTTTTTCATTGTAAATAAACCTTACATTTTATATGTTCAAAACTATTAGATCTTTTCCTTGGTGAGTTTTCCCTCTAATACTGAGTCATCAATCCTTCACAAATCTGAATATTGTTCTATTTTCTACTACTTTTCAAAAATACGATTAAAAAATATTTAGCTCTTGATACTAGCTAGACCTGATTTAAAAAACATGATGTGCATAAACATTCACATACAGGCCATTATCCTCCCTCTTCCAATCCTACTCCCACTCCCTTTGCTAAGATGGCTAGGGAATGCCCTTTCATCCAAACTCTTAATTCATTTTAATTCAGGTTCCCTTATATAACAATACGGAGAAGAGAGCAGCTAGAGCATGTGTCCTTTGCAGTGTCTTTAGAGATGGCCCTGAAATGGCTATGACCCCTACAAAAGAATTACAAAGTAGTATATTAAGGTACATAACATGGACAGAAAACATTTATGGGATGTATCAGCAATAAACATAGATGCTAATTTAAAGTACTAGTAGATACCTTCTAAGTCCCCAAACAAGTAATGCAGGTTTTCTTTAAGGGCCTGGAATGTATAGCCTTTTGACTAACTTCCTATTACAGAAGGCAGTTTTCAAATTAGCAAAGGGGGCTCAGTCCAGTGGTATACAGGTGAACACGTCTGACTCCCATGGGGAGTCTGGAAATGTGGGGAGGCATTTTTTAGATGTCACAATGAGAGAGCACACTATTGCAAGTCTTGAGATGTGTAGGGCAATCTTGTACAACAAAAACCTGTCCCATCCCAAATGCCGATAGCCACCTCACTTCAGCTAAGGGCCTTCCAGCCCAAGATGATGTGCTTCCTATATTTAATGAAGGAAACACTCCTGACTTCCAATTGTTCTATCTACCCTGCCACCCAGTACATGTTTTACCGTGGGAGGACCAGCCCTAAGTAAGATTGTGAGGTAGAACAGGTAGTATTGGATGTCTTGCTTACTCTTCCCGTTGGGTCCCTTGTTTTAAAACCCTGTTCTGGCCTGAATCCCTTCAAGTAACATCCCAGGAAGTTCTGGCTTGGAGGAACCCAGGAACTTGGCTACTGTCTTCTCATTCTGACCCACCAAAACCTGTTCCCTGCAAGTTCTTAGAAAACATCTGAAAAACAAAGCATACTCTGATACTAACCTCATGAAGGTACAAGTGCATTCTTCTCAGGGCTATTTGTGTTTAAGCACTAAACTAAAGATGCCACTCCTTATCATATGCCCTACTACCATCCTTATACAAGCTACTACCATTTTTCACTGTGATTACCACAGTAGCCTCTTAACTGGTCTTCCTGCTTTCAGTCTTCCAAGTCATAGTCTATGCTCAAGAAAGAGCTGATCTACGTGAGATCATGTCATTTCTTGGCCCAAAACTCTCTGGTGGCTCCCTAGTTTACTCCAAATAAAAGCCTCCAATGGCTTTTATTGGTACCTCCAATGCAAGATCATAAATAATCTAAAATCTGAAAATCTGGGGGGAGAGCATATATGGAAGAAAAAACAAGAGTCCATTTTGGTCACATTAAATTTGCAATGCCTAGGAGACATTCAAGTGGAGATGTCAGAAAGGTGTTATCCCCAGATCCTCAGAAGAGAACTTCAGGCTACATAAGTACTTCTCAATGGGGGGTGATTTTATGCACCCAGGAGACATCTGGCAATATCTGGAGACATTTTGATTGTCACAATAAGGGTAGAGGGAACTCTATTGGCAGTTAGAGCATAGAGGCCAGAGATGCTGCTAAGCATCCTACAATCCACAAGACATCCCCTGACACTGAAAAAATTTTCCAGCCCAAAATGTCAATAGTGCTGAAGATGACAAACTCTGGGCTAGAGATAATAAGACTTACACAAAAAGATTATATTTAACCAAAAGTACAAGATGAAAAACAAGAGAACTAAACCTTTCCTCTTTTAGATGTCAGGTAACACAGAAGACAGAAAATGGTCAACTAGAATGGGAGAAGGAAAACCAGGGAAGGGTTTGTCTCAAAGGCCAAGAGACAAGTGTTTCCAAAAGGAAGCAATGGTCAATTGTGGTCAACTGCATGGAAAACTGCTAAGACATCAAATAACACTGATAGGGGGTTAAAAGGTTTGAGAAGAATGAAGGCAGTATGCTGTGAGGAGTGAGGGAGTGAGATAATAGACACGTCGGAAGACTGCTGGACAATTTTAAGGCTGCTGAGCGTATCATTAAAGTGAAAAAACTGGCAGGTAGTTGAGCTCATCCAGTTCTGAGATTGGAGAGACCAAAGAGGTACAAAGGAATTGAAAGAATTTGCCGGAAAATAATTTGAATCAAAGCATCTAGGCTGGATAAGGAAGGAACTGGTAACAGAAAGGAAGTGATAAGTAGAAATGTGGGGGAGGGGGCTGGAAGTCATGATGAGTCATAAATACTTTTCCCACATCAATAAATAAACTTCCTATATGCTTTTAACTGTTTCATAATAACATAGCCTATTTCTTGATATTATTAAGCAAATGTGATTATTACTTTAATAAGTTACCAGAGATAACAAGTGTTGGTGATGGTGTGAAAAAGAGAAACCTCATACACTGTTGGTGGGAATGCAGATCAGTGCGGCCACTGTGAAAAACCATACAGAGGTTCCTAAGGAAATTAAAAATACAACTACCATATGACTCAGCAATTCCTCCAGTGGGTAGATATCCAAAGGAAATGAAATCACCATCTCATAAAGATACTTGCACTCCCATGTTCACTGTAGCATGAGCCAAGATTTAGAAACAATAATAGCCAAGATATTGAAACAACCAAAGTGTCTGTCAACAGATGAATGAACTGTGAGTTATGTGTGTGTACATATGTGTGTGTGTATATATATATGTACATGCACGTACGTAAATGGAATATTATTCAGCTTTAAAAAGGAGATCCTGCCATTTGCTACCACATGGATGAATGTGGAAGACATTATGCAGAGTGAAATAGGCAAGACACAGAAAATGCATGATTTCACTTATATGTGGAATCTTAAAAAAAGAAAAGAAAAAGAAAGTTGAATACTTAGAGAACAAAATGATGGTAAACAGGGGTGGACGGGGGAGAAAATGTGAAGATGTAGGTCAAAGGATACAAAGCTGCAGATACGCAGGATAAAGGGGTCTCGATGTCTAATGTATGACATGAGGACTATGGTTAATACTGTACTGTATTTGAGATTTTTGCTAAAAGAGATTTTCCTGCCACTAAAAAGAGTAACTATGTGAGATGACTGATGTTAATTTGCTTGACTGTAGTATCCACTTCACTGTGTGTATACATCAAAACATCATATACGTTAAATATATACAATAAAAAAATAGGTATTTACTATTTGAACAATGCTCATCATCCTATTTACTTTTCCTAAGTAGGATCAAATGGTATTTGTGGGAAAGATCATGTTATTGTGAAAGATATGCATATATGATAAATAACAGATCTGGGTTAAAATATCAGCTCTTTCATTTATTATGTTGTGACCTTGGACAACTTACTTAATCTCTCTGAGCCTAAATCTCTTCAGCTTATTAACAGATTGTGGTACACAGAATATTGCCTCCCTCAAAGGATGTCCATCCCTTATTCCCTGGAATCTCTGTCTACCCTATATTACATGGTATGATATTGTGAAATATATATCTGGTCTACATCCTCATTTCCTGGCACACAACTGCTAAAATCCTTAGAATCTCCAAAGTGATGTCTTTTGTATGCTAATGAGTGACTGATGGCTGGCAGTCCCTGGGTAGCTTCAGGATGGAGGCTGGACACTAGAAAGACCAAAGCTTGATTAGAGGGTTGGGACGTTCAGTGACACCCTCCAAGCTCTAGGAAGGGGAAAGGGTCTGAAAGTTAAGTTGATCACCAACAGCCAATGATTCAATCAATCATGCCTACCCAATGAAGCTTAAATAGAAACCCAAAAGGGCAGGGTTTGGAGAGCTTTCAAATAGCTGAACACATGGAGGTTCGCAAATGGTGGTACACCCAGGGAGGGCAAGGGAGTTCCTTGCCCCTTCCACATGCCTGGCCCTGTGCACCTCTCTATCTGCATCCTTTGTAATACCCTTTATAATAAACCAGTAGATGTGTTTTCCTAAGTTCTGTGAGCCCTCTAGTAAATTAAATGAACCCAAAGAGGTGGTTGTGGGAACCCCAATTTATAGCAGGTTGGTCAGAAGCACAGGTAGAGCCTCCTGAGACTTGCTGTGAGACTGAGGCCTGAAGATATGGGATCTGACACTCTCTCCAGGTGGTGTCAGCATTGAATTGAAGGCAACCCGAGTGGTGTCTGCTGCAAAATGTCTTGGTGTGGTTGGCGGGGGGCGGGGGGGGGAACTCCCACACGTGTGATTACAAAAGTCTTCTGTGTTGATTGCTGTTGGCTAATAGAAAAAAAAAAACCATTTTGAGTGTGTTTTTTCCACTCATTTGGTAAGGCGGAATGAAGGTTGCACACAGAATTAAGGCTGGTAATCAGTGGGCCTTAAAATAAGGAGAGTATCTGCATTATCCAGATGGGCCCAAAGTAATCACAAGGGTTCTTAAAGGGGAAAGCAGGGACAAAAGAATTAAAACCAGAAAAATGGCACTGTGAGAAAGATTTGCCCAGCCACTGCTGTCTCTGAAGATGCAAAGAGACTAAAAGTGAAGGAATGCAGGCAGCCTCCAGAAGCTGGAAAAGACAAGAAAATTGACCTCCCCTAAGCCTTCAGGGAGAAGGGAAGCCCTGCTAACAGGATGTCAGGTCCATTTTGGGCTCCTGACTTCCAGAATGTAAGATAAGAAATTTGTGTTGTTTTAAGTCACAAAGGTTTTTTTGGTGTTTTTTTTTTTTTTTTTTTTTTGGAGACAGAGTCTCACACTGTTGCCCTGGCTGAAGTGCAGTGGCGTGATCTCAGCTCACTGCAACCTCCACCTTCCAGGTTCAAGCGATTCTCCTGTCTCAGCCTCCTGAGTAGCTGGGATTACAGGTGCACGCCACCATGCCCTGCTAATTTTTGTATTTTTAGTTGAGACAGGGTTTCATCATGTTGGTCAGGCTGGTCTCCATCTCCTGACCTCGTGATCTGCCCGCCTTGGCCTCCCAAAGTGCTGGGATTACAGGCGTTAGCCACCGCGCCCGGCCAGATCTTTTGTTTTTTGTTTGTTTGTTTCATTTTATTTTACAGCAGCAATACAAAACTAATACACAGGTAAAATGAACTGTCTTCATAAGCTTTGTGTAGATTAACCAAGATAACATATATAAAGTACCTAACAGAGAGTGCCTAGTATATAGGAAGCATTTAAATAGCTATTAAGAGTGTTAGTTCTATTAATAGTAGAACACACTTAATAGCACTGAAACCAAATAGTCAGCAGAAAGAACACTGACTCAGTTCTAGAATTTACTCAATGCCATGACATAAGACATCTTACTTTGTCTCTGTAGGACTCAGCTCTCTCATAAAGCAAAATGAGGGGGGACTAGATGACTTCTGAAGTTTCTGCCAGCTCTAAAACTTTACGATTCTAAAATCTAATTTCTTAATGACACATTCACTTATTGCTAATTAACTGATTCAGAAAATCCTATTAAATATAAACAGTAGACAAAGCAGTTTTCATTTTATGTTTCAACATTTTCAATATTTTATATTGCTGAGTTACAGCCTTATAAAGTTGAGTCATGGCATAAAAATCACAAGCCTGCAAGCAAGGAAAAATATCTAAGTCATCCTGCTTTTATTTAATGGCCTTACAGTCAAATTGAAATAATAATAATAATATCTTTTCAAACAGCTCAAAGTATATTCCCACATATTACCTCACTTCTTCTTTTTTAACAGCTTCATTGAGGTATAATTCACATACCATGCAATTTACCCTTTTGAAATATACAATTCCATGGTTTTAGTATATTCAGAGTTGTGCCACAATCACCGCAACTTTAGAACATTTTTATCATCCCAAAATGAAACTCCCTATCCATTAGTAGTCATTCCCCATCTCCCTCCTCTAACCCTCTCAGCTCACAAATCTACTTTCTGTCCCTATGGATTGGCCTACCTTGCACATTTCACATAAATGGAATCATACAACATATAGCCTTTTATGTCTGATCCTTTCACTTAGCATGTTTTGTTATGTTATAGCATGTGTCAGTACTTTATTCCTTTATGCTTTTAATGCTGAATAATATTCCATTGTATGGATGTACCACATTTTGTTTATATATTCATCAGCTGATAGATATCTAGGTTGTTTCCGCTGTTTAGCTATTAGGAATAATGTTACTAGCATTTATGTATAAGTTTTTGTATGTAGGTATGTTTTCATTTCTCTTGCACAGATACCTAGGAGTGAAACTGCTAGGTAACATAGGGTAACACCTTTTGAAGAACTGCCAAGCTATTTCTAAAGTGGCTGCCCATTTTAAATTCCTACCAGCAATGTATGGAGCGTCCAATTACTCCACATCCTCACTAACACTTGTTATCTGCTTTTGATTACAGCTAACTAGTGGGCATGAAGTAGTATCTTATGTGGTTTTGATTTGCTTCTCTCTATGAGTGACAACGTTGAGCATCTTTTCGTGTGCTTATCAGCCATTCATAAATCTTCCTTAGAGAAATGTCTATTTAGATCCGTTGCCCATTTTAATGGGGTATTTTTGTCTTTTTAATATTGAGCTGCAAGAGTTCTTTATAAATGTGGATATAAGTCCGTTATCAGATATATAATTTGCAAGTATTTTCTCTTACCCTGTATACCTCATCTAACCTTAGTGCAGCTACTTGCACTAGATAGATTGTGTGTTGCTATCCCCATTTTGCAGACAGAATTGGCATGTGATTAAACAGACCTGATAACTGGCACTCTTTTAAAGAAAACGTACAGCTGTGCCTCTGCTTCCATTAATTTAAAAGAGCCATATACTGATAGCAATATTGTGACAACACGTCCAGGAAGGCTGCCTTGTTCAACTCAATAGATACAGGGAAGCTATCCTCTATCTATTATACAACCTAACAATATTTTCCACAGTTATACCAAGGATAGTTCATTCCTTCACTCAAAAAATACTAAGTATTATATGTGAGGTGCTGCACTACTCCTAGCTCACGTGCATCCATGAACATGATCCAATCCTTGCCCTCATTAGTCTTATAATTTGGCAGTATCCTGCAAAACCCTCAACCTTAAATTCCTTAGTTGCAAACAGTCCTGACAAAGAAATGTTTTATCTTAAAGATTCACTCTCAACTCAGAGGAAGCATTACAAAGCTTAACACAAGATACCCTATTTTTTTTAAATGCAAAGCATCAAACTTACTTTGTGGCCTAGGACAACCTTGTTTTTGAGTACTGCTCCAACAGCTAGGCCATCACCTGGTTCTTATCAATTCTTTTTTTTTTTTTTTTTTTTTGAGATGGAGTCTCACTCTGTCACCCAGCAGGCTGGAGTGCAGTGGCTCAATCTCGGCTCACTGCAACCTCCACCTCCCAAGTTCAAGCGATTCTCCTGCCTCAGCCTCCTGAGTAGCTGGGATTACAGGTGCCTGCCATGACAACCGGCTAATTTTTGTATTTTTAGTAGAGATGGGGTTTCACCATATCGGCCAGGCTGGTCTTGAACTCCTGACCTCGTGATCCACCTGCCTTGGCCTCCCAAAGTGCTGGTATTACAGAAATGAGCCACAGTGCCCGGACTTGTCAATCATTTTTATAATGCAGCAATGCTTACTTTAATGACATTTTTCAAAATTAAACATGGCTAAAAGAAAAAATACTTATATGTTTACCTTTAACCAGAAAAGCCTGATGATTCAGAGACCAACCCATGGCCAGTTCCTATTCCATGCTGAATAAAAATGTTATAATAGCTCCACTGAACAAAACCAAAATACAGAATTACAAATCTGACAACTTAAATAGGTAGTTCTAACCTTTTCCATCAAAGTAGTCCTAATTCAGAGCTGAGGGACCAAATAATCCTGGGAAGACTAAAGACATAACCCTAAGTGGCCCATGGAAACTTTAAATTTCTTGATCTTATTTTTTTCCTTAAAAATTGTACACAAATGTTACATTCTAAACTATAGTACATCTATTTTCTTTTGGCATAAAAAATTGAACATGTTTAATTAGGGTCATTAAAAAAATTTGTTGGCTAGACACAATGGCTCATGCCTGTGTTTCTAACACTTTGGGAGACTGAGAAGGGAGGACAGCTTGAGGCCAGGAGTTTTAGATCAGCCTGGGCAACAAAGCAAGACCCTGCTCCAGAAAAAAAAAATTAAAAATTAGCTGGGCACGGTAGCACACATCTGTAGTTCTAGGTACTTTCTTGCATGACTGAGGCAGGAGGATCACTTGTGCCCAGGAGTTCAAGGCTGCAGTGAGCTATTATTACACCACTGCACTCCAGCCTGGATAACGAAGTGAGACCCTGTTTGAAAAAAAAAAAAAAAAAAAAAAAAAAAAAAGATTTTGTTGAGAAGGACAGACAGAACCTATGGTGTATAATTAGAACTATGTTAACTTTTACTATAAAAATGTAGTGGATTAAATAATAGCCAGTGAGGAAAATTAACACTCAGGAAGATGCACCATGCATGCTTCATGGTTCTGAGTGCCCTCAGCACACCACTTTGTAACGGGAGGGTGCACGTACCACTGTCAGGCAAAACAGGTGCCTGAGGATTAAGAAGGCACAGGCTGAGCAGAGAGAGCATGGCCTGGGGTGATCCCAGGGATGAGCTGCTGCAAAAGAGCAACAGTTCAACGTGGGGCTTTTCCACACTGTGAGCTGGCAGGCTAACGGTTCTCAGAAGGTGTCTCAAAGTTGTTTTGGAGGTCAGAGTACAACTGCAAGTGGGCAGAGCACTGCACTCCTGACCCCCATTTCCCTCGGTTTCCCCTGGCTGACACACTGGGCTTCCATCAAAGTTTTCTGCAGACTGAAGTCTGAAGTCAGACTGAATAAAAGGTCTGAAAACCTAGATCTAGAGGAAGTCTTGGCCAGGAAGACAACAATGTGCATCAGATATGAAAGACAAGGTGAGGACAAAATGGGAGAATGAATAATGGAGCTGGTGAGGAAGAGAGTCAAAAACAGGAAAGGGTGCGGTATAAGCCAAGGGTCAGGGTCAGGCCTTCATCCACAGAAAAGAACGTCTATTGTGGAGTGGGTGTGTCTGCTTAAAGGAATAGCAACGAGATTCTCACTCAGAAGCACTCAACTGCTGAAATCTCAAATTCCCATATGTTATTTGTGAACCACCATCTCTTGTCCTTCTACCTCTCTGGATTACTTAATTGCCCATGGCCAATCAACTCTCCAAAAAGCAGCCAGTATGAGCCTTCAGAAAAGTAAAACAGATGTTATGTCTCTGACTCACACTTTCAACGGCTTTTCACGACCCTTGAATAGAATCCTAGGTCCTTATAGTGGCCCTAATGTATCATGGCCCTAATTTATTACCACTGTCCTCCTCCTCACTCACGCTCCCCAGTGCCATGGCTGTTCCTTATACAAGCCCCTGCCAGGGCTTTGCACAAACATGTGCTGTTTCCTTGCCCTGGAATGCTCTCAGACATCTGCATTGCTGTGCCCCTGATAACACTCATGTCTCTGCTCAGAGGTCACTTCTCAGAGTCTCTTCCCTGATCTCATTTTCTTTTTTTTTTTTCTTTTTTTTTTTGAGATGGAGTCTCGCTCTGTCGCCCAGGCTGGAGTGCAGTGGCATGATCTTGGCTCCACTGCAAGCTCCACCTCCTGGGTTCACGCCATTCTCCTGCCTCAGCCTCCCAAGTAGCTGGGACTACAGGCACCCGCCACCACGCCCGGCTAATTTTTTGTATTTTTAGTAGAGATGGGGTTTCACAGTGTTAGCCAGGATGGTCTCGATCTCCTGACCTTGTGATCCGCCCACCTCGGCCTCCCAAAGTGCTGGGATTACAGGCATGAGCCACAGTGCCTGGCCAATCTCATTTTCTTTTTGACATTTTCTTACCATCTGAAATTATACATACAAGTATGTATATGTTTATACACATAATATATGTTAATCGTCTACCTCCCCATTGGAATTAAGCTCTACAAGGGCAGATTTTGTTTTGATCACTGTTTTGATCTAGGGGGCCATAGCACCTAGAACAGTGTCTAGAAGATAAATGCTCAACACACATTTATTGAAGGAATGACTGCATACACCAACTCTGTTCTTAAATCTGTTAAGCTCTGGTCTTTCTCCACCTGACTCTCTCTTTCCCACTTCACTCTCTATCTTTCCTAATCCATTAACCATCCTCCAAGCTTCACTTCTTATCCATTGTAACCCAGAATCTGATCTCCCAGAAAGAGGGACCCTCTTCCCCAACAATGCCAGAAAGGAGGTAAGAATGTGTGTGTGGTTATTGGCCAGTGAGGGTGAAGTAAACTGAGGGAATCTGACCTAATAACCTCTCACTCCCTGGCCTAAATTCTCAACTGTCTTACTGGCTTGTCCTTCCACATACACTCCCTAAACCAATGTAAGAGTCTACTTCTTTAGTCCCATACCCAGACTAGAGATCACTGTTATAAAAATCCCCAACTGGGCCGGGCGCGGTGGCTCACGCCTGTAATCCCAGCACTTTGGGAGGCCGAGGCGGGCGGATCACGAGGTCAGGAGATCGAGACCATCCCGGCTAAAACGGCGAAACCCCGTGTCTACTAAAAATACAAAAAATTAGCCGCGCGCGGTGGCGGGCGCCTGTAGTCCCAGCTACTCGGGAGGCTGAGGCAGGAGAATGGCGTGAACCCGGGAGGCGGAGCTTGCAGTGAGCCGAGATCCCGCCACTGCACTCCAGCCTGGGCGACAGAGCGAGACTCCGTCTCAAAAAAAAAAAATCCCCAACTGCACAAGCTGGGAATTCCACAAATACATGGCCTCCCACCTCAGCAGACCCTTCTCACTGCTGCCATCAATCCTCTCTCAGGCTCTCTGATGTCCCACAGATTCAATTCCAAACGTCCACCACTTTCAAGCTCCCTACACCCCCTTCACTCAGAAAATGACATCACCTCCACAGAAACAAAAGAGGGGTTATTAGGTCAGACTCCCTCAGTTTCCTCCACCCTCACTGACCAACAAACACACGCACATTCTTCCCTCCTTCCTGGCACTGTGGAGGAAGGTGCCAGGAAGATGCAGGAAAGAAACTTCCCGCTCAAAGCTAATCTGCAACTTAAGGTATCCACCTCCTTATGGATCTGATGCCATCATTTATCCACTTCCCCCTCCACATTTTCTATCTCTCCTTCTCTTCTTTTACCCCGCTGCACATAAATGCTTACATTTCTCCCATCATTTGATTCATTTAAAAAAATGAACCAAACTAATATACATCCCCAGACTTTATGTCTCTCTTGCCACTTCCTATTTGCCTCTTTTCCTTCACATCCAAGTCCGAAAAAGAGTTAAAACTGTTTTTACTGTCTCCCCTACCCCACATCATTTCCTACTTAACCCTCTGCAATCTGGACTGCAAACACAAAACTGCTCTTCCCAAAGCACAGATGACTTCTTAAATGAAAATTCCCTCAAAGTGTTATCAATTTAATAATGATATCCTTGATCTTAAAATGCTTGTCTCTTGGCTTCAGTAACATTATTCTTTCTTGGTGTCCTTTCCACTTTTTTGGTCCCTTCTTTGCAGTCCAATTTGCTATACTGACTGTGTGATCTGAAAAAAAACAAAAAACCTCTAATCATGTCATGTCACAGTTAGGAGCATAGGCTTTGTCTTTGTCTGAGCTACCACAACAACAGAAATTTAACTGGGTGGCTTAAACAACAGAAATTTATTCTCTCACAGCTCTGTAGGCTGAGAAGTCCAAGATCAGGGTGCCAGCATGGTCGCTTTCTGATAAGGGCCACTTCTGGGCTTGCAGACAGCCACCTTACCACTGTGTCCTCATATGGCAGCGGAAGAGCAAGAGTAAGCTCTCTGGTGTCTCTTCTTATAAGCGCACTATTCACATCATGAGGGCCCCACCTTCAGGCCCTCATCTAAACCTAATTATCTATCAAAGGCCCCATCTCTAATTACTATAAACATGGAGGATTAGGGCTTCCACATGAGTTTGGTGGGGATCCAATTCAGTCCATAGCATGCTCTGTGGCAAGTAAAGCCTAGCGAGAATCTACACTTTACCATTAATCAGCTGCGTGATGACGGTGAAGGTACCCAACCTCCCAGTGCCTCACTTGCCTTATCTACAAAACATGAGCAACAGTACTTACCACATAAATCTGTTGTAAGGATCAAATAAGATAAACGCTTAAAACAGTGCCTGCATACAGTAAACATGCAATAAATATGTCATTCTTACTGTTATAATTATATATAAATGTGTGTGTATGTGTGTGTGTGTGTGTATATATATATATATATATTTATTTAGAGACAGAGTCTCACTCTGTAACCCAAGCTAGAGTACAGTGGTGTGATCATAACTCCAACTCCTGAGCTGAAGTCATCCCCCCACTTCAGCCTCCTGAGTAGCAGAGACTACAGGCATATGCCACCATGCCCAGTTAATTAAAAGAAAACTTTTTTTGTAGATACAAGGTCTTGCTATGTTACCCAGATTAGTCTTGAACACCTGGCTTCAAGCGATCCTCCGAAAGCACGTCGGCTTCCGAAAGTGCTGAGATTACAGGCGTGAGCTACCATACCCAGTCTGTTACTGTTATTGATCTTGTCATTATCATAGCTGTCTTTATTATAATCATCATTGCTGATTGCCATTGTTATTACTATTATTATCAATATTGTTTCTGTCATTATTACCAGTGATAAAATAAAATTATTCTAGATCGAGTCCTACGTAAGATAATTCAACAAATAAATAATTTTTACAAGAATACAGCATTATGGCCGGACGTGGTGGCTCACACCTGTCATCCCAGCACTTTGGGAGGCAGAGGCAAGCAGATCACCTGAGGTCAGGAGTTCAAGACCAGCCTGGCCAACACGGTGAAACCCCGTCTCTACTAAAAATACAAAAATTAGCCGGACGTAGTGGTGTATGCCTGCAATCCCAGCTACTCAGGAGGCTGAGACAGGAGAATTGCTTGAACCTGGGAGGCTGAGGTTGCAGTGAGCTGAGATCATGCCACTGCACTCCAGCCTGGGTGGCAGAGTGAGACTCTGTCTCAAAAACAAAAACAAAAAACAGCATTATTTATAGAAGGAAAACTTGAAAGCAATCTAAATGCCAATATACTATCAACTTCAGCTGCAATAATGACATACCATGACTGGGACTTCCTCACAGTTCTGGAGGCTGCAGTCTAAGATCATGGCGCTGGCATTGTCAAGTTCTGATGAGGACCCTCTTCCTTGCTAGCAGATGGCTGTACTCTTACTGTGTCTTCACACAGGTGAAAAGAGAGCTCTGGTATCTCTTCCTCTCCTTATAGGGGCACCAGTTCTATCTGATCAGGGGTCCATTCTTATGACCTTACTTAACCTTAATCACCTCCTTAAAGGCCACATCTCCAATACTGTCATGTGGAAGGTTAGGGCCTCAACATATGAATTTTGGGGGGACATAACTAGTCCACAGTGACCAATAATAATAAAATTTTAAGTACAGTAAAACTGAGTGTTATACAATAATAACCATGCAAATATAAGAACTCTAAAGCAAGAAAGAAAATAGATATCACATGAAAATATCAGGATATAAAATTTTAATATAAATATGTAAAGCACATGCTTATGAAAATAAAAAGAAACATAGCATAATTATAACAGGGGTGATGTTAAAGTAAGAGCTTTATTTCTAAAGTGTTGGTACAATTAGACAATCTGAAAAATAAATTTTCATAGAAAGAATACATAAATGAAAAGCTTCAACTGAAAAAAATCAAGAATAATTTCCAATCTAACATTCTATATTTGATTCCTGCTTATATCATTACCATCTCTATTAACTAGGATATAAGCTAAACTCCTGTAATGAGACCAATATAGTGGCTCAGATAAAAAAAGAATTTATTTCTCTCTCACGTTACAGTCAAGAGGCAGACAAGTGGTCAAGGAAAGGTAAGTAGCTTTGCTCTATAAGGTCATCCAGAGACTAAGATTCCTCCTGTTTTCTCTTACCACTCCTTGGGGCACTGCCCTCAGGTGCATGATTGAAGCTAACTCACCAATGCTTCATTTACGGGGATGGGAGGGAAAAGAATATGACTAACAAGCCTCTTTTTTAATACAAATATGTTTTTAAAAGTAGCATATGTCACTTCCACTCTCATCCCACTGGCCAGAACTTAGAAATCTGGCTTCATCTGGCTACAAGGAGCGTAAGAAATACAATTTCTTTGTAGGGGTTATGTGCCTAGCTAAATACGTACCAAAGGTGGGAGTGCATCCTTCTTCCCACTCTGAAATAGTCATCTCCTTTCTAAAGGGATAACTTGAAGTCTCATCCAGTTACTGGATTTAGCTTAAGGTCTAGGTCTCTGGGCAATATACAACCCTCTTCAACTCATTCACATCCGTGTAGCTCCTTCCTAGTCCAGCGGCTCGCAAACTAACAAAAGAGTATAACCTCTGCTCTCCACCACCACCATCGCACACAAAATACAACTGTGGAATACAAATGAGATTAATGCAATTAAGTCTTCCATTCTGAAAATAAAAGAATAGCAAACACACATTTTTATCAATGATGAAACACTTCTAGAAAGGAATTGCAAAGTATCTCTGCTCTAGCAAGAAGGCAAGTCCCTTGGTTCATTTCAGATTCTGTTCTCTGAGGGGAAGACCCTTGTCCAGGCAGTCTTGGCTTTGCCTTTGGAAGATTTTTTCTTTTCCATTATCCTTTCTGGTCATACATGAAACAAACTTGGAAGAGTATATGCTCCAATAGGGCAGCAAAGATCTAATAGCCTACTTCCTGCTGGTGCAAATTTGGGACCAAGGGTTGCTTTAGGTGTCAAACAATATCAAACCAGCAGAGGCTTTTGCAAGCCAAACTTATGGGATCTTTGGCAACATAATCTCCTAAAAATTTCAAAAGGTCTGTTTGCCTCAGTCAGTTCCACAAGAAAGTAGTAACCACAACTAAGGATTTAATCTGGTCATAGATATTAAGCTTGTCAACTCTCCTGTTTTATCTGCTGGCCTCTGTGACGCAGCCATCGCTCCCTCTCTTCAACCCTCTCTTGATTGAAGGTTAGCTACCTTGAGATTATCTGATTCACATCAGGAGGATTATACCACTCCAACCCACTGACATCAGGACAGGCCATGTGACTTGAGATAATCCTTCTGACCTGACTGATTTCAGGCTTAGCCATTTGACTTGCTTTGGCCAATAAAATATGAACAAAAGTAACACGTACCACTTCCAAGACACTGGTTCTGCCATATCTCTTTTGCCTGTCACAAGAATGGCAATGTCCCAAACAGGCTTATTCCTTTGGCTTAAATAATGAAGTGACAAAGTATGTGGAACACAGCCACAGCTAACATGTCATGAGTAAGAAATAAACCTTTGTTGTTGTAAGGAACTGAGATTTTGTATGTATAACTGAAGCTTTTACATAGTTCAAATGACTGGTTGAGGTGGAAAAGCAAATCCTTAATTTGAACCTTGCCTGGACTGTCTGCCACTGTCAGGCCAAGAAAATCTAACAGGAGATTCCTGAGAATGACTATCTTACCTCTTGCTGTTTGGCACAGAGAAGCAATTTTTTCCAACACTGCAATGCCCCATATTACTGGCCTCTCAGTCAATTCAGACCACAGGCCATTGGCAGAGAGAACCTCCTTTAGCTGTATATTATAACTAAAAACTATACTCCCTTTCAACTCTAATTGCAAACTGGCTAATCGTTCTCTTATTTGATGCCCTCTTGTAGTTACTGGCAAGGACGAATCAACTCATATTAACAGTCTGATTCTTTCTAACTACTTCCCTGGAGGTACAAACTGGGTAGACAAATTAACTCTCTTCCAAGTTATTAGAGGTGACAGTCTCACTGAACATTTTGCCACCACATAATAAGGGTCACCAGTTTTCCAGCCTATAACATGTTTTCTACTGTCTGTCGACCAACCACTTAACCAGTGCTATACATTTCAGCTTTTTAATTGTGGAACACCACTTCAGGCGCCAATTTTTGTACTATACAGGCTATGGGCTAAACTGCTGTAATAAACTGATGCCAAAAACCAGTGGCTAAAACAAGAAAGTTTATTCTCTTCCTTGAAACAAGAGAGAGATAGGCAGATGGCCAGGGAGAAGATGAAGAGTAGTAATTGGTTCTGTTCCACAAGGTCATCCAGGAACCTAGGCAGAGGGATCTTTAGGTTCAAGGTAACTGTTGCCATTCCAGTTGCTGCTGCTTTCAGTTAGGGGGAAAGGGAGAGGGGTGGGCAGACGAAGTTCAGGACAAGCACCTTATATTTACAAAGATAACTCAGAATTTGCACATATCACTTGTGTTCTTATCTAACTGGCCCAAATCTAATCACAAAGTCATACTTATTGGCAGGAGGAGTTTAAAAACAGTCTCTATGTACATAGCCATGTATCTGGCTAAACCAACAGGGTTCTGGTAGTAGAAGAAAGGAGGAATTAGATATTGGAGCAGAATTAGCAGTCTTTGCCACACTCTCATACAATCTATTCTCCATAGTCATCAGAGTTTCTTTAAAGGCACGGTTCAGACAATGGCACCCTCTGTTCCAAACCCTCCAGGGCTTCCTATTTCACTTAGCATAAAAACCAAAGTCCTCACAATGACCGACAAGTCTTCACACAATGTGCCCCTTCATTGCCTCTCTAACCTCATCTCCTAATATTGTTCCCATAAAATAAATACCAAATGTATTAAAAACCAATGTATAAAAGCTAAAACTATAATGCTAATGAAAGAAAAAGTTAAATAACATATTTGCAACCTTGGGATGACGAAAGATTTCTTCAAGATCTCAAAAGCATAAACATGGAAAAATTTTGATGGCGTCAACTTTGATGAATTGGACACCACAGACAAAATTAGAAGATAGGCAAAAGACTGGAAGAATATGTTTGCAACATCTAAAAAGGCAAGGGATTAAAATCCAGTGTATGCCAAGAACTGCTGCAAAAACAACAACCAAAAGATAGAAAGTGCAACTGAAAATCTGACAAAAAGGCAGAGGCAGACAATTCACAGAAAGTGAAGTTAAGTTTGCCAGATAATATACAGGATGCCCCACTGAATCTTAATTTCAGATAAATAATTGTTGTTTTTTGTAGAAGCGTGTCCTGCATATTGCATGGCCCATACTTACACTAAAAATTTATTTGTTGCTTACCTGAAACTCAACCTTAACAAGGTATCTGTATTTTTATTTGCTAAATTTGGAACTGTAAGTGAAATCCATACGAGTAAATGAAGAGAATCTCACTCTCACTCACTAGTAATTAAAAAAATGCAAATTAAAATTTGAGCTACCATTTTACCCATTATACCAGCAAAGACTAGAAAATAAGGCTTTTATTGAAGAACATGTAACTCTTTTTTTCCATTTTACTACAAAAGATAACCTAACCTAAGATTCTTTATCATATCACTAGGCAAATAAGAGCCCAACTATTCACTGCATGTACACAGAGAAAAACACATTTCAAATCCATTTATTTCATACTGCAGATAACAAGAATAATGCTAGTAACCATATTCAGGAATCAATTTTTTCCTAGGAATTTTAAGTACATATTTAGCGTGAACCTAAAACAATCAAAAGGGTGAGATTGTAGTTTAGAGTTTATTCAAGCACAAAGGTTGAGGACTGCAGCCAGGGACACACTTCCAAGTTGCCTAGCTGAGTGCTCCAGAAAACAAAAGAGAGTCTCAAGTTTTTAAAGAAAAAAAGGACGAATCAGGAGAGGCGGCAATTACAAAAGCTGTTCATCAGAAATTCTCATTGGTTTACAAAAATAACATTGCTTGGTGATTGGATATACGTTGTTGAACTACAGGGTATATGGCATTTTATGGGTACTTGGCGTCAGTTAGTCTGGAGCCCCAATAGCAAGCAGCTTGAAGAGGTCATTATTTAGCTCTAGGGGGAATGAGATGTGACTGCTGTTACATTTTAAATTCCTTTCTGGGCCTGATGGTTTAAAGGAGGTTGCATTCCCAAATAAAAAGGATTTTTTTTATTTCTCCTTAGTATAAATTTATAAAGTTTAACTGTTAAAGATAACAGTGTTTGAATATCTTTTAGTAAACAACAGCTCTGTCAAAAACAATATTACTTATTGTTCATAATGTTAATGTTATATTATAAATAATTTTATAATATATTAACTATAGTATTAATTTTCACACTAGGCTAAGATTAACCTCTTAAGGTTAACTATCATACAGGTCAGAAATTTGGTCTGTCAACAGAGACAAGAATCAGACTTTACATTTTCAAAGAGTGTTTCCATAAAAATATCTAAATCACACATAGTTTTACCACTGGATTATTCCTACCTGGAAGGCAGGAATGAAGGTATGACACAAAAGCTGTAGATTAAGGAAGGAAATAGGGGCTGCATATAAAAACAACAGCAACTTTTTTTTTTTTTTTTTTTTGAGACAGGCTCTCACTCTGTCACCCAGGCTGGAGTGCAGTGGCGCAATCTCAGCTTACAACAGCATCCATTTTTTAACATGTTATGAACTTATTACATACATAAATACAGACAGCACTTAGGGCATTTAAAAATAAAACTTCAATACAAAAAAGAAATTACACCAAAAACTCATTCTGACTTCTATAACTTCTAAGATAATGAATGCCCTAAATTTATTTTAACATCTCCATAGGAAAATAATAATTTAAAATATTACTGTGAAAGATCAATTTAGAAAAATGTTTTGTCACAGAGTAAATAGTTATAGATAGTACAGTAGTTCTTTATTTCATACTGAAAAAGAAAAATATTCTAAATAAATGTTAAACAACTGAAATATTGGGTTGGTGCAAACGTTCATTGCAGGTTTTGTATTGTTGGAATTTGCCGTTTGATATTGGAATACATTCTTAAAATAAATGTGGTTATGCTATATATCATTTTAATGGACATTTCTCACTTTGTTTTTTTTCTTAATGATTTATTATTTGCTGTTTATTTTATATTTATTTTAGACTATGGAAATGATGTTAGACAAATAGCAAATTCCAGCGATTTTCTTATTCGGGGTCAAAATGGTTCATAAAGCAGCAGAGACAACTCACAACACCAACAACGCATTTGGCCTAGGAACTACTAACAAATACTACCAAAAACTACACCACAATACAGTGGTGGTTCAAGAAGTTTTGCAAAGGAGACTCAAAAATGAGGAACATCATTGGCCTGCCATCAGAAGTTGACAAATGACCAATTGAGAGCAATCATTGAAGTTGATCGTCTTACAGCTAAGTGAGAAGCTGCCAAAGAACTCAACATTGACCATTCTACGGTCGTTTGGCATTTGAAGCAAATTGGAAAGTTGAAAAAGCTCAATAAATGGGTGCCTCAGGACCTGAAGGAAAATTTTTTAAAATTGTCATTTTGAAGTGCCATCTTATACTACACAACAATAATGAACCATTTCTCAATCGGATTGTGACGTGTGACAAAAAGTGGATTTTATACGACAACTGGCAACGACCAGCTCAGTGGCTGGACCCAGAAGCTCCAAAGCACTTCCCAAAACCAAACTTGCACCAAAAAAAGGTCATAGTCACTGTTTGGTGGCCTGCTGCCGCTCTGATCCACTACAGCTTTCTTCCTTTTTTTTTTCTTTTTTTTGAGACGGAGTCTCACTCTGTCACCCAGGCTGGAATGCAGTGGTACAATCTCAACTCACTGCAACCTCTGCCTCCGAGGTTCAAGCAATTCTCCTGCCTCAGCCTCTCAAGTAGCTGGAACTACAGGTGCACACCACCATGCCTGGCCAATTTTGTATTTTTAGTAGAGACAGGGTTTCGCAATGTTGGCCAGGCTGGTCTCGAACTCCTGACCTCAGGTGATCCACCCACCTCGGCCTCCCAAAGTGCTGGGATTACAGGCGTGAGCCACCACACCTGGCCCACTACAGCTTTCTGAATCCTGGTGAAACCATTACATCTGAGAAGTACACTCAGCAAATCAATGAGATGCACTGAAAACTGCAACACCTGCAGCCAGCGTTGGTCAACAGAAAGGGCCCAATTCTTCTTCATGACAATGCCCAACCGCACGACACACAACAAACGCTTCGAAAGCTGAATGCATTGAGCTATGAAGTTTGCCTCATCCGCCATATTCACCTGACCTCTTGTCAACCACCACTTCTTCAAGCATCTCGACAACTATTTGAAAGGAAAATGCTTCCAAAACCAGCAGGTTTTTGGAAAGCAGAAAATGCTTTCCAAATCCCAAAGCATGAATTTTTAAGCTACAGGAATGAACAAACTTATTTCTCATTGGCAAAAATGTGTTGATTATAATGCTTCCTGCTCTGATTAATAAAGACGTGTCTGAGCCGACTTATAATGATTTAAAATTCACGGTCCAAAACCGCAATTACTTTTGCACCAACCTAATACTTTATATAAATGGTACTATGATCTAATAATTATAGTAACATGATTTGCAAATACTAAAATATTTTGCTTGCCTTGTTCTATAAAATATATGTAATATAATCACTAATCTTTCATAATGTTGATCAGAATACTTTCCAAGTAACATTCAAAAAGTAATCACTTCTAGATGTATCTCTAATAACAGCAAAAACAACAGACTTCTAGATCTATAATTCGGCATCTATCAAGACTAATTGTGGCAGGCACATAATATAACACACTCCCAAAAGAGAAAAAAAATAGACATAACCTTCACCATAGACAGCACAGCCTTCACCATAATTTTTAAAGCATTAATATATTTCCACAAATAATATATTACCTCTTGAACTACATATAAAAATAATCCTTGAGGCAGCCTGGGTTCCAAATATATTGTCCTGAAATTGATAGACAGAAAACAAGTGATATTTGTACATCCATTTTTCTTTTAAGTTTCAGAAGAAAAGCAAAATCAAAAGTATGTTATATTAGCGCCATAGCTAACATCAACATGTTTGACATAAAAAGTACGTATTCTTCAACTTCAAGAAAGGAAAAGATTGTTCTTTGGCTCTAGTCCTAAGCTGGAAACAAGTAACCACAAAACCAGTTTTAAATCTACCCCAGTCAATCCATCCTTAAAGTCTACTCAACCTTTCCACTTAAGCACTTTGCCAACAAAGTAAGCCAATCAGCAACTGCCCCGCTTCAGTACCTTTGCTCCTCAAAGCCGGTCAGTCTCTAAACTCTAAGTTTAAAGCTGGCTAATCCTTAAATTTTTGCACTTTTCAAAATCAGCCAATCTCAAACTCTGTGCTTCCTCAAAACCCTACATAAAAACGTCTCTGCCTGTTTAAAGGACTGTCTTCTGCAAGCACGGTTCTCCCCTACCCAGCAAGTATGGTTTACCAAAACTCAGGTAAGTTTCTACTTAAGTCAAATTAGAATAGGCTTACAAACACTGAATTACCAATGATTCAAGTGGCAACATGAGTTTCAAGAAACCTAATTAAGTTAGGCAAAGATTCTGTGAATTTATCCAGAAATTGTCAGATTTATTTATTGGAGAATATCTGAAGACACAGAATAGCTCAGTGGAAACAGCCAAACTACATTATGAGTTGGGTGGCACTGAATAGGTTATTTAATATCTCTAAACCAACTTCTTTTTCTATAAAATGAGAGTAATAACTCTATTTCACAGTATTGTCAAGAAGATTAAATGGGATAACAATAACTGGTAACTTTAAAAGATTCCTAGGTACGGCCGAGCGCAGTGGCTTACGCCTGTAATCCTAGCACTTCGGGAGGTGAAGGCGGGCGGATCACGAGGTCAGGAGATCGAGACCATCCTGGCTAACACGGTGAAAACCCGCCTCTACTAAAAAAATACAAAAAATTAGCCGGGCTTGGTGGCGGGTGCCTGCAGTCCTAGCTACTAGGGAGGCTGAGGCAAGAGAATGGCGTGAACCCGGGAGGCGGAGCTTGCAGTGAGCCAAGATCGCGCCACTGCGCTCCAGCCTGAGCGACAGAGCGAGACTCTGTCTCAAAAAAAAAAAAAGATTCCTAGGTATAAAGTTCTAGATTTGCTTTCATCACTAACTTATTAACACATATGGAAAGTCATTTAACCTAAGTCTGTTTCTTCATTGGTCTAATAGTGAGGATAATGCATGCCCTACACATTTTATGGGCTGTTTGTAACAATCAAAAATGAAAATTAATGTGAAAAGGATTTTGACAGATATAAACCATGAAACTGTGAAATAGCTAATTTAACATATACAACAATAAAGGGAATTCACACTAGGAAACCTGTTACAATCCAGGATTATATAAAGTCCAGATTAAATTAATTTTAGTAAGAAAAATATTCATAGCCAAAAACAAATACAAAACCACTAGACACACTAGCAACCAAAAAAATTCAAGGCTACTATTATTAGCTCCAAGAATTATTTCCCATTCAGTAAATGAACCAAATTAGCTCAGCTATCCAACAAACTAAAAGCAGTACAACACAATCCTTTGTCCAAGTCAGGCATTTGCCACTTAAAACTACCACCTCCATTTCTAAAGCAAAAAAATAAAAAAATAAAAAAGGAGGAACAGAAGGAAGGAGGGAGTGAAGGAAGAAAAGATATTACAGAATTTCTCAACATCAGGAGTACTGACATTTTGAACTGGATAATTTTCTGTTGTTGAGAAGTTGTCTTGTACATTGTGGGACATTCAGTGACATGCTATAATGGCCTCAATCCACTAGATGCTAGGAGTAATGTCCCCACACACAAATGTGACAACCAAAAATGTTTTCTAGACATTGCCAAATGTCCCCAGAGTGTGTTGGAAAGTAAAAAATCATTCTGAGTTCAGATTCTTCACAGTATCATCTTCCAGTATTTATTTCACACTGCTTGGTGGCTTGCAATGCAGACTGAAATTAATAGCTTTGCAATTGAAGAACCAAATAAGAAAATACTCCCTGTAGAATAGTAACAACTTGAAGAATAATAGCTACGTAGTTATGGTTAAATTATTCCTTTCATCGACATACTGGTTTTGCTTACTATTCCCTAAGAATTTTCTTCTGGGTGTTCTTTTGGGGTTAAAACTTGGTTAACCTGTCACTAAAGCTTAGTCTCCACCTAGACTTACTAATTATTAGCCATTAGTGTAATGTGTTAAAATCAAACCTAAAGATTTTAATTTTTAAGCAACCAAATGTGAAATGAAGCAAAAATAAGTGCTACTTATATAAATTATTTAAATATATTCAAACATTTAGAGTGTAAAGTACACAAACAAGCATCCAGCTACTACTACAAATATATATGAGTTGAAGATAATAATGCAAAAATAAAAGTGATTGCAAGAAGTAGAATTTTGACAAAAACAAGAAATGGGGAAAGGATTCCCTATTTAATAAACGGTGCTGGGAAAACTGGCTAGCCATATTGAGAAAGCTGAAACTGGATTCCTTCCTTACACTTTATACCAAAATTAATTCAAGATGGATTAAAGACTTACATGTTAGACCTAAAACCATAAAAACCCTGGAAGAAAACCTAGGCAATACCATTCAGGACATAGGCATGGGCAAGGACTTCATGTCTAAAACACCAAAAGCAATGGCAACAAAAGCCAAAACTGACAAATGGGATCTAATTAAACTAAAGAGCTTCTGCACAGCAAAAGAAACTACCATAAAGAGTGAACAGGCAACCTACAGAATGGGAGAAAATTTTTGCAATCTACCCATCTGACAAAGGGCTAATATCCACAATCTACAAAGAACTTAAACAAATTTACAAGAAAAAATCAAACAACCCCATCAACAAGTGTGCAAAGGATATGAACAGACACTTCTCAAAAGAAGACATTTATGCAGCCAACAGACACATGAAAAAATGCTCATCATCACTGGCCATCAGAGAAATGCAAATCAAAACCACAATGAGATACCATTTCACACCAGTTAGATTGGCGATCATTAAAAAGTCAGGAAACAACAGGTGCTGGAGAGGATGTGGAGAAATAGGAACACTTTTACATTGTTGGTGGGACTGTAAACTAGTTCAAACACTGTGGAAGACAGTGTGGCGATTCCTCAAGGATCTAGAACTAGAAATACCATTTGGCCCAGCCATCCCATGACTGGGTATATACCCAAAGGACTATAAATCATGCTGCCATAAAGAGACATGCACACGTATGTTTATTGTGGCACTATTCACAATAGCAAAGACTTGGAACCAACCCAAATGTCCATCAATGATAGACTGGATTAAGAAAATGTGGCACATATACACCATGGAATACTATGCAGCCATAAAAAAAGGATGAGTTCATGTCCTTTGTAGAGACATGGATGAAGCTGGAAACCATCATTCTGAGCAAACTTTCACAAGGACAGAAAACCACACACCACATGTTCTCACTCACAGGTGGGAATTGAACAATGAGAACACTTGGACACAGGGTGGGGACCATCACATACCAGTGCCTGTCGTGGGGTCGGGGGAGGGGGAAGGGATAGCATTAGGAGACATACCTAATGTAAATGACGAGTTAATGGGTGCAGCACACCAACATGGGACATGTATACATATGTAACAAACCTGCATGTTGTGCTCATGTACCCTAGAACTTAAAGTATAATTTAAAAAATAAATTTAATTAAAAAAAGAATTATATTTAAATGCTCAGTATGTACTATCACTGGGCTAGACACACTGTTTTCAACAATAAATCTTCATATATATAAAAGTACTCATAAAATAGTTTAAAATTTGCTTGTGCAAATGTAAATTTTAAAAGGAATCTGAATTTTATTTACTATCTAGGATGTTATATTTCGCATGGTCAGTGTTAGAAACAGAGGGTCCTGTTGTTTTCAGATAGAACTTACCATCACTCCCCCTCTGCTGGGAGCTACCTGACACAATTAAATAACCATCAACCTGCCCTCACTGTGCCTGAACTTAAAAGTCAATAACACCTGAGCATCAATAGGCTATTGACTATGCAATTTTACTTTATACCATATATGGGTATCTGATGTTCCTGGGAAACTAACTGCAAATGTGGTGTAAATAAAGACTAATCATTTCAACTCCATTAAATGTAGGGAAGCTACAAGAGCAGATTTAAAACGTTGTGAACTGCAAAATGAGATGGCACCCCTCTACATTTACGTTAGTAGAGGGCTTCTGTTTAGAGTAATCATAGATCTGGTTATTTAGATACTTTCCCAATGAAAGCTTAAAACAAAATATAATTTTATATATTTTTAAAAATTCTGAAATTAACCATAAAATCTACGGCAGTGCAATTTTATATAATTCTTACATGGTTTAAATTTGAAATACTCATGTTAGGAAGTAACAAAATTGTGACAACTGTTGAGGTTATGGTATGCCATGAAAGATCTACGGGAACAAGACACATCTTTTTTTGTTTGTATTTTTCTAGTCTCCATGTTCTACAATGATCCAGCTATACGAGATGTAATCTGCAATTCCACCTACAATATATATCACCAGATCCCCTTTCTATGACAAAAAAAAAATACATGTCAATGTTAGAGATGGTCAGCAAAGAAACTCAAACTTATTCCAATAGGTGGAACTTTGGCATGACACACTTAAACCGGTGGAAACCTGCCTGAATACTTCACCCAACCCCTCCATCACCCTCTATTATGCAAGCTGCAACATTTCAAGCCAACTCCCTTATTTCTCTGGTGAGCCCTGTCAACACTGAGGTAATAGAACTGGAAAAACTCATCACTTCAAAAGGACAGTCAAATATCAGAATTTATTTCATTTGGTAAAAATTCTATCATTGCCAAATAAAGCTAATGCAAATATAGTAAAATATGCATGATTTTGAGTAATTCTTTTGTTGAAAAGGACTCTTGGGGAGCCTCAACTTCATCCTGCAACAGCTTAGGCATTCTTTTGCCCCTTTGCCCTTTTCATGCCCCATCTCACAAGTCATGGAAGCTGGGGAGGGGAGGGTGCAGAAAACCCAAATGAACTAATCGGCATGTATTTATGCATTTAGTCTACTCTAATTTTATTCCCACAGGTTTTTCCTCATACCCTGCTCCTCTAAGGTAAAGAACTGTTTTATTCATCTCTGAACTTCCAAAACCTAACCAAATGCCCATTATATAAAGTCATCCCTAACATCTACTACACAGCAGGCACTGGATTAGGGACTAGAGATAGAGAAGTCAAAGAGACAGACCTTGCCCCTACGGAACCTACAGTGGGGAATACCAGATACTGGCTGCATGAACCCAGTCAGGTCGTAATCAAAGACCAGTTAGCACAGTCCCACTGCCTATAATCTTTCTCCCACAGACAACCAAAGCTTAGATGAAAAACAAAAGCATGCTTTCTCTTCAGAAAAATAAATGGGTATCTCCAACCCTGACCACTCCCCTGAGTTCCATATTCACAGGCATGCATACTCAACATGTTCACTCGGAGGTGGTTACAGGGATTCAATGCATGGACTCCAAAGCCACAATGCTTAGGTTTGAATCCTAGCTACATCACTCACCAGCTGGGTGACTTCAGACAAGTCACTTATAACCTCTTTTTGCCTCTATTTTCTCGTGCTGTAAAATGGGGACAATAATGGTTCCTTGCACATATAATTCTTATGATGATTAAATGAATTAATATAGGTTAAAGTACTTAAAACCCTGCCTGGGACTCAGTTTACGCTTACATAATACTATTTTTACTAGCACTGTTGTTATGACTATGTCTAACAGGCATTTAGAACTTGTGCAAAACTAAATTTGTAATTTTCCTCAGTAAACAGCACCACTATACTTCTAGTTGTTCCAGCCTAAACCTAAAAAATCATCACTTCTCCCTTTTCTTCAAATTCCACATCAGCTCGTTTCCCGTCAGCTCTACCTTCAAAACGTATCACCAATTCTACCGCCTACCATCATCTCCACAACTAACCTCCCCCAGCCCAAACCACCATCATTTCACCTGCAGGGCACAGCAGCTTTCTCCCGATTTTCACTCCATCCGACCCACTCTAATCTACAGTTAATTCTCCATACAATAAAACTTAAATCAGACACCAGTCCCTTGATGCAAACCTTCCAATGGTTTTCCATCACAGTTAGAACAACATCTTTACTTCACCACAGCCTACAAGGGACCCCACGGCCTGCCTGGCCCTTGACCATCATTGGCCACTACTTTCCCCGTTCCCGGCTGTGCTCTAAACACTCTCACTGTGTCTGGACCACCTCAGAGCATTGTCCTGTGCTGTTCCTGCTGTGAGGCCGAAAATACAGTCACCTGGAGCCTGGACTCTGAAGTCAGACTGCCCACGTTCAAATAGTCTCTACCACGTTTTAGCTGTGCAACTTTGGCAAATTCTTAACCTTTCTGTGTGTCAGTTGCCTCATCTATGAAAGGGAGATACTAGGTTACATCAAAAGACTTGTAAAAATTTAATTTAGTGTTCAGAATAGTGCCTTACATATGGTAAGCTCTACTTTTTTTAAGTGTTCATTGCTATTAATTATTCCTCTCTGAAATGTTCTTACCTCAGGCTCTTTCCCTCACACTTCAAGTGTCCCTGCCTTTGAATGGCTTTTCCTGACAGATCCCACCAAAAACAACCTTCCCTGTTCCCCCACTGTCCTCCTTTCTTCCTTCCCTTCACTGCACTTATGACTACCTGAAATTACATTATGCACGTATTGTTCGTTGTCTATTTCCCACTGCAATATGAGCCCTGCTAGGTTGGAGGCTGTCTTCTTTGCTGCTCTATTTCCAGAGATTTCTGACTCACATCTCATCCAGGCTAGGGGACCAATGCGAATCTCCTAATAACAATAGCACACTTAGCCTTTCATTTGCACTCTCGTGATCTCATTTGATCCTGGAAAAACCAACAAACAGATAAACCATCGGCTCTCATTTTAGATAAGAAAAACAAAGTTCCAAGTTTGCGTGACTTGTCCTTGGACACGAAGCTAGTTAACGAATAGAACAAAAATTAGAAGCCCTGCTTTCTGATTCAAAGGCTCTTCCTACCTGGATGAAAAGATATCACACTCCTGAAATGAATTTACAGAAATGTGAACTCTCGAGCTCCTGTATAAATACACCCTGAAGTGTGCACAGTATTCTTCCCTTCAAAGTTCCTGAAGACTACTAGTCCCGGAGTTTGAGAGGCATTATAGTCTAGTAATAACTAATCGATAATGTAGTACCCCTTGACCAAAATATTCAAGCAGTCAGATACGATGATTGGATATTCCAAATCGATACAGCAATCCTTAAAACTCAGTGAGTCTGTGTTGTCTATAATGTGCTAGTTCCAGCACACTGAAAGCTTCCTCTGCAAAACCCAGACAACGGGGGCATTGTAATTGCCAAGAGTACCGTGCTAACGATACCTGTTATTTCTTGGGATCCCCATTCTATCAAGTTTAGTGACAACAGTTCGATCACCCAACAGGCTCCAGTGTGGTATAGAATCAGATGGAGGGAAGGTTGTCGGGGGGAGGCAAAACAGTGAAAAAGTTCCCCTTCTACAAGATTCCTGGTCAAATAGCCAGTGGCTACCACATTCCTCAGAATAACCAAGTGTCTGTGTATAAGCTTTCTCCTAGCAAA
Source organism: Homo sapiens (assembly GCF_000001405.40). Classification (NCBI taxonomy): domain Eukaryota; kingdom Metazoa; phylum Chordata; class Mammalia; order Primates; family Hominidae; genus Homo; species Homo sapiens. The sequence goes on from NC_000010.11 coordinate 31,031,245, forward strand.
TTTACACACTTGTGTTATCTCACGTGTTCCTAGTGCTGTGGGAACAACCATTAGGGAGGCCAGAGGCTGCTGTACCTCCCTTTTACACAAAAAAGAAAACTGAGGCAGCAACTGGTTATCTTATAAATGTGTCCACGATGACTTGGTCACTTGTGGGATCCCAACGGCCAGGACATAGGATTCCTATTCTCTGAGAGGAAGCTTCCATCCCCTACTTAACATGTCAAACTCCAAGGCTGAGAGGGGGAAGAAAAGGAATCTAAGTCCCTTTATCACGGAAGAAAAAAAGGGACTCTCCATTTGGACTTTCCGCCCCTTCTAAGGCCTCGCTCCCAGGCTCGGAGACGCGCCCCGCCCCAGGGGAAAAGGTGCTGGCCCGGCCCCACGGGGCGCGGCCTCGCCTCCCGCACCCCAGGTCCCTACCGCCCAGCAGGGCGCGCTGCCACTCTGAGCAGACACCTGTCCCTTCGCCACAATCGGCGACTCCCCAAGGAACTGACGCCCCCAGAGCCACCACCACCGCCGGGACTGCCAGCTGCCAGCGGGCCCCGCAAGCCCTAGGAGCTGCAGGAATCCTCGTAAACTTACAGTTTTCCTACAGCGTGCGCGTCACAGCGGGGTGACGTCACGGGCCCAGCAGTCGGGGAGGTCAAGCCACGGGGCGCGGGCCGCTGGGCCCCCAGGCTCCGCCCTCGCCCCGCCCCGGCGCCGCGGCGGGAGACACGCCCCCGAGCTCCACGCCCTCGAGCTCCACGCACCTCCCCGTAGCAGACACCCCGCGCAGGCGCAGACGGCCTCTGCGCCCGCATGCCTGTGGGCTTCGCCGACCGGGGCGCCTGCGGCGGCGACTGCTCTACCAAAGCCTCACTCAAAGCCTGAAGTCGGGGTTAGAGGAGGAGGAGGGGCCGACAAAAGGGGACGGAGACCTTCAGAAATACTGTAAACAAGCTGTCGCCCTGGGGGCTGGAGTAAGACGCCTGGGTTGTGAGGTAGTTTTTCCACAGACATTGCCCGCCTTCCTCACGTGTTCGTTAAAAGTTCTCCACGTGTGGAAACAGCCATTTGCTCTCCATCAGGTGCTGGCGGGTCCTCAGCCCTGAAAAGACAGCTCTCCCAGGGTCCCTCGCTCCTCCCCGGCTCGACGCGGCTCCCGCTAGACTCCGCCCAGACCCCGAGCAGTCCCCGCCCATCTCTTGACTATGCCCCTCCCACGCCCACTTAGGCCTTGCCCCTGGGTCCCGCCCTTCCGGCTCCCGCCCCTGGCTCCCGGCTCCCGCGGGCCCCCACCTGCCCTTCTTGCCCTGGCGCCGCCTCCAGCCCAGCCCGTTTCTTGCAGATTTTAGCTTCTCCCTTGCCTGCCGCCTTTCCCGTTTCGGCTCGGTGAAGCTACCTATGGGTTGCTGTTCATTTAACAAACGGTGATCCGGATAAACATGTTCACTTCTTCGCCTGGGCAAACTTTCCAGCCCCCGACCCACTCATGTCACGATACCTTCCCGTGTCCAAGTCCGGCTCTCTGCTCCCCACTTTTTTTTTTTTTTTTTTTTGAGACAGAGTGTTTCTCTGTCTCCCAGGCTGGAGTGCAGTGGCGCGATCTCAACTCACAGTACCCCCTGCCTCCCGGGTTCAAACGATTTTCTTGCCTCAGCCTCCTGAGTAGCTGGGATTACAGGCGCGCGCCACCACAGCCGGCTAATTTTTATGTTTTAGTAGAGACAGGGTTTCACCATGTTGGCCAGGATGGTCTCCATCTCTTGACCTCGTGATCCGCCCGCCTCGGCCTCTCAAGGTGCTGGGATTACAGGTGTGAGCCGCCGCGCCCGGCCTCTTTGCTCTTTTATACTCTCAGAAGCAATGAGTTCTGGTTAAAAAAAAGGGCTCGATAGACGGAAAAAATGAAGGCTTAAAGAACTGACAACAAAATATTAACATTTGGCTTGTGGAATTCTTACACTCTCGTAAGCAGAAAAAACAAATGTTATGGCAAAAAAGTGTCTCAGACAAATCCGTCTTGGGGGGAAAAAAATTAAAAGAATGAGAAAAACAGACTTCGGAATAAATAGACCCAAAGGAGGAAGTATTGAAAATGGCAAGATTCACTTTTACAAACTTATTTGGAACCACGGCAGATGGCCAGGGCAGGGATTTTGCAAGGCAGCTCCAGTTGTAAGTAAAACCTGAAACAATGGTTTATTTCCACTCTCATTGAAAGTGCTGTCTTATTTTTACAGGAAAGAGTGATGATGGGAATATTAGGCTTTAATTCGAGATCTGAGCTGGTTAAAAATAAAAACGTTTATTATTCCAGAAAAATCTACGTCAGTGTTTTTAAATGTTCTGATTTGAAAAAATATTTGTATATTTTATCTGAATATTAGTTATTATCAAATGATGTAAAAGAAATTTGTAAAGGCTGTACCATAATTGTAACAATAAGGTTTTTCTGTAGAGCAGAGGTATAGAAAAATTAACATTTTTTAAAGTCCTGCATATTTTTAAAACAGTGATATTTATGTTTTTCCTTGCAAAACAATTTTAAGAAACCTTTAAATTGTTAATAGTTTACATGCTTATAAAATGTTTTATATATATCATTTCTAAAAATCGTAATTTTTTTAAGTGAGTTTCTAGGTATACCTTATGGGAGTGTTTCACAGGTACATGTCATCTGTTATTTTTTGGAGTGGAAATGGGTAAGAAGCATACACCAAATGTATCAAATGTTTTTACTATAGATACTTTTGCCTCTGAAAGATGGCATTGTAGAATATAGTCTTCTCATCGTATTGTTCAGTATACTTTCTCTTGAAATCTCAGGTATTCAAAAAAAAAAGTCGTTGTTTTGCTAGATGCAGGAAAAAAGTAAACGCAGTGAACAAAAGATGGCCAACAGTAAAGGTACCCAAGCAAGGATCACAGTCTCAAGGAATGTCAAGTAGAAATTTGTGGGAAAATACCACTCACGTTCAGTCAACTTTCTGTAACAAACTGGAATTTGACCTAGACAGGAAGTGAGAAGCTAGGGCCAAAAGTGTTGTTATTAAAGAGAGGATCTGCTTTTTTAAAGAAAATAAAACCCTGGACCTTGGAGGTTTAGCACTGGAAGCACTGAGGCCCTCCACTATGGCCCTTGGGCTTTCAGTTCCCCCTTGTGATTCTTTCTCTTTGATATCTGCTGCCCATAGCAATCTGGCTTCCAGAGCCCTCTATGTCAATACACACATCTCTTCCCTTGGTCCTGCTTAGCAAGCTAAGAAAAGCTGAATTAAGACAAAACAGAGTACTTAATGTATGGGGAAAATAAAAGTGAAAGAAATATAATTCCTAATATTTCCTGAGTATTGATTCTGTGCCAAGCATTGCATTATTTCCTTGAATTCTTGCAACTAGATAAGAACTGTTACTATCCCCATTTTAAACACAAGGTAAGTAGGTTAAGTGCCCATGTCACACAGCTGCTGAGTAACACAGTCAAGATTCCAGACTTCATACTTCAGAACCCACAGCCATAACCACTAATCTGTCTCAAGTTTCATACAACCAGGCACAAATTATGCAAGAAACAGAGGGACTTAGGAAGTCCAAAATATGGACTTAGCTCTAAAATACTGACCACAGTGTATGGGTATCTTCTTCACTGTTTTCCATCCCATCTTTGCATGACTGCTTTTATTTGATTTTTTAAGGTGGTCATCATGACCCAGTAAGTTGATTTTGTGATCGGTTAAAGGGTAGCTACTCAGAAAAACACTAATCAGAATCCAAAATACAAAATATCAGATTGTATCACATGTAATAAGGGTATTTTTTTCCCAACACAAATTAGGGGAAACTTTCAGCCACATGTGTGTATTCTGGGTTGCAACGTTAAATGTATTTCATACTATGGATTTCAATCAAAAAAAATTTGAAAAACACTATTATAACCACGCCTTGCCTAACTAACATGCATCATTTATCCTTCAGGATCAAGACCAAGGGAAACAAAATCCCATTCTGCAATCCCCTTACATTCCTCTCTTAAGTCCCAGGATCTGGTTTGATGATCTCTTCCCAGGTAATTGACATAAAAATCAGGTCACTCCTGATTAGAGATAGGCCCTTGTCTCCAACTCAAACCCAAGAATATACTAATAACAACAAAATAACCATCTATAAAACAAGAGTTACACAGGTTAAAAGGGGGCTTATTCTGCCAAAGGAGCAGAGATAGAGACTTTGCTGGAAGAAGACCTGGGACAGAGATTGGAGAGCTCTGGAGGGATGTCTGTTTAATAACAGTCTTACAAGTCTGCAGTTACACAGTTTGCACAGTATTTCATCTCATTTTATCACCTCCCTTCCCTCATCATTTTACTTAGCTAATTCTCCCCAATCCTTTAGGTCTCTACTTTGCAGGAACTGACTCTGAGAAGCCTTCCCTAAGCAGCTTTGGCTCTCTGCATTGCAAATTATTTTAATTGCTTCTTCTCCTAGACTGTAAGCTCTGTGAGAATAGGGGAAATGTGAGTCTTAACCTCGAATCCTCTACATGTAGTATCCCAAATAGATTATCAGTTAATATGTGTAGAGGAATGCGTGGTGAATGGATGGATGAACTCGAATTCAAAGACTGGGTAGCTTTCTTACTCAAGATGCTAGTTATTTTCTAAAAAGGGGATACTGTCAATAGAAATAATTCTGATGAGAAAATTCCTTTAGGAGACAAGTCATTTTGAATGGCAATGCAGCATAACATAGTAAAGCACTGAACAGGGCCAGCTCTGTTATTAACTGGGTACTTTATGGCAAGTCCAGTAACTTCTGCAAGCCTCAAATGGGGTTAGACTTACTAAATATTACTTATTTATTTTTGAGACAGGCTCTTGCCCAGGCTGGAGTACAATGGAAAGACCATAGCTCACTATAACCTTGAACTCCTAGGCTCAAGGGATTCTCCCACCTCAACCTCCTGAGTAGCTGGGACTGCAGGCATGCACAACCACATCTGGTTATTTTTACTTTTCATAGAGATGACATCTGGCTGTGTTTCCCAGACTGGTCTCGAACTCCTAGCCTCAAGCAATCCTCTCGCCTGGGCCTCCCAGAGTGCTGGGATTACAGGCATGAGTCACTGCTCTGGGCCTCACTAAATGTTATCCTTGATGAATGTCCTAACAGGATGTTATCCCTCTGGTAACTCGGAAATCAGAGCAGGCCACCTGGAGCCTTATTTACATGAGGTCTCCTGAAAGACACTGACAGCCACTGGGGGATAGCAATTAATTCTCTTAAACAAAGGATGTTAGACAAAGGCTGTCCCCAACAAGAAGGGGTGGAGGGAAGCGAGGAGGGAAATGGAAAGACAAGGAACCTGTGTCCTTGTTCTGAGAAGCCCAGTTCTTGATTTGAGTACAGGGCCTGGAGCATGCTTCTGACTGTAAAACGGAAAGAACCAAACTGTCCTTGTGCGTGTATTGGGATTGGAGAACAGGGAAGAAGGTACAGGAGAAAAGATACCAAAAAGATTTCTGGCCAGGCACGGTGATCATGCCTGTAATCCCAGCACTTTGAGAGTCCTAGGCAGGCAGATAGCTTGAGACCGGGAGTTCAAGACCAGCCTGGGCAAACCCCATCTCTACAAAAAATACAAAAATTAGCCGGGCATGATGGTGTGCACCTGTGGTTCCAGTTACTTGGAAGGTGGAGGCAGGAGGATCACTTGAACCTAGGAAGGTTGAAGTTGCAGTGAGCCATAATTATGCCACTGCACTCCAGCCTGGGTGACAGAGTGACACTTTGTCTCAAAAAAAAAAAAAAAAAGATTTTTAATTCCTCAAGGGAAAAAAACCTCGCCAACTACATCAAGACATCATAGCAGACAGGCAGAATGTTCCAGAAACAGTCCTTTAGGCATTCTGTTCTTCCCTGGAATCTGCTTGCTTTCTTAGCCCTTGGCGAAGGTCTACTGATTCTTGGAGTTCAAATTCTATCATTAATTACCTCTGCTGATAACAGCCAGCCTTTACTAAACTGGTACTAGATCTAAGACGTCACAGAGCACTCCATATGAAATCTTTTAATCTTCACAACTCTATGAGGTAGCTACTATTATTATCTTATTTTGCATATGAGGGAAAAAAGTGAGACCCAAAGCCATGGGTCACTGCTGTGGACTGAATGGTGTCTCTTCTGCCCCCAACCCCCCAGTTTGTGTGTTGAAGTCCTAACTCCCAGTGTGACTGGATTTGGAGACAGAGTTTTTAGAAGGTCCTATGCTTTAGATATTGGTGTCCCCTCCCAAATGTGTGTTGAAACTCAATAACCAATGTAATAGCATTAAGAGGAGCCACCTTTAGGAGATGATTAAGTCATGAGGGTGGAGCCCTTGTGAATGGGATTAGGTGCCTTATCAAAAGGCATGATAGAGGGAGTTCATCCTTTCTTGTCTGCCATGTGAGGACACAGTGTTTCTCCCCTCTGGAGGATGCAACATCATGGCACCATCTTGGAAGCAGAGAGCAGCCCTCACCAGACAAGGCAGTCTGCTGCTGCCTTGATCTTAGACTTCCCAGCCTCCAGAACTGTGTCTAAGTAAATTTGTTTATAAATTACCTATAGTATTTTATTATAGTAAGACAAATGAACTAAGGAGGTGAGATTAAATAAGGTCATAAGGACGAGGCCCTAATCCAATAGGATTGGTGTTCTTATAAGAAAAAGAGGAAGCAGAGTTCTCTCTCGCCACAATGTGAGGACACAGTGAGAAGGCACTCATCTGCAAGCCAGGAAGAAGGCCTTCAGCAAGGAACCAAATCTGCAAGATCTTGATTGATATTGAACTTTTCAGCCTCTAGAACTGTAAGAAAATAAATTCCATTGTTTAAGCCTCAGCCCAAGCGTACTAAGATAGTTACATTGCTTAAAGTAATCTGACTCCCCCTTACAAACTTTACTGTATCTCCCTGCTTTGCCCAGGTGGTCAGATCATTTCTTCTCCCTGTTCTTCAACACAACTTCTCCTATAACGCATACAGTATTTCTTCACTTAAACACACTTATTTTTTTAACATTGAAGTATCTCTGAAATTAGAATTCATCTTGAAATTGAAGAATATCATAGTTTAATTTTAGGAGGTAAAAAAAACTAATGGTTTCTTATAATTGGTAGCACCTTAGATTGAGTAACACATATTATAATTGTTTATGCTTCTTTTGCCCCCCCTCAGCTATGAATCCTTTGAAGACAGACACCGATTTACTCAACTTTGTGTTCTTAATACCAAGCACAGTTTCTGGCACAATAAAAAGGAATTTTACAAATTTCTTTAATCCAGTTGAAGAAGGAAGGTCATCCACCCAATGGGGTGATGGGTGGGTAGAATCTAGGAGTCAAAAGTCATTACTGTTGTCGCCAAAACTCATGGATGTCCCCAAGACCTTAATGGCCTGTGAAAACAAAGTCACAACTTCTCTGAAGTTTATCCCAGTTAAGTTCTATCTGCCTCTAAAGGCCTGTAATTTCTCCCCTTGGCAATTAATTCAGCAGGTTCCTTCTCTGCTTGACAAATTGTCATTTATTTTCCATCCTTCATGTTTGGTTCAGGCCATTTTTAATCCATTAAGGCAGTTATATTAATGACAAAGTAAAATTTTAAAATCTGATTTTGCAAACTCAAGTCTAATTGCATTTAGAGTTTAAGTGGAAGGTGGCACTCAGCTCTCAGAGGTGTTTGGTCTGATTCATATTGTGTTTTTTAAATTTTGAAATGAATATCAGAAAACACATTTAAAAAGCAAGTTGTATTAGTACATTTTCAGGATGCTATAAAGAACTGCCTGAGACTGGGTAATGTATAAAGGAAAGAGGCTTAATTGACTCACAGTTCTGCATGGCTGGGGAGGCCTCAGAAAACTTACAGTCATGGCAGAAAGAGAAGGGGAAGCAAGAACCTTCTTCATAAGCAGCAGGAAGAAGTGCTGAACGAAGGGGAAGAGCCCTTTATAAAACCATCAGATCTCGTGAGAACTCACCCACTATCAGGAGGACAGCATGAGGGAAACTGTCCCCATGATTCCATTACCTCTACCTGGTCTCTCCCTTGACACATGGGGATTATAATTCAAGATAAGATTTGGGTAGGAACACAAAACCTAACCATATCACAAGTATTTTGGCTTTTTCTGAAAAATCAGAAGCTCTGACAGTGTTGTTCCCCCACTCACTCAGGGCATTTATTATTGGAATGAGGCTGCCTGGTTCAAAGGCACAGATGTTCCACATTTTCCTGTAACCCCAACTGGGTATTATTTAACCTATCTGCCTGGCTCCTGAAGGCCCTTGAGTTTATGATGACTCTTAAGTGAAGAGCTTGATCATTTAAGCCTCCAGCTTAAGAATGATCATAAAACCTGCAAAATGAACAGCTTTGCCCAGAAATTCATTAATGTTGTACATGAATTCATGATTTTTAATAGTTACATTTGCCCCTATGAATAGATTTTTCACAATTTTTATATCTATCTTCTGGAGAAGGAACTTTTTGTGCATTAGGAATTACCTGTTAAGGTGTCAACTTTTGCTATTTAAACAAAAGAGAAAAATACTTAATAAAGTTGAAGTGTAAAATAGGAAATTGGGTTTCCAGTGTGGCCCTGCATGTATAATGTTGTGTTGATGGCACTCACAGAACACACAGTCCTACCTAGCTAAGAGTCCCATGTGTTTCTTTCCCTGGGGCCCTCTCTTCTCACATAACACATGAGAGAAGGGAGGTGAATGTTTGTTAGCTATCATGTTCACATTTTATTTTATGCCACAAATGGTAATAGCAGTCACTTTCTGATTACATTTAAAACTGAACTCCAAGGCTGCACAGAATGTGGGTATCTAATTCTTCTGTTATTATGGTGAGAGTCTCTTGCCTAGTCATACAATATGTGCTACTATTGGTATTATTAATGTTAGTTGGGATAACTTCTTAGTGAATGAGAGAACACTAAGACAACAGGCCTAAACAAGATGATTCAAGCTTATTTTATTTAAGAATGTCTGGATATAGGTGGTCCAGGATCAGTTTGCCCAGGGTGAGGCCTGGGCCTCAGGCTCCTTCCATCCTGTTGCTTGGTCATGCATGATCTACATTCCCAAAATCACCAGGATTTCAGCCTAGCTCTGGTGATCCCCCAGCCTGTAGGAAGGAGAAGGGTCAGAAGATTCTGCCCTTGAACTCCTTAAATTCTACCTGCTCCAAGAATCCTTTCTCAGCTAGTTGAGAGATTAGATTGGTAATTTCTCTTAAGAATTAACTAGAAACTTACTTTTAGTAGAGTTTAGGCTGGATGTGGTGGCTCACACATGTAATCCTAGGACTTTGGGCGGCTGAGGGAGGTGGATTATTTGAGGTCAGGAGTTCGAGACCAGCCTGGCCAACATGGTGAAACCCCGTCTCTACTCAAAATATAAAAATTAGCCATGTGTGGTGGCGTGTGCCTGTAATCCCAGCTACTCAGGAGGCTGAGGCAGGAGAATTGCTTAAGCCCAGGAGGTGGAGGTTGTTAACAAGATTGTAAGGTGGAGATTCTAGATATAAAAACAGTAAATTAGGGCTACCTGACAAACTTTAAAAGCATTTCTCAGGTGCTGCTGTTGGTCCAGGATCCATACTTGAAGAACCATTGCATGTCTGGGTGCAGTGGCTCATGCCCATAATCCCAGCACATTGGAAGGCTAAGGTAGGAGGATCACTTGAGGCCAGGAATTGGAGACCAGCATAGCCAATGTAGCCAGATCTCCTCTCTAGAAAAATAATTTGTTAAAAATTAGCGACAGAGTGAGACCCTGTCTCAAAAAAATGAGTTACCAGTGGGTTCACACACACTGCAGGTTTTGTCAATGACTCACTTGTATACAGAACCATAAGAAGTATGTGTGCCCAGGAGAGCTGGACTTCAGAAAGCCCAGGTTAGGATTCTGGACAGACAATCCTGAGGCCAGATCTGACTCAGAGGCATGAGACTTCAGGTCTGTGAATGGACTACATGGGCCTGTGGGCTAGGATGACCAGGCGTGGCAGCCACCAGCACCAAAGACCAGAGGCTCTTCCCCATTGTTTATGGGTTTGTATACAACCCCAAGGACGGGGAATGGGAACCAGGAAAAAAAAAAAACATATATATTGCATGGCAGCCCAGTGTTTCTTCTTCCCTCCCTGCTTCTCTTCGCTTCCTTACAGATATTGTCCCCAAAATTATTCCCCATATGAATTCCGGCATGCAAATCACAGAGTTTCAGAGACCGTTTCTTAGGGAGTCTGACCTGCTGTAATCTTAAAGCTGGTTATGTCATTTCTCCGCTTAAAACCCTTTGCGAACAGACTAAAGTATTAAGTCCTTAATTTGGCACAGAAAGTTTGGCTCCAATCCTTCTCTCTCTCTCCTCAGCTTCCTCTGTCACCATGACTCTGTCCTTCAGGCAACCTCATATCTGCATCCCCAAATCCCTGATCCCCATTTCTTTGCATATGGTCTTCTGTCTGCCAAGGATAAATTTCCCACCTTCTGCTTATCCTTCTGTTCTTTCTTAAAGGCTTGAATCAGGTGTCACCTGCTCTGGGAGGTCTTCTCATTTTTCCCCATAGCACCATACAACTCTTTGTATAATTTGTAATACCATCTAAAATTGAAACTTATTTATGTACCTGACCCTCCTACTAAGCCATGAGTGCCTCTAGGTAGAGTTTATATCGTTGGCCCTATGCTCTCTTCTGTGCATTGTAGATTCTCAATATAATTTTGGTGAATGAATGAATAAATGCATGAATAATGAATGAATAAACACCAGGATAAGCTGGACACTGTTAAAAGTATTAAACATTTGGAAATTTGTGCCGTACTTAGTTCCTGGTATCTTATATCTAGAATACCATGTATCTTCTTTTAGAGTCTATTTTTAAAAAATCTTTGAGATGATGGACTACCATGTTGACCAGCAGCAAATCTAAGTATACATTTCAAGACAAAATGAAATCCAAACCCCAGATCTTTAAAGCTAGTTCTGTTTATAAAACACAGGGAATGGAAAGGGCTAGGTGTGGAAACATGAATGATTTCAGAAAAAATAAGAGAAAGACCTGATTAAATTGGGTTGGCTGGTGAGAGACTGGAAATTTTCTTTCCATTCCCAAGAGGCTTATTTTTTTATCTTTCTTTTTCACACCGTAAAGTGTCAAATTAAATTGCAAAATTAATTCTCATCACTAAGGAAGGGATTCTAAATGTATTAATTAAGGATTACTGGGCATTTTAATTTTATTCATCAGAATGAAAACTTTTAAGTAATTAGAATTATTTTTTCACTTCTCCATATTTATTTTATTATGCAGTATTACAATTTACCATCCATACTTTATACTCTAGGTTCCAAAGCCTTGGATGACTATTTTAAAATAAAAGTTGTGTATATTAATATCTTTGATTTTGTGAATTACGATACTGGAGTTCCCTTGAGAAATTATGTTCTTTTTTCTTCAAAGATAAGGTCCTTAACAGGATGAGATCTTATCTTGCATGAAACCATGAATTCACTGTGGAGAAGAATGATTTGGATTTCACTCTGGTAGAACATGAAGTACCTTTTGAATCTTTTACTGTCTCAGTGATTTATCTTATGCATGAACGTAATCTTTAGCATCTTTCAAAACAGATTGCTCTCTCTTTATAGAAATTGAACAGTTGTTCCAGAAGGAACTCTAATGGGAAGAAACAAAATTATTTCTTTCTGATAAGGTAACAATGTAAAAAACAAAGTAAAATGAAAATGATATCTTTGAAAATCCAAGAATTTAGTGATTATGTCAAAATTAATATTTTCATATATATATCTTTTTTTTTTCTTTTTTTTTTGAGACGGAGTCTCGCTCTGTTGCCCAGGCTGGAGTGCAGTGGCATGATCTCAGCTCACTGCAAGCTCTGCCTCCCGGGTTCACACCATTCTCCTGCCTCAGCCTCCCGAGTAGCTGGGACTACAGGCGCCCGCCACCAGGCCTGGCTAATTTTTTGTATTTTTAGTAGAGACGGGGTTTCACTGTGTTAGCCAGGATGGTCTCGATCTCCTGACCTCATGATCCACCCGCCTCGGCCTCCCAAAGTGCTGGGATTACAGGCTTGAGCCACCATGCCTGGCCCATATTTTCATATATTTTAAGACAGTGAAGTGGTCATTGAAAAAGTTCAAAATTATACTTTCTTTACAAATGAATGTTGACAAGACTGTAAATTCCAAATTGTGAAAATTTAATCTGAAAAACAAAATTATAATCCAATTTAAAATTACAGCATAAGTTTCTTTTTCCAAATTTGATGTCTTTTTTTTTTTTTTTTGAGATAGAGTCTTGCTCTGTTGCCAGGCTGGAGTGCAGTGGTGCAATCTCGGTTCACTGCAACCTCCACCTCCCGGGTTCAAGTGATTCTCCTGCCTCAGCCTCCCAAGTAGCTGGGAGTACAGGCACCCGCCACCATGCCCAGCTAATTTTTTGTATTTTTAGTAGAGACAGGGTTTCACCATGTTGGCCAGGATGGTCTCAATCTGTTGACCTCGTGATCTACCGGCCTCGGCCTCCCAAAGTGCTGGGATTACAGGTGTGAGCCATCACACCCGGCCTGCTCTGTCTTTTAACATTTAGTTGGGATCCCTCTGCTACTTTCACTCAGTAAATGAGCTATTCTAATTCAGAGATAATATTAAAAAAAATAATTCCATGGGAAGGGAACAATGTTGGAAGTTATGATTCTTGAAGCAAAACTAAACTGTAGTGCTTCAAATGGCACCAACAATCAGTGGTTTTTTTAAAACGTTAAATCATGGCTTTGTATTAACAAAATGAAAGCTTTAGTTTTTTATATATGGACAGAGAAAATATGTGCGTAGAAGCACAATGTCCCCTTGTCACCTTGATGAACAGAGATTATTATTAACAAAAATGTAATACAGGCATACAGAGAGTCTGGAAATCTGTCTGTGAAGATTTAAATCCTGGCAGTGGGTAGCAGCTGTTTTAAATTTAAGAGGACAGGAGTGAGTTAGCGACATTTTGTAATAAATGAGCCCTCAGCACACACCAATTGCTGGTAAATTCAGAAAATGATAAACATTCTTCTTGAGCAAGAAAGCAAGATAGGAAACACACCTGCAAAGACTCATTTTCGAAACAGGAAAGATGTTGTTGTGGAACTGAGACATTTGCTAAAGTTTCTCCATTAGTTGATTTCACCTTTGTCTTCCATCTTTTTCCATTCAGGACCATCTTCAAATTTCAATAGTTCTAATGAAATCTGAGATTTTGATAAAAACACACAAAACACAAAAAACCTTGACAGCTCTGAAGTATCAACTTCCATTTTAAAACTAGCAAAGCATCCAAAGTAATTTTTTACTATTTATTTGATATAATTTTCTTCCTTTCATCTATACATTTTTTGTATGCAAAAATAACATTTTTTGAACAATCAACAAAAAATCAAACTAGTAAATTTTAAAAATGAAAAAATAAACTGTAGAGAAAACTGAGCAGTCCCTAAGCCATACATTAAAGGGGCTTTTAACAACATATTAACAATAAGTGTATGTTTTACGTTTTCATCCTTTGGTTGGCATTCCAGAGAGCTAGTAAGAAAACTTTGAACAAACTTCTTCTTTTTCTTTTTTTTAATTAATTTTTTATTGATACATAATATTTGTACATACTTATGGGGCACATGTGGTATTTTGTTACATGCATAGAATATGCAATTATCCAGTCAGGGTGTTTAGGGTATTCCTCACCTCCAGTATTTATTATTTCTTTGTGTTGGTAACATTTCAAGCCTTCTCTTCTAGCTGTTTTGAAATATGCAATACATTGTTGTTAACTATAGTCATTTGACTCTGCTATGTAACATCAGAACTTATTCCTTCTATCTAACTGTATGTTCATACCCATTAACCAACCTCTCTTCATCCCTCCCATCCCACACCCTTCCCAGCCTCCGGTAACTATCATTTTACTCTCCACCTCCATGAGATTAACTGTTTTAGCTTCCACATATGAGTGAGAACATGTGATATTTATCTTTCTGTGCCTGGCTTATTTCACTTAACATAATGACCTCCAGTTCCATCCCTATTGCTGCAAATGACAGAATTTCATTCTTTATGGCTGAATAGTATTCCATTGTGTGAATAGTATTCCATTTTATTTACCCATTCATCTGTTGATGAACACTTCAGTTGATTCTATATTTTTTGCTATTGTGAACAGTGCTGCAATAAATACGGGGGTGCAGGTATCCCTTTGATATACTGACTCCCTTTCCTTTGTATAAATACCCATTAGTGGGTTTGTTAGATCTCATGGTAGTTCCATTTTTTTGTTTGTTTGTTTTTGAGAAGTCTCTGTACTGTTTTCCATAATGGCTGTACTAATTTACATTCCCATCAACAGTGTCTGAGCTCCCTATTCTATATATCCTTGCCAGTTTGTCTGTTATTTTTTGTCTTTTTGATGATAGCCATTCTAACTGGGGTAAGACGATATTTCATTGTGGTTTTGATTTGCATTTCCCTGATGATTAGTGATATTGAACATTTTTTCACAAACTCGTTGGCCATTTGTATGTCTTCTTTTGAGAAATGTCTATTCTTGTCCTTAGCCCATTTTTAAATGGTATTACTTGTTTTTTTCCTGCTGTTGCGTTTGAGTACTTTGTATATTCTCGACATTAGTCCCTTGTCAGATGAATAGTGCAGATGAATAGGGAGAAATATGCAAATATTTTCTCCCATTTTTGTTTCTTCATTCTGCTTATTGTTTCCTTTGCTGTACAAAAGCTTTTTAGTTTTATGTAGTTTAATTTGCCTATTTTTAGTTTTGTTGCCTGTGCTTTTGAGGTCTTAGCATGAAATCTTTGCCTAGACCAATGTCCTAGTGTGTTTACCCTGTTTTCTTCTAATAGTTTTATCGTTTCAGGTTTTACGTTTACATTTTTAACCCATCTTGAGATGATTTTTGTATATAGTGAGAAATACAGGTCTAGTTTCATTCTTCTGCATATAGATACCCAATTTTCCCAGCACCACTTATTGAAAAAGGTGTCCTTTCCCCAAAGTACGTTCTTGGCACCTTTGTTGAAAATCAATTGACTGTAAATATGTAGATTTATTTCTGGGTTGTCTATTCTGTTCCATTTGTCTGTGTGTCTGTTTTATGTGAGTACTATGCAGTTTTGGTTACTATAGCCTTGAAATATGTTTTGGGCTAGGCACAGTGGCTCATGCCTGTAATCCCAGCACTTTGGGAGGCCGAGATGGGTGGATCACTTGAGGTCAGGAGTTCGAGACCAGCCTGACCAACATGGTGAAACCTTGTTTCTACTAGGAAAATACAAAATTAGCTGGGCATGGGGATGCGTACCTATAATCCCAGCTACTTGGGAGGCTGAGGCAGGAGAATCGCTTGAACCTGGGAGGTAGAGGTTGCAGTAAGCTGAGATTGTGCCATTGCACTCCAGCCTGAGCAACAAGTGCAAATCTCTGGCTAAAAAAAAAAAAAAAAGAAAGAAAGAAATTTTGAAGTCAGGTAGCATAATGCCTCCAGCTTTGTTCTTTTTGCTCAGTATTGCTTTGGCTATTTATGTTCTTTTTTGGTTCCAAACAAATTTTAGGATTTTTTTTCTAATTCTGTGAAAAATTAGATTGGACTTTTGATAAAGATTGCGTTGAATCTATAGATTGCTTTTGATAGTATGGTCATTTTAACCATATTGATTCTTCTGACCAATGAGCTCAGGATGGCGTTTCATTCATTTGCGTCCTCTTCAGTTTCTTTCATCAGTGTTTCGTAGTTTCCATTGTAAAGTTCTTTCACCTCTTTAGTTAAATTGATTTCTAGGTATTTTATTATTTTTGTAGCTATTGTAAATGGAATCCTTCTTAATTCTTTTTCATATAATTTGTTATTAGTGTGTAGAAATGCTATTGATTTTTGGATGTTGATTTTGTGTGCTTCAACTTTACTGAATTTGTTTATCAGATAGATCTAAGACTTTTTTGGTAGAGTATTTAGGTTTTTCTAAATATAAGATTATGTCATCTGCAAAGAGGGAAAATTTGACTTCTTCTTTTCTGGTTTGGATGCCTTTTTATCTTTTTTTTTTTTTCTTACTTGATTGCTCTGGTGAGACTTCTCATGCTGTGTTTAATAGGAGTGGTTAAAGTGGGTGTCCTTGTGTTGTTCCAGTTCTCAGAGGAAAGGCTTTCAGCTTTTTCGCATTCAGTATGCTGTTAGCTAAGGGTTTGTCATATATGGCCTTCATTAAATTGAGGTATGTTTCTTTTATGCCTAATTTGTTGAGAGTTTTTATCATGAAGGGATGTTGAATGTTATCAAATGCTTTCTCAAATGCTTTTGCTGCATCTACTGAGGATTGTGTGGTTTTTGTCCTTCATTCTATTGACATGTTGTATCATGTTTACCAATTTGTGTATGTTGAACTATCCTTGCATCCCCGGGATAAATCCCACTTGATCGTGGTGTGTTTTTGATGTACTGTTGGATTCAGTTTGCTAGTATTTTCTTGAGGATTTTTGCGTCTATCTTTATTCGGGACATTGGCCTGCAGTTTTCTTTTATTGTTGTGCCCTTGTCTGGTTTTGGTATCAGAGTAATATTGGCTTCAGATAATGAGTTAGGGAGAATTTCCTCCTCACTCTGTCGCCAGGCTGGAGTGCAGTGGCGCAATCTCGGCTCACTGCAACCTCCGCCTCTTAGGTTGAAGTGATTCTCCTGCCTCAGCCTGGGTCTGAGTAGCTGAGACGACAGGCGCCCGCCACCACGCCCAGCTAATTTTTGTATTTTTAGTGGAGACTGGGTTTCACCATGTTGGCCAGGATGGTCTCGATCTCTTGACCTTGTAATCCATCCACCTCGGCCTTCCAAAGTGCTGGGATTACAGGTATGAGCCATCACGCCTGGCCCTTCAGTTTTTTTGAAATAGTTTTAGGATAATTGAGGTTAGCTCTTCTTTATAAATTTGGTACAATTCAGCAATGCAGCCATTGGTCCTGGACTTTGCTTTGTTGGGAGACTTTTTAATCACTGGTTCAATCTCATTACTTGTTATCAGTCTGCTCAGGTTTTCTATTTCTTCCTCATTCAATTTTGGTAGGTTGTATACATCCAGGAATTTATCCATTTCCTTTAGGTTTTCCAGTTTGTAGCACATGATTGTTCATAATAGTCTCTAATGATCTTTTGTATTTCTTTTTTTTTTTTTTTTTGAGACAGAGTCTTGCTGTGTCCCCCAAGCT
The DNA here is from genome assembly GCF_000001405.40 of Homo sapiens. Taxonomy (NCBI): domain Eukaryota; kingdom Metazoa; phylum Chordata; class Mammalia; order Primates; family Hominidae; genus Homo; species Homo sapiens. The sequence continues at coordinate 31,048,568 of NC_000010.11, forward strand.
GGAGTGCAATGAGGCAATCTCTGCTCACTGCAACCTCCGCTCACTGCAACCTCCGCCTCCCGGCTTCAGGTGATTCTCCTGCCTCAGCCTCCCAAGTAGCTGGGACTACAGGAGCCTGTCACCATGCCTGGCTTTTTTTTTTTTTTTTTTTTTTTTTTTTTTTTGTATTTTTAGTAGAGAGGGGTTTCACTATGTTGGCCAGGCTGGTCTCAAACTCCTGACCTCGTGATCCACCCGTCTCGGCCCCCCAAAGTGCTGGGATTACAGGTATGAGCCACCATGCCTGGCCGATCTTTTGTATTCCTGTGATAACTAGTTGTAATGTCTCTTTTTTTGTTTCTATTTTGTTTATTTGGGTCTTCTCTCTTTTTTCCTTGCAAACATCTTCTTTAATTTTAAAAAGTGTGGATTTTTAAAATTGCCAACTCTAGTATTTTTAAATATAACATAATTGATGTGAATGGTAAAACTTATATTTCTTAATAAACCTAATGAAAAAGAAAACAAAATTCCCCCAAGTTGCCATTTTAATTCCCTAAAATAGATGTTTGTGTCCCTTAGCAACCTGCAAACTATATGTATTTCTTTTTTCCTTGTCATTAAATCGTCATCCAAGAAAACCAATGATAAGAAGGATCTATACAGAGAAGAAAAGTAAAAACTGGGATTAAAAATATAGGATAGTAGGCCTGGCGTGGTCGCTCACGCCTGTAATCCCAGCACTTTGGGAGGACGAGGCAGGCGGAACACTTGAGGTCAGGAGTTCAAGACCAGCCTGGCCAACATGGTGAAACCCCATCTCTTCTAAAAATACACACACCCAAAAATTAGCCGGGCATGGTGGCGCATGCCTGTAGTCCCAGCTACTCGGGAGGCTAAGGCAGGAGAATGGCTTGAACCCAGGAAGTGGAGGTTGCAGTGAGCCAAGATCACACCACTGCACTCCAGCCTGGGTGACAGCAAGACTCCGTCTCAAAAAAAAAAAAAAAAAAAAAGGATAGTAATATAAACTATACCTAATATATAGGTATATATATACACACACACACACACACACGATATATATAGTTCTATACCCTCACTATATAGTTCTATACCCTCACTTACTTCTAAAGTTTAGATGAGTTTCATTAAAATTGCATGGTTTTCAGAACTTTTTGTAGATTTTTGACATCATCAGATGTATGATACACACACACACATTGAAACCACATAGGTGGAGGTACATAAACTGAAATGAACTGATAAAATATATTTTATGTTACTTTTAGGATATATAATAAACTCAAAAATAATGTTTTCTCAAATAATTACAACCCAGGCTTTGTAAAACTACTGTCTTCCAGTAATAATGATACATAGTAATCTTTCTTTATAATAAACATTACAGTTATAAACCTTAGGGTTGTAAGGAAGTTTAAAAACAAATATTTACATTTTTATTTTCAAAATAAGAAGTAAAATAATTCCCATTATTACTGTTTACATTACTGCTTCCAAGCATGCCTGAGGATATGAGAAAAATGTTCTTTGTTATCCTGATCATAAATGGCCAATTATTACCTCCCCAATCACATGAAATTAGAATCTGGAATTAAAACAACTACAAAAAACTACAAAAAACAAATAGAAAAAAAAAACCTTCAGAGTGCCCCATAAGCACTCTATTCCTTCCATTTTGATGGATTTTTCTTTTTAGTATCATTGGGACTGAAAACAATACTTGTCCTATACTGTTATTTCTAATATAAAATTTGGGTTTGCATATGGTTTCTCCCTTGTATTGTAAGATCCTTGGTAGTAGAGGATACATTTTTGCTTTTCTTATTTGTCTCCCAGTATTGTGCTGTGTTCACAGAAGGTCCTTAAAATACAATTTTTAAAACACACTGAAATAAATAAGAACATGTCTTGTCCTTAAACATAATTACAAAGACATATTGATAGCTACTTTGAAGGGAAGGACTCAAGCAAAGCTAAATTGTAAATAGTTGCCAATTCCTTTAGCTAGTGTCTTGAAAGGGCAACATGATAACCTTTGATGTCTAGTACAAGTCTTGAATCTGCAGGAGCAAAACCTTAGAAACCCTCAAGCCCCAAACCATGGAAATCCAATTTTGACTTAAATAAAAAGCATTCTGTTGAAAATGGTTTTATACGTTAAGAATCCTTGATGCATACCTTCTATTAATTTTTCTTTAATCTTTTGGAAAAAGAACTGATTTTGATATAATCTGTGTCATAAAACATAATACAGTAACTCTTAAGTATACAAAAGCAATTATTGCTGTTAACTAAATGGAGAATTTTAAAAATTCTGTGAAGAGACATTTAATGAAACAGGATCTACATTAATTTTAAAGATTTCCGAGTTCTGAAATGAACACATATGCCCAGAAAAACCTAATTGAACACCAAATTTATCTATCGTTAAGTATTTTTATTCCTTACAAATACTTTTAATGTATGAAATTAGAATTTTATGTTACAGAATAAATGCTAATTTTTTTAAAAGTCTTACTTTCATATCTATTACCTGTGTTTATTCATTCAACATGTATTATCAATCACGTGCTCTGTGCAAGATACTATAATATAGACTTTGTAAGAGAAAAATATCAGTAAGGCATTGACTTTTAATAATCTTTAAATTCAACAGAGGAGATCAGATAGGTAGAAAACAAGTAATAATAGTACAAGATAGAAAATTCTAAGTATAGTTCAATTTTAATTATGAATATAAGTTCTAAATAAATATTTAGTAATGCAAATTTGGCAACATTAACATTAATTATAAGTATAAACTGTATTTATAAGTGTATTTATAAACTGTATTTATAAGTGTATTTATAAACTGTATTTATAACTGTATTTATAAACTGTATAAACCTATATAGGTTTATTAAGGGAATATGTATACATACATATGTATACAGTTTTAGGACATATGTAGTAAGTACTACATATGTGTTATACTATTAGTTATGTATTCCAGGAATATAAGGATGAGTCAACATTATGAGATATATTTAGTTTATCATATTAACTATTAAGGGAGGAAAATATATGTATTTATAAATATACACAAGAAACACATTTGATAAACTTCAGCAGTGATTAGCCAAAAACTCAAAACCAGCAACCGTAATGTTAAAAGGCAAATACCTAAAGCAACTATTGTTAGAATCAGGAAATAGGTCGGAATACCTACTGTATTAGTCAAGGGTCAGTCAGGAAGCAGAAGCTACACCAGTTATTTTAGCAGAGAGAATTTAATCTAAAGAATTATTAACTAGGTATTAAATTGTTCATGAGGTAGCTAAAAGAGAACTTGAGATCACAGAAATAGGAACTGCAGAAAACTGCTACTGCTCTGTGATTGGGTGGGATCAAGAAAAGAGGTTGGATTTATTAAAGCTTAGGAGCTTGGAGAAGGGCTGTCTTGGAAATGAAGCTCAGACTTCTGAGTAGAAAGTGCTGATAGTATCTCCGGGGGAGATACGGCATTTAGAAATACTGTCAGTTGGGTTCACTTGTTGCTACAGGAAGGAACTGCTGCTGCCAAGATGAAGAAGCATTGGTGGGATGCCACTCATATGAAAAAGAGGCAAATAGGGAGCCCCCAAAAAAACATGCAGGAAGGAACAAGCCTCTTCCTCCTCCTTCAGCCTGTGAGCTCCGTGAAGCACCTCTATCAGCACAGTTTAATGGGAGCCAACTTGCAAAGCAAAAATAAGGTTTGAAGTTCTAGCCCAGGCATTACCAGCCCAGTAACAAAGGCTGGCTTTGGAAGTAAGACACAATAACTTAATAAATGGCATATTTACTATCATCGTTTTATTCAAAATAGTTTTGGGATTTAGGCTAACCCGGAAGGTTTAAAAAACCCAAAATAAACCATAATAATATAAATGCTTGGGAAAGGGGGCAATTCATTTTATTTGCAAAGACATTATTATACCTAGAAAACCCACAAAACTGTATTAGAACATGTTTTAAAATAAGAGAATTAGGTAAGGTGGCAAGATATAAGATAAATATACAAATATAATGTAATTTGTACTAGCTACAACTTTGTTGTGTATCAAAACAATCATACCACAGTGGCTTACAAGAGCAAACGTTTATTTCTCACTAACTTTACATGAGGGCTGATGGTTGGTGTTGGGAAACTCTCCTCCATATGTTACTCTTTTTCCTACACATCTTGCTGGGTGTGCTAAGCATGCAAGGGCCTAATCATTTCCTACCCAGCCTTTTCTCAGGGTTATGTTTACAACAAGCAACCTCGAGGGAGGAGGTGATTTTTACCTCTGGGACAAAGAGCTGGCTTGCTCACTACTTGCTATGAAATCATGGGAATTTAAGTTCTATATTCCTTTCCTGTAGCGCAACCCAGCATTTGTTCAGGCATCCATCTGGGCCTATTCACATCATCACTGAAAATGAAGACTCAGGGAACCAAAACAGACATGCTGACATTCTGACTACTGCTTTTGCTGTAATCAAGTGTTTTGTCTCTAACCCAAGTGTCTTCATTCAGCATCCATGAAACTGGCAAGTTAACATGTTGGCTTGAAAGTAAGGCGAAATATGAGACCCTTCCCAGTTCTTCACAGTTGGCTGCTACACTGCTTCATGCTGTGTAGGAGGTCAGTAGGAGGTCTGCTTCACAAGCTGTCTCATTCTGGGATCTAGACTGAAGAAGTAGCCCCTACCTGGACATTTCCATGTCATGGAGCAGAAGCTCAAGAGGCCAAAAGAAATCACAGAGCTGATTTAAAGTTTCTGTTTGGATGTACTTGTGTCACATCCACTCACATTCATTGGCCAAAACAAATCCCATGGCCAGCCCAAATTGGGGGAGGAAGCATGCTTCATCTCTGAAGGTATTGTAAATTATACCCAACATGCATGAATGTATAGTCCTCTAACCAAGGAGGGAGTAGTTAATGACAAATAATATAATTTACCATACTCACAAAAAGTAGTTAAATATAAATGGAAAATAAAGCCCTCTTCCCAACAGCCAAGAAAAAAAACTCTAAAAAAATTTAATAAAAAATTACAGTGTCTATATGCAAATCTTTTTTCTTGAAGAATATAAAGTAAACCTTAATAGATGAAAACTTATGCCATGTTACTGGATGGAAATATAGTATGATAAAAAACTTCTCTATTTTAATGCAAATTAAATCAGAATCTTAGTTTATGGTGTTCTTTAAAATGAAAATGAGTTATATATCCATCTATGGACCAGCTAGATCATCTATGAGAAACTGTTAAGTGATAAAGCAAGTTGCAAGAAAATGTGCAATATAATACCATTTTATTTTATAAGATAAAAACATTGCATGTTTGTGTGTATGTTAATGTAAGTATGAATACATTTATAGGTACATGAAGAATAGGGTAGATGGATAACTTGATTTACATCAGAGGGATTAGTTTGTAGAGAGGCTGGGGGAATGATTCTTTTTTCTTTATGTATCTTTATATTGTTTAACAATGGAGTTCAGTCCAACAGTAAATTTAAAAATCACACTTTGGGAGGCTGAGACGGGCTGATCACCTGAGGTCAGGAGTTCAAGACCAGTCTGGCCAACATGATGAAACCCCGTCTCTACAAAAATACAAAAATTAGTCTGGCATGATGGCGGGTGGCTGTAATCCCAGCTACTGGGGAGACTGAGGCGAAAGAACTGTTTGAACCTGGGAGGTGGAGGTTGCAGTAAGCTGAGATCGTGCCATTGCACTCCAGCCTGGGTGACAGAGCGAGACTCCATCTGAATAAACAACAACAACAAAAATCAGAGAATCATAAAAAATATTTTAAACCTAGCCTAAGTCTCTATTAGAAGGTAGCATCTTACTTTATTTTATTTTATTTTATTTTATTTTATTTTATTTTATTTTATTTTATTTTATTTTATTTTTTGAGACAGGGCCTCATTCTGTTACCCAGGCTGGAATGCAGTGGTGCAATCATAGTTCACTGCAGCCTCAAATTCCTGGATGCAAGCAATCCTCTTACCTAAGCCTCCCAAGTAGCTGGGACTACAGGCATGCATCACCATGCCTGGCTGTTTGTTAAAAAAAAAAGTTGTAGAGAGAGAATTTTGCTATGTTGCCCAGGTTGGTCTGGAACTCCTGGCTTCAAGTGATCCTCGCTCTTTGCCTCCCAAATTGTTGGGATTACAAATGTGAGCCAATGTATCCAGACTTAGTTTTTATTTTAGATTCAAGGAGCACATATGCAGGTTTGTTACATGGTATATTGCATGATATTGACGTTTGGGTTTCTAATGGGTGGCATATTTTAGACCTGTAACATATTTGTACTCATAGAATGAACAAATAATGTGCTTATAAGGTTCAGATATGAGAAGAAACCAGGCAGTCATGTAGCAACTGCCATTAGCAGCACTAATTACTCTTCAAAACCAGCTTGGCATTCTTGAAAATACCCCTCATTAATATTTTTCTTCTATAAGGCAGCTGAAGATGGCAGCCCAAACACACAAATCTGATGAGACTTACTTATATATCAAAGTTAGATCCAGGTATATTGCAAGCAACAGGGATTCAACTTCCTCAGTGTGTTTCATGTGAAGAAAACACCAGTCAAAGGAACTATGTAGCCCTCGCTTAGCTTTAATGCATTTAAATCCAATTTACATAAACCTTATTTTTATATGGGTAGGCTTTATTATTATAGAGTGCAATTCTCTGCATATATAATATTAATATGGGAACATATGCAGAAGATGTAATGGCTGTAAAGATTTTGTATAAAGTAGCTGTATTAGTCTGTTGTCACACTGCTATAAAGAACTATCTGAGACTGGGTAATTTATAAAGAAAAGTTTAATTGACTCACAGTTCTGCATGGCTAGGGAGGCCTCAGGAAACTTACAATCATGGCTGAAGGTGAAGGGGAAGCAAGGCACGTCTTACATGGCAGCAGGAGAGACAGAGTGAGGGGGGATGTTTCACACTTTAAAACCATCAGATCTCATGAGAACTAATTCACTATCACAAGAACAGCAAGGCAAGAATCTGCCCCCATGATCCCGAGAGGTAACAGCATGCTGGCAGCCCTCGCAGCCCTCACTCACTCTTGGCGCCTCCTCAGCCTTGGTGCCCACTCTGGCCACACTTAAGGAGCCCTTCAGCCCGCCGCTGCACTGTGGGAGCCCCTTTCTGGTCTGGCCAAGGCTGGAGCTGGCTCCCTCAGCTTGTGGGGAGGAGTGGAGGGAGAGGTGTGGGCGGGAACAGGCAATGCCTGCCTGCTTGGGGGCCAGCTAGAGTTCTGGGTGGGCGTGGGCTTGGCAGCCCCTCACTCGGAGCCGCTGGCCGGCCCCCCCTGCCCCAGGTAGTAAGGGGCTTAGCACCTGGGCCAGCAGCTGCGGAGGGTGCGCCAGGTCCCCCAGCAGTGCCGCCACACAGGCGCTGTGCTTGATTTCTCCCCGGGCCTTAGCTGCCTCCCTGCCGGGCAGGGCTCGGGACCTGCAGCCCGCCATGCCTGAGCCTCCCCGTGCAGCCATGGGCTCCTGGGCGGCCGAGCCTCCCCAACGAGCACCGCCCCCTGCTCCACAGCGCCCAGTCCCATCAACTGCCCAAGGGCTGAGGAGTGTGGGCACAGGGCGGGACTGGCGGGCAGCTCCACCTGCGGCCCTGGTGCAGGATCCACTGGGTGAAGCCAGCTGGGTTCCTGAGTCTAGTGGGGACTTGGAGAACCTTTCTGTCTAGCTAAGGGATTGTGAGTGCACCAATCAGCACTCTGTGCCTAGCTCAAGGTTTGTGAACACACCAATCAGCACCCTGTGTCTAGCTCAGGGTTTGTGAATGCACCAGTCGACACTCTGTACCTAGCTAATCTGGTGGGGACTTGGAGAATCTTTATGTCTAGCTAAGGGATTGTGAATGCACCAATCGGCACTCTGTATCTAGCTCAAGGTTTGTAAATGCACCAGTGGGCACTCTGTATCTAGTTAATCTGGTGGGGACTTGGAGAATCTTTATGTCTAGCTAAGGGATTGTGAATGCACCAATCGGCACTCTGTATCTAGCTCAAGGTTTGTAAATGCACCAATCGGCACTCTGTGTCTAGCTCAGGGTTTGTAAATATACCAATCAACACTCTGTATCTAGCTAATCTAGTGGGGAGGTGGAGAACTTTTGTGCCTAGCTCAGGGATTGTAAACACACCAATCAGCACCCTGTCAAAACAGACCGATCAGCTCTCTGTAAAACAGACCAATCAACTCTCTGTAAAATGGACCAATCAGCAGGATATGGGTGGGGCCAGACACGAGAACAAACGCAGGCTGCTCAAGCCAGCAGGGCAACCCGTTCAGGTCCCCTTCCACACTGTGGAAGCTTTGTTCTTTAGCTCTTTGCAATAAATCTTGATTCTGCTCATTCTTTGGGTCCACACTGCCTTTATGAGCTGTAAGGCTCACCGCGAAAGTCTGCAGTTTCACTCCTGAAGCCAGCGAGACCACGAACCCACCGGGAGGAATAAACAACTCCAGACGCGCCGCCTTAAGAGCTGAAACACTCACGGCGAAGGTCCGCAGCTTCACTCCTGAGCCAGTGAGACCACGAACCCACCAGAAGGAAGAAACTCTAAACACATCCGAACATCAGAAGGAACAAACTCCGGACATGCAGTCTTTAAGAACTAACACTCACCGTGAGGGTCCGCGGCTTCAGCCTTGAAGTCAGTGAGACCAAGAACCCATCAATTCCGGACACAATCCAATCACCTCCCACCAGGCCTTTTCCCCAACACATGGGGATCACGACTTGAGATGAGATTTGGGACACAGAACCAAACCATATCACTAGCCGTTTTAATCACTGGAGAAGAAAATTTCACAATGCTGAAGAAATTTTCAAAGAACTATGTGTTCTGAGTGCTGCCACAAGTTTATTTGAGTGGATATGTAGAAGCTATTCCAGAATGTTTCTTTTAATCTACAGTCACACGTTAGAATGTCTTACCTGCTGACATCACACTTTGAGTTCTGCAAAAGATCAAATCATTGCATTTCTTTTTTTTTTTTTTTTTTTTTTTTTTTGAGATGAAGTGTCGCTCTGTGGCCAGGCTGGAGTGCAGTGGTGTGATCTTGGCTCACTGCTACCCCTGCCTCCCAGGTTCAAGTGATTCTCCTGCCTCAGCCTCCCGAGTAGCTAGGACTACAGGCATGCACCACCATGCCCAGCTAATTTTTGTATTTTTTAGTAGAGATGGGGTTTCACATGTTGGCCAGGATGGTCTCGATCTCTCGACCTCAGGTGATCTGCCTGCCTTGGCCTCCCAAAGTGCTGGGATTACAGGCATGAGCCACCGCTCCCGGCCTGCATTTTCTTATCATTAGTTTGATGCATCTTATGATTTCCCCCAAGAACTTTGGGCTACACCATGTGTTTCTGCATGACTTGTGGTTAAATAGGATGCAGAATAAAAGGAGCTGTTTTCTCAAGCCTTTGGTGCTACAACTAAACCTGATAATATCTTTGAAGCTCTGTCAAAATTCTTCCAAACAAATGAGATATTAAAAATTGATAACAGGACCAGGTGTACTGGCTCATGCCTGTAATCTCAGCATGTTGGGAGGCTGAGGCAGGAGGATAACTTGAGGCCCAGAGTTCGAGACTAGCTTGGGCAACATAGCAAGACCCTGTCCCTACAAAAAAAAATAAAAACATTAGCCAGGCATGGTGTTGTATGTATGCCACTTGTGCCAGCTACCTGGGAGGCTGAAGTGGGAGGACTGCTTAAGCCCAGAAGGTTGAGGCTGTAGTGAGCTATGATTGTTATCTCTGCACTCCAGTCTGGGTGACAGACAGTGACCATGCCTCTAAAAAAATAAAATAATTAAATTTTTTAAAAACTTGATAAGAATGTGCATTTAATATTGCTCCAATAATGTGGAATTCACAGTGAGGAATTTGACAGGAAAAAAATCAGGTATTCACTGCTAAGCATCCAAAACCCTGCCTGGCAATCTAAGAGAATTGTTCATATTATTATCAAGGTTGTCAATCCCATGGAAAGTATTAGAATACATGCCTTGCTTTGTGAGAACTTGAATGCTCATGGCAAAGTTCTCATGTTCTATCCTGAAGTTTCCAAGTTATCACAAGGAAAGATATTTGGCCAAAGAATATAGGTACTTCATTTTCAGAGTGTTAAGCTACCAATAACTTCACACTGTCAAAACTAATACCTTTCACTGGGGCTTTGCATATTTGGCAGATTCAGTTGGAATTTTGTACATGGAACCTGAAATTTTAAGAGGTGGATCCTGATATTAGTGTGTATTAAGTTTACTTCAGGCAGTTTTAACCAAAATCCAGCTACAGCAAGAGCAAATTGCTGCTAAAATTGGCCTCTTCTCTTTCTGACTTAATTCTTGAAAGTGATTTCATGGGGGAAAGAATGTAAAACATCATCTAATTTGCCTGCAAGATAAATTCAGGTAATAATTTTTGTGACATTATAGCAAAAAATTTCATTTGGAAGTTTGGAAGGAAATTGTTACTCACTTAGACATTTTTTATTTGCTAAACGATCCCCACAAGGAGATTTGGGGAATCAGATTTAATTTCATTGCAACTTCCAGAAAACAATTTGGAAAAGCTTTGGATAAAATGGGTTCTTATTTAACCCCAAATAAGTGAGAAAGCTTTGCATGTCCTCATCCAGTTTTCATTGACTATGCTTGTGAAAACTTTTTCCTCAATTTTTGCATTGCTGGCTATGAAAACAAAGCAGCATGATAGGCTTGATAAATGACATATATTGTTTTCTTGCAGCCAAACTTTAGGCTTGTGTGCCTTCTCAGGTACTGCTTTCCTTCCCTGAAATTCACCTTTCCTCAACTTGTTAGCTAAGCTAATTTCTCCTTGTCCTTCAAATCTCAGATCAAATGAGTCATTTACTCCAGGAAGTCTGGTTCAGATGGAGTGGCCTTTCCTGTATCCTCCCATGACGCCCTGCACAACCTGTGATCCTGGCATTTTCCACCAACTATGTACTCCATGCTGCCCTGGAGCATTTTATATGTGAAGCCCCTCACAGAGTGTCTGTTGTATTCTAGTCTCTCAATGTAAATTTGCTGCCCAATGTTTATAGGTAAACACATGCAGGTATACATGTTCCAGAGAAGAAATATGGAAGAGTCAAGGATTAACTTGGTGGGGGCAGTCAGTAGAGGCTGTGGAGAAGAAGTACCATCAGTCAGCATTCTCCATGGAATAGACCACGCCACATAGAGGTGTAAGTTGAAGGGTGCATAAAGAGAGAGAATCCCAGCCAGGGAAAGAGGATTTTTTTTGTTTTTTTGTTTTTTGAGACGGAGTTTCGCTCTTGTTGCCCAAGCTGGAGTGCAATGGCGCGATCTTGGCTCACCGCAACCTCCGCCTCCCGGCTTCAAGCAATTCTCCTGCCTCAGCCTCCCGAGTAGCTGGGATTACAGGCATGTGCCACCACGGCCGGCTAATTTTTTTGTATTTTTAGTAGAGACGGGGTTTCTCCATGTTGGTCAGGCTAGTCTCAAACTCCCGACCTCAGGTGATCCGCCCGCCTCGGCCTCCCAAAGTGCTGGGATTACAGGCGTGAGACACCGTGCCCGGCCAAGAGGATGTTTAAGAAGGAAGGAAGGGAAGGAAAAAAGGGTACTAAGAGGCAAAAAAGTATGGAGGCTGAAGGCCAGAGAGAGCAATGGGGACTGTAGTAAACTGTAGACTACATGCCTCAATTAAAGAGAGAGGCCAGTACCTTGCCACATGGGAATTTGGAGCCGAATATGGTCAGATGCTTTTTTTTTTTTTTTTTAAGAGAAGCTAGGAATTGGATATGAGATCTCCCCGTTTTAGATTGGCAAGTAGAGTTGACGCTTGAACAACGTGGGGGTCAGGAGTGTTGACTTCCATGCAGTTGAAAATCTATAGATAACTTTTGAATCCCCAAAAGCATAACTACTAACAGCTTCCTGTTGATCAGAAGCCTTATCAATAACATAAGCAATCAATTAACGTATAATTTTGTATGCTATATGTAGTGATATGGTTTGGATCTGCGTCCTCATCAAATCTCATGTCGAATTGTAATCCCCAGTGTTGGGGGTGGGGCCTGGTGGGAGGTGATTAGATGGTGGATGTGGTCTTCCATGAATGGTTAACACCATCCCTATGGTGCTGTTCTCGTGATAGTGAGTGAGTGAGTGAGTTATCGCGAGATCTGGCATTTAAAAGTGTTAGCAGCTGGGCGTGGTGGCTCACGCCTGTAATCCCAGGACTTTGGGAGGCCAAGGTGGGCGGATCACGAGGTCAGGAGATCGAGACCATCCTGGCTAACACAGTGAAACCCCATCTCTACTAAAAATACAAAAAATTAGCCGGCCATGCTGGCACGTACCTGTAGTCCCAGCTATTTGGGAGGCTGAAGCAGGATAATCGCTTGAACCTGGGAGGCAGAGGTTGCAGTGAGCCAAGATCGTGCCACTGCACTCCAGCCTGGGCAACAGAGTGAGACTCCGTCTCAAAAAAAAAAAAAAGTGTTAGCACTTCCCTAGTCGCTCTCTTGCTCCTGCTCCTGCTATGTGAGACGTCTTGCTCCCTCTTCGCCTTCCACCATGTTTGGAAGCTTCCTGAGGCTGCCCCAGAAGCAGAAGCTGCTATAGTTCCTGCACAGCCTGCAGAGCCAAAAACCCCATTTCTTTATAAATCTCCCAGTTTTAGATATTTCTTTATAGCAGTGTGAGAACAGACTAATACCTGTATTATATGTATAGTGTATTCTTAAAATGGAGTAAGCTAGAGAAAATAAAATGTTATTAAGAAAATCCTAAGAGAAAATACATTTACTATTCATTAAGTGGAAGTGGATCATCATAAAGGTTTTCATCCTCATTGTCTTCATGCTGAGTAGGCTAAGGGGAGGAGGAGGAGGCAGAGAAGGGATTGGTCTTGCTGTCTCGGGGTAACAAAGGTCCCCAGGTATAAATGCATCGACCGGTTTAAACCCGCGTTGTTCAAGGGTCCACTGTAATTTAGACTTAACACAGGCCAGAAACACACATCCTTGGGCAGAATTTGTCTAACAACTCTTGTTGTTCTTTTTGTTTTGTTTTGTTTTGTTTGTTTTGAGACAGAGTCTTGCTCTGTTGCCCAGGCTATAGTGCAGTGGCACGATCTCAGCTCACTGCAACCTCTGCCTCCTGGGTTCAAGTGATTCTTCTGACTCAGTCTCCCTAGTAGCTGGCATTACAGGCATGTGCCACCATGCCCGGCTCATTTTTATATTTTTAGTAGTGATAGGGTTTCATTATGTTGGCCAGGCTGATCTCAAACTCCTGACCTCAAGCAATCCACCTGCCTTGGCCTCCCAACGTGCTGGGATTACAGGCGTGAGCCACCACACCCGGCCAAATTTGTCTAACAACTCCTGTTTCATGCGCATAACAAAAAGTTCATTGCTGTGGAGAACAAGCTGTCTTGACACAGCAGATCAGTGTGCAGATGGTGGTCCGGGAATGATGTAGAAACAACCATATTATCTCTGTGGCATTTCCTCCTGAATAGTGCTTACTGAGGAGTGCGTGTCCTCAGTGTGAAGGTTCTCTTCCCATGTGAGAGCACTGCTTACTTTGTGGGGAACCCTGAGGAATTTGACAGTCCTCGGTAAGATGGAAAGATCTGGAAAAATCCCTCCAGATAGTTTAATCTCACACTTTAAATACATTACCTCCCAGGCGCGGTGGCTCACGCCTGTAATCCCAGCACTTTGGGAGGCCGAGGTGGGTGGATCATCTGAGGTCAGGCGTTCAAGACCAGCCTGACCAACATGGTGAAACCCCATCTCTACTAAAAATACAAAATTAGCCGGGCGTAGTTGCGCATGCCTGTAATCTCAGCTACTCGGGAGGCTGAGGCAGAAGAATGGCTTGAGCCCAGGAAGCGGAGGTTGCAGTGAGCCGAGATCACGCCATTACACTCCAGCCTGGGCAACAAGAACGAAACTCCGTCTCAGAAGCAAGACGAAACAAAACAAAACACATTGCCACGGGAGAGTGTAAAGAGGAAACAGCAAAAGGCACAGGGACCGAAATTTGGGGAGTATATACCTTCAGAGCACTTGAAGAAGAATAAAGGGAAGAAAATGAGAAGGACAACAGGACAAGAAGCAGTTGCCGTGGACTGAGGAAATAAGGCCAAGGCAGTCACTTATCACAATTATGCTTATTTAATTAATGTGTTTGCTTTTGTTAGTAAAAGGGCGTGGCATGTAAGTTGGATGATTATTAAATCATTTCTCCAGCATTCTTGTGCATGTACGTTCAAGAGTTAACATCCCCTGACAAATAATACAGTCAGAAAAGAGATTGGAGGCGAGTTTCACATCTGTTTTACTTTAACCTTTCTACACAGGAAAAACAGTCCTGATGACTTTGCCCAGTTTTTAAACTTGGAATTGTCTTTCATGGAACTGAAAAGCCCTCACACACATTGAAATTAATCTCATGGTGTTGAAACTTCTGGAAAGTCGACGTGGAATTTTCTTCTCAAATTTGAAATCCACATAAGAAAGATGTGCAATTAGTAGACAAATGTGGGGAAACGTTCAACCTCATTAGCAATCCAAGATATACAAATAAAAGCAGCAATAACATAACCTTATTGGTTTGGACCGTTGGTGAGCTCTAGTGCTGGCTTCAACTCTGAAACATTGCTGGAGGGAGTACGACTGGGACAATCCCTATAGAAAAATAATTTGGCAATGCATTTTCAGAACTCCAAAACAGCCTGGCTCTGTGTTTTTTTGGAGTTTAATTTGAAATCTATAAAATAAAAAAATACATATAGGAAGGTTTTGTTTCACCTTTATTTATAAGATACTAAGTGTACCTAAAATGGGTAGTAGTTTTGGTTGGTATTCTGAGAAGCAGAGCCTGAGATAGGGATTCTTTCTTTCCTTTTTTTTTTTTTTTTTTTGAGACGGAGTCTCCATCTGTCACCCAGGCTGGAGTGCAGTGGTGTGATCTTGGCTCACTGCAACCTCCACCTCCCGGGTTCAAGTGATTCTCCTGCCTCAGCCTCCCCAGTAGCTGGGACTGCAGGTGCACACCACCACACCTAGCTAATATTTGTATTTTTAGTAGAGATGGGGTTTCATCATATTGACTAGGCTTGTCTCAAACTCCTGACCTGAAGTGATCTGCCCACCTCAGCCTCCCAAAGTGCTGAGATTACAGGCGTGAACCACCATGCCTGGCCGTGGGATGGGGATTCTTGTGCAGTGACGTGGTGAGACAGCGCTTGGGGGTAAAACCTGTAAGAGACACAGCAGCATGTGGCCGAGGATGGAGCTTGATGCTATTGTGGGTTAAGCTGAAGTCTGGTCTCAGTCTGAGCCCATGGGGAGCTCTGAAGTGTGAACAACCCCACAGCATTGTCCTCCCTTGAAGCAAGGGTCTGGGCTTCTGCACAGTGTCACTCATTGGATGAACATTACATTTCCAAGTGAGGCAGCTCCTGTCAACTCTCGAGAGTGGCTCAGCTCATAGCACGTGGGGGATGGAGATTCTGGCTTAGAAAGGGGATGTGGATGCTGGCAGCACCCCTTTCCTATGCAGGGTGGAGGATAAGGCTGCTGTATAGAACCCAGGTCAGTTGATTTATATAGGGCCGATCTCCTGGGCGAGAGGGTTAGATTTGGATCCCTTTTCTTTTGGGAACTGCATGTTGTGAGTGGCTTCTTCCAGTGGGAGCTACTAAATTGTTTCTCCAGTACTCCCTGCTTGCTTCCCTCCCTCCACCTTCTACCACCACTCTGGCCAAAGAAGAACAGTAGAAGAGATTGACTAAAACAAAACAGGAGATGCTAACTGGTGGGTGGACAGCAGAAATCTGGCTTTGACCACTTCAAAAGTGGGGGAATCTGTCTGTTTTTCTGGTTAGTGCTAACCTGATGTTTCACAGTAACAGAACGCATGACTCAGAAGCAGGCCCAGTCTCCTCTGGGAGCATCTGTCCTGTTTTGATTCGGGCTGTGGAGTGTGTAACTTTTAATCCAAAAAATGTGCAGCTCTATACAATCCCTTTTGAATGATACAGAGAGTGGAGAATCAGGCTGGTGTTTTGCATATGATCTTCTCAGCTTTCATTTCCCCGTTTAATCTTTTTGTTTATCTTCCTGGAGAACTTTAAAGAGAAATTGGAAGGAATCGCAAAGTTATCAGGAATAGCCAGTCTTTTGCCCAGTTCATTCGAATAGTTTTTAAATGGAGAAAAAAAGTCTTCACACATTTGAGAACTTTTTTTGAGAATTCTTTCAAATTGATGTCTTTTTACTAAAGACCTCCTGTTTCAACCAGATATTTCTGCATACACTTTAGAAATAAATGATAAATATGTAAATTTAAAAGTAATACGTGCAATGCATTGAGGTTTTTCTGCCTGAAGCCTTAAAAATATTCAAGGGACAATAGACATGAAGTTATAGGAGCCTGCAACAACAGAGGGGCATAAAATTCAGGAGGGACCCAAGAGGTCAAGTGCGTGTGTTTTCAGCTCAAATTCCTGCTTTACCACTTAACACCTGTGGCTTTGGAACAGGAACTTAACCTCTCCAAGCCTCACCTTCTTCAACTACATAAATGGAAATGATATTTCTCCCTCCATAGGGCAGCATGGTAGTGCTGAGGGGCGGAGACATTTGTGCTGCAGGCTCCAGAGCCACGTGCTGGGCTGTCAGTGTCTGCTTCACAACACACTAGCTGCCTGACCTTAGGCACATTAGCCCCTCTGGGCTTCTGTTTCCTTTCCTGAAAATTGAGCACTTACCTTCTAAGAGGCGATTTGAGGATAAATTAGTTACCACTGGAATGTATATATATACGATGGAATACTACTCAGCCCTAAAAAGGAATGAATTAATGGCATTTGCAGCAACCTGGATGGGATTGGAGACTATTATTCTAAGTGAAGTAACTCAGGAACGGAAAACCAAGCATAGTATGTTCTCACTCATGAGTGGGAGCTAAGCTGTGAGGATGTAAAGGCATAAGAATGACACAATGGACTTTGGGGACTCAGGGGGAAAGGGTGGGAAGGGGGTGAGGGATAAAAGACTACAAATCAGGTTCACTGTATACTATTCAGGTGATGGGTGCACCAAAATCTCAAAATCACTGCTGAAGAACTTACTCATATGACCAAATACTACCTGTTTCCCAATAGCCTATGGAAATAAAAGCATTTTTTAAAAAAGAAGAGGACTTGGCACACGATAAGCATTTAATAAACATAGGCTACTAATTTATTTGATATTGAGATGATTTTTAAATTAAATAATGTAAAGAAAATGGTAAGTGTAAATGTTATTAGGTCAGCGCAAAAGTAATCACGGTTTTTGCCATTTTGCTTTTAATAGCAAAAACCGTGATTACTTTTGCACCAACCTAACATAGCAAGGATTTTTTTTCTCTTTTTCTTTTTTCTTTTTTTCTGAGATGGAGTCTTGCTCTGTCGCCCAGGCTGGAGTGCAGTGGTGCGATCCCAGCTCACTGCAACCTCCACCTCTCGGGTTCAAGCGATTCTCCTGCCTCAGCCTCCTGAGTAGCTGGGATTACAGGCACCTGCCACCATGCCCAGCTAATTTTTGTATTTTTAGTAGAGACAGGGTTTCACCATGTTGGCCAGGCTGGTCACAAACTCCTGACCTCAAGCGATCCACCCACCTCGACCTCCCAAAGTTCTGGGATTACATGAGTTAGCCACTGAGCCTGGCCATAACAAGGATTTGATCTGGATGGATTTCAGAGCAAGGGGTATATTCTGTATGAACATCAGTTAAGTTTTTTGATTTGATGTCATCATCATTTTGGGCAAATGAATCACATATCACAAGGCAAGGTAATGGGGACCTTACATGTGAAATATCCAAACAAATGAACACCTAAGTAATCTCTCTAAATTCACATTATGCAATATCATTTTTCTTTATTTCTCTTTCAAGGAATATAAATTATTCTCTTAGTATGATATATCATATTGACAACACTGAAAATAAAACAATCACTAAGAAACAGGTAAAAACAAAAACTTTTTTTAAGAGAAGGGGTCTTGCTCTGTTTTCCAGGCTGGAGTGTGGTGGTGCCATCACTGTTCACTGCAGCCTTGAACTCCTGGGCTCAAGTGATCCTCCTGCCTCAGCCTCCCAAGTAGCTGGGACTACAGGCATGATCCACTGTGCTGTCAAGAAATAGGTTTTAATAAAATTAGCCCTCCTCTCCAAGAGTGACAGAAGAAAGGAAGGAAGGAAGGAAGGAAGGAAGGAGGAAGGGAGGGAGAGAGGGCATGCTCAGTTTCTGAATAAATCATGTAGCTCAAAAACTGAAGTCTAGACAGTATCTTCAACTGATCTTAGAAATCAGTCAGCACTGGATCAATACTACCTGGGTGAAAGAGTATTAGAGCACTATCTAATTTCCAAACAAATGAGCCCATAAGTTTTCTTTGTGGTAATTTCAAGACTTAACATAAGGACTGGAAATCCAGTTACAAAGAAAATGTGGATACACTGAGATATGTCTTCAAAGTAGGGATAATAATACAGGTGTTTCTGCTTTAACTTGATATGTGTTTTCTTACAAAACCTTGTGCTCTGCAAAACCGTGTACTAAAGTAACAAAATTTAGGAAAAATTATGGTTGGAGCAGGCCACTCGAAACTATGCAACTTTGTAACCAGAGCAGTATAAAAACAAAAATTGGTTGATTCCAGGAACAATAACCTTAAGAGCCCAGATAGACGGCTCAGTGCAGCTAGAAAATGCCACCATGTAGCAATAGAGTGGCTATGCTGGCCACATTTACATGAGAATCAATGGGGCAGGTGAAGGAGGCTCTGGGCTGCTGGTAGGGTGGGTCCCGAGGCATCTATCTGCCACAAGAAGAGAGCCTCACAGCACAGGCTGGGCTTCACTTCTCTACAGAGGGTGCCCCAGAGGCCAGCATTGTTTATTTGCTTAAAAATAACCGTTTACCTAGCAATCCCATTACTGGGTATATATCCAAAGGATTATAAATCATTCTACTATAAAGACAGATGCACATGCATATTTATTGCAGCACTATTTACAATAGCAAAGACTTGGAATCAACCCAAATGCCCGTCAATGATAGACTGGATAAAGAAAATGTGGCACATATATACCATGGAATACTATGCAGCCATAAAAAAGAACGAGTTCATGTCCTTTGCAGGGACATGGATGAAACTGGAAGCCATCATTCTCAGCAAACTAACACAGGAATAGAAAACCAAACACTGCATGTTCTCACTCATAAATGGGAGTTGAACAATGAGAACACATGGAAACAGGGAGGGAGACATCACACACTGGGGCCTTTTGGGGATTGGGGGGCAAAGGGAGGGAGAGCATTAGGACAAATACCTAATGCATGTGGGGCTTAAAACCTAGATGACGGGTTGATAGGTGCAGCAAACCACCATGGCCCATGTATATCTACATAACAAACCTGCACATTCAGCACGTGTATCCCAGAACTTAAAGCAAAAATAATAATAATTGTTTATAGGTGCCAGTGTGGTAATCAATCTGGGTTTTCTTTTACTCTTGCTGATGAAGGTTACAATTCTATTGCTGCTAGAATGACACCCCTTTCCTAGAGAAAGATCATGAACCAAAACAATTTCCTGGTTCTCCTAACCTCATTACCTATTGATCAATTGTATGTGAGTGAATTTGCATTTAGGTTATCTAATGTGATCAAAAAGGTGTTAAAATTTCTATACATGTTTAGAAAAATTCCAAAGCAACTTACTAGGAAACATGTTGCTTTTGACTGTCTGGAAAAGGTTACAACTTGGATTGAACTGGCGATTTTTGAGGGAGCCGAGGAGTAAGCAAAGAAGGCAGATAGGTGGAGGTGAACTAGTAATAGGAGGGGTTTATACTTAAAGAACTGAGGTCAACGATGAATACCTTGCAGTGTTCTAAGTGCCTTTTATGGGTTAACCCACTTAATTCTCACAGCAATCCTTATAAGGTGGTTTTTACTGCTCCACTTTTACAGATGAGGAAACAGAGGCAAAGAGAATTTATTTCAACGGCTTGCTGAGGGTTGTATGAGTGTTGAATTGGGCTTTGAACCCAGGCTTTCAGCTCCTGAGGCTGCCCATGGAATGGCTACATGGAACAGCCTTGGCAAATGTTACTTTTGCAGCCAGAATGGCTACATAGGTGGATGTGGATGTGACTTCCTTCTGTGGGCTCATGGTGAACCCCTGAATGAGCCAGATGAACCTCCCCTCAGGCAGGGACAGAGATATTAATTCAGAGAGACCATCTGTGGGAAAGTGTTCTGTGACATGAAACAGAGAGGAAGGGCAGCATGGTGGACAGACAAAAATGTCGCTTCCTGGTCGAGTGCCAGTGGGTGCCATCACCCGCCAGTTCTCCAGTGCCTCTCAGATGCCAGCTCCAAAAGTCCTATCATGCTTTTGTGCCAGCCCTGGTTCCCGGGAGGAAGAGAATGTGGACTTTTTTGGGTTTAAAACAAAAAGAAGTTGATACTGGGAGAACAGTCTGCTTCTCTACAAGGTAAAGGGATCTTTCTTGGGATCTTTTGGAGGCCTATCAATAGTGCCGTTCCAATTTTCTTCTCTCCTGTGGAGGTGGGGCAGGTGGAGGGAAGCATGAAATGAAATAAATAACATAATGAAATCAGGAGAAGGACTACTGAAGAGAGAGAGAGAGAGACCGGTAGAGGAAGACAAGTCTGGGATTCAGGGAGAGGGGATTTGTGAGGGGCTCCCAAGAAGGCGGGGTGTCCCGGGAAGCACCCTGACCTCAGGCTTCAGTTACATGGAGATATGTCTGATGGAACAGAGTGGCCAGGGAGACTTTGTACTTAACATCCATGGGTCTCTGTTTGCTCTTTTTACCCTCAGCCTGTTTCCAGCTGTTTCCAACTTCAAAAGGATTAAAGGATTGTGGCTTACTTCAGGAGTCAGAGAGTAGGAGGGTATTTATGGCTGATCCCAAGGCTTAGGAGCCAGAGAAGGAAGGAAACCTTGATCCCAAGAAACAGGTGGGTTCAGTGGAAATCAAAGCAATGGGACAAGCCCAAGAATTCTTGGAAGAAAATGAATTAATGGACCCAAGGCAGAAAAGCAGCCCAGGGGAGGCCATCTGGAGGCCGCGCCCCTGCAACAACCCTGCCCCCATCCCTGGGGAAGTTTCTTCTCTCGGACCTGCTCACTAGGTTCTGGGAGTGAGACATCCTACTCCCATGTCTAGGAAGTGTGGAGAGACCAAGGAGTCTCTAAAGCCTTTTCCTGGGGGAGAAAAGAGTCTAGAATCCCATGCTAGAACTGAAAGGCATTTTCCAGGAGAAATATTAGGGTGATGAAATATAATGTAGCAAGTAGAAACACTCAGCGTACTAATTTGAGCTCCCTGCAGTCAAATGATCAGGCAAATGGGAAATCCAAAGGATGGAACAGGAAAGTCTAGAACTCAGGCTCATGGGAGGTCATTCTTGAGTCAGGTGGGGTGATGTTTGCTTGTGAATTCAGACTTGGTGCCCAGGAAATCCATGTTCACTAAGTTTGGAGATGGGAGACAGGAAGGAGACTTGTTTGGCTGATTCAGGAGGAACCAGTTAAGGTCTGAAACAGGAGACAGGCGTCTGGGAAAGGGAAACTGGCAGAGGGGTGGGACTGAGATCAGTATCTCCCCAGCTGCGTCTCCTCCCACCACCAATTTTGGGATCACTTAGTGTACCCATTTACAGTGCGAACTCCCAGGCTCCTCCAGATCTTCTAACCTAGGATTTTTGGTGGCATGGCTCGGGAATCTGCATATTAAGAAACACTCCAAAACTTTAACATTCCTCTACATATTAATATTGGAGAATGCCTGGTTTCAGTTTTACTATTTATTATCTAGAAATTTGGGTACCTGGATGTTAAATGACAACAAGATTCCAATTATTTTCAAGAACTATGAATACTCAACATCCAAGAACAAGCCATAGTGCTGTAATTGAATAAACCTATTACAATAATAATATCCCTGAGACACACAATCGCTATTTTGCTGCATGGGAATGAGGTATAAATGTGAACCTGCTTACCTACAGGATTGCATTCATGTTACAGTAAAATAATTTAACTCAGAATTTCTGTGGCCAACAGGGAGGTGAGGCATGAGCTGGAAGGGTGTTGTAAGGACACAGCTGAAAAACACCCGCTCCTCACTAGCACAGGATCTGGGTGGTTAGGTGTGCTGTTTCCTGCAGCTGAGTTGCCAGAGAAATGAGATGTCAGAACTAATCTCTTCCTTTCCTGGGTAGAAGGTGAAGCCAGCAGCTGGTCTTGGCTGTTCTGCCCCATGTGGGTGTCCTCTTTAAAGTTCTGGCTCCCTGATACCTTCCTCCCAGAAGCCCACTATACTTATTGAACTTAACAGATCACTGCTGCTCCCTTTGCATGACCTGCTGGGCATGAAAGAGATAGTCGGGTCATGGGCAGTACCACTATGCAAACATGTGCAGGAAGATTCTATTCTGGGACCAAAAAGCTGGATGCTGGACAGTCCAGACCTCTCATTTTGCTAGTGAGAAATGAGGCTTTGAGAATGAAAATGACTTACCTAAAGGCTTGGGACCCATGCAGCACCTTGAACTCAGGTTCCGTAACTCTCACCACCCTGCCCATCTTTTCCATTATATGCCTGCATTCACTGAACTCTGGCTGGGCAGGTGAGCAGGTGACTTGGGGGAGTCGTGTGCCAGGCACACCTGAGCCTATGAATCACTTCCTGCTATTTCATACAGCCCCATTCACCGCATAGCCTCTCTTAAGGATCATACCATTTTAGTGGTATATTTCAGTCCCAAGACACTTGCAGTCAGTATTGGTGGCAGGATGGCTTCAGCACTTTTGAGAGCATCATGGCACATCTCTTACTCTGTTGATTTCATGCACCCTCTGATTATTGAATATCCCCCCGCTTAATTTTTCCACACCCATTTGCTATTTTTCAGCAACTGTTCTTACTCACTGTGGCCAAGGGGACCGACATTAAATTCCAACATTGCTTGTGGCAACTTTGAAGGGCTGAGGTAATGTAGCTGTGGAAATAAAGCAAGGTTTCTGGGGACAGATGTGAGTACACTCAGTCCAGTCGGGTTCCATTGGTATGTGCTGAGGTCATCAGCATAGGCTGGGACCTTCCTGGGAGACTAGACTTAGTCCCTGACCATAAGGACTGTGTTCCCAAAGAAGTTTCTGGGCTGTACTGGAACATCCTCAAGTTCTTTACACTTAAAAAAGAATAGCAATGCTCTGTAAGAGTCTGATGGGAGAAGTAGGAGGGTAAAATACTCTGAGCCCTTGTTAGTTCACCACCCAGTTGCCAGGTAGCATCAGAAACCACGAGGGAATATGTTTAAAAAGGCATCTCTCTTCTTCTCTATAGGTGACCTTCATTTCAGCATAAGTAGATATGAAGCTGTCTAATTGTCAGTTAAAACAAATCCTTTAAAGGAATTTATCTTCAGGTTGAAAAACTCTCCCAAACATCAAATGAGTATGCTTAGCTCCTAGCCAAAGACACTCTATTGCTCTACAGGGGGAAGATGGACCTTAGATTGCCCATGGTTTCTAGCCAAGTACGAGCAATTTGGCAAGTTTACCAGGGCAGGCTGCTAGATAATTCTTCTGAAAGTTGTCCTAGAATAGTGAAAGCTTTTACTCTAAAGGCTTTATCTAAGAAACCCTCAAAGATCCCACACCATAGCAAATGCCACATTTTTCTTTTTGGAACAGATAAATGATCCCATCAAGAATAGACCCTGTGGTTGCCAGGAGAAGAGAATGAAATTTTTAGTAGAAATGCAGTCATCACTTCACTCAGTAAGAAAGAAGGGGGAAAAGGTGTTAGTGGCATATAACCAACTATAATAGCCTCAGCTATGTGAAACTCTTTATACGTCTTGGAATTTTTGAAGCTGAAGTTGTCTATGCCAAGATACACTTGGGCAACACAACCTGAGAAAACAAAGTTTTAAATAAAGCATTCTGACATCTTTTGCTAATGACACATGCAATTTTATAATATACCAAGCTTACGTCTTTCCTTCCAGCTTAGGAGAGTGCAACACCATACATGTCTGGCCCCAAACCAGGAAGAAAGCTAGGCTTAACCTCACCCCCAGAGTCTCTGTGGCAGTGAATCCAAGAGGGCTAGACACACAGAGAGAATTATAATAATACAACACCCCCTCAAGCTGAGAGGTTGGGGGATGCTGTTCACATTCTCTAGGTTTTTAAATATAAATATGTACAAAGACTTGAGCAGGGAATGGACAATGCAGTTGTGAAGTCATTCTCGACCCCACATGAAAGTGGGGTAAGCTCTTCTTCATGCTTCAAGAAGTTACGCAGGAAAACCAAAGTCATCTTCCTGTAGGCTGATCACAGTGAGATCTCCATTTTGGCTCCAAGAGCCAGACTCAAAGTTAATATGATTTTCTACAGCTTAAACATTCCAATTAAATACCTGCATTTATTTTTTTGGAAGAAAGTAAGCAGAACATTTATTTCAGTTATAGAAATAAGCATGTCTTTGGCTTGTATTAAAGACTGTTGGTCTCCTAAGCTCTGTTCAAAATTCACAACACAGGAATTTACAGAATTTTCATAAAAGCAATTGAAATTACGCATCTCCATGAACTCCCAGGGTGAACTTCTATTAACAAAAGATGTTTTGCTTTACTCACACCTGCTCAGTTCTCCATGGGGGCTCAAGCGATACACATTCCAATAGAGCAGCGTCAATAAAATCAAATAAAAATGAAGTTCCAGGGAAGGGAGTGGAGATATAAAATATTACCGCAGAAAGTGCATTTGAGAAGAAGCCGAGCTATTGGAACTGGTTTTTAAAGGAGAAAATTGTTAGAGAAAAATAGATTTTCAGCCATAAATCATACAATTTTGACTCTTGTTGAGTACTCTACCAGGTAATCTTAACATACCTTCTCTATGTTTCTGTGTGTGTGTGTGTGTGTGTGTGTGTGTGTGTGTGTGTGCGTGCGCATGTGTGTAGGGTAGATATGGAAAAGGTACAAGGGATAGGGAAAGTTTAGAAGAGGTAGGAGAAAAGAACGAAGGAGCTAGCAAAATAGGAATTCTTTCTCTTTGCCTGTTACTGGAAAGAATTAAGGAAACTTTGTGAAGTCTGCCTAAGTTAATGTGTTTGTGTTTGTTAGATTATTGTCTTCAGAAAACTCATGTTTTCTTTGCTCGAAGTTCATGATATCCTACTTCTAAGAGGACCCTGTCTATGGGGAAACAAGGAAAGAATTTAATTCCTTCTAATTGCAACACATTCCATTTGATACCATATTGATATTTCTGAGGTTTTCATGTTGTTCTGAGAGTCCAAAAACATAAAGAGCCTGCTCGATGCAGAGTATTACATTAATAGCCGTCTTCCCTCCACATCCACAAATGACACAGATCACATTGGATTTCAACAGATAAGATCCCTTGCCCTTTAAGAGATGGCTGCTTATTGGAAGCAGAACAATGACAAATATACAAGTGACAGGAAAGTTTTATTTGTGAGAGGAAAAGTACTTTGTTATTTACAATCTCTTGCTGCTTTCAAAGGAAGCGGGGAGTCTCAAGAGGGCCCTCAGTGCACTAAAATCTCAGACTTCACCACTATACAACTCATCTATGTAACCAAAAACAATTTGTACCTCAAAAATGTTTGAAATAAAAGAAAATAGTTAAAAAAAAAAACTGGCCCCAAAATTAAGAGGGCTGTTTGCAGAGTGAAGTGCTGGGGATGAAGATGACAGATTGGAGGAATCTCTGGGGAGAGCTCTGCAGAGGAGAGGGGGGTATCGGATGGCAGGGTGGTGAGGGGAGACCCTGGAATCAGGAAGGACCCACATAGAGGAGCTGTAAACGGGAAAGAAAGGGAATGAGATGAGGCTCCAGGAGGGTGTTCCTGGATGAGCAGGTCTGTGCAAACCTACCCCAAAGGCCCAGGGAGCTGAGAAGCTGAAGAAAGAGGGTGATAAATCCAGTTTCTCAGAGAGAAATATTTAACAGGGACTTAAGAACAGAAGCCATGTCTCAGGCGGCCATGAGATGGTGGATCACTGCACGGTTACCCCGCAGACCCAGGGCTTATATACTATAGGGAATTTGCCTAAGGGCAGGATTTATGGTAAGTGTGTGTTTATGATAACAGCATGGTTATTTTGACCTAAGGGCAGGATTTACAGGAAGTATATGTGAAAGTAGAAATCCTAGAGGCAGGCTAGGTGCAGTGGCTCATGCCTGTAATTCCAGTGCTTTGGAAGGCCGAAGTGGGAGGATTGTTTGAGGCCAGGACTTCGACACCAGCAGGGACAACATAGTGAGACCTTGTCTTCACAAAAAGTTTTAAAAAATCAGCCAGGTGCAGTGGCCCATGCCTGTAGTCCCAGCTACTAGGGAGGCTGAGGTGGGAAGATTCCTTGAGCCTGGGAGTCTGAGACTACAGTAAACTGTGATCACACCACTGCACTTCAGCCTTGGCAACAGCGTGAGACTCTGTCTCTAAAAAGAGAAAAAAAGAAATCTTAGAGGCATTCTCAGAATTTGGGTTAGTCAACATGGTGGCAAAACAGACCCACAGGTGCAATGAGGACTTTTATTGATTTTCCATTCATTCATTTATTCCTTGCTATGCCCCTTTGGTGAGCCAGTGTATGTTTTAGGTGCTGGAGATAAAGCCGACTCCACCCTAAAGAATCTTCAGTGAAGTCTCTTACTTCTCACTGATGCCTCCTGGAATAGATTTTCTCTTGGAGAGGAAGAGAAATGCTCTGAGACTCGCCAAGACTGGCGCAGGGTGAGAACACAGGATGCTGTCAGTAAGGACAGCCACACCTTGTTACTCACATTTCAGGAGGGGTGTCCATAAAGAAAAAAACCAACGTCTTGGCTCTTACGTGTCATAATTGACTTCTTGACCAAGAATTGTAAGCATCTAAGTGTAGGAAGAACATGCATAGCTGCTCAGGAATGTGGAGGGGAAGGGAATAATTTGCTTTGGATAGGGTTGGTCCCTTCTCAATGTGTTGTGGTGGAGTTTTTTTTTAGTTCACTTGTTCTTTCACCTTGGTCTGGAATGGTCTTTGGAGTTTAAGCCTCTAGAGCAGCTGTTCTTAAGGGAGGTGTCTCAACAAACTGGTGTGTTGGAATGTGTAGTGAGGAATGCAGTAATTTCTTACTAATAATAAAGATCCAAAATTGTGCAAATGAATGCACCACAATTTTTTAAATGAATAATGTGAAAACCATAGATACTTAAAAACAGAGCCCCACAAAAGGCCTCTATTTTTTTCATTACTGTGACACCAGTGACAGTTGATGTTTACATACATGATCCAGTGGGTGTTCCCAGCTTGATAGCTAGAAGTGTGAGTGAGGAAAAGGGGCTTGCTTCCTGATTCACTAGAAGCCAATACAACAACGCCAAGTTTTTGAAAAAAGAAGACTTTTTTATTGTAATTGCTTTTTTATTGCAATTGCTTTTTATTGCAAGTCAATTCACAAGGAGACAGGAGACCATCTCGAATCTGTCTCCCTGTCCTGGCTTTCAGGCAGTAATTTTATTAGAAAATGTTTAGGGGATGGATTTCAGGATTAGAAGGTGACTGGTGGAAGGAAAGAGGAGATTTGGAAAGTTCTTGGGCATGCACAATTATCTCTCTTCATGCCTCCTCATGGGTCCCATGCGCAAATCCAGGGGGAGTTGGTATGAAACACATGGTGGAAATTCAGGCTATGACATCAGCAAGCTAATTCTACACAAACTCCAGTCAGCCATATTGGTCCCAACCAATTTTAGCCAGTTTTGTTATCTTACAAGTGGAGAGAGTTTCAGCATTTTAATAAGTTGTGCTTTTTAAAATCTGTCATCCTGCAAGCTCAAGAATTTCTGTTAATCATTGGTTTCTTTAACTCTCCGAGGTATAGTTTCATAACTCTACTCATTTTGTCTTATTCAAGAAGGAAAAGCAAGTGAATGAGAGAGATATTAGGTGCAGTATCATTCCTCAAGGCTAACTCTGGGCTCATGGAAAGAGTGCTGCGATTGATTGATAATGTCTGTCATGGATGTGGGAATGGGTGTGGTCGTGCGTCACCAGGTTTTTACCACACCTGCATTACGTATTTCTGAGTTTTCTGGTGTTGTGTCCCTTTGCTTTGCTTATGTTGTAGTCACCTATATCGTGTCTTAAATAGTTTTGATTCACTCATATCACCTTGCCTGGCCAAGTCTTGCAATGAATGGGGCTCAAGAGATATTAGAATTCAATTGACCTTACACTTAACTGAGTGTTCCTAACTTGTGAGATCCTTAATAGCTATTGAACAGTGTCATGAAAGTGACACCCATGGAAACCTATGTCCATAGAACACTGAATGTAGAGTAGGTACACACATGTTTTTCTCATTAATTTTACTAATAAAATATAATACATTTGGATCAAGAGTGAAACTGTATTTGATCAGAAATTTCAGG
Source organism: Homo sapiens (assembly GCF_000001405.40). Taxonomy (NCBI): domain Eukaryota; kingdom Metazoa; phylum Chordata; class Mammalia; order Primates; family Hominidae; genus Homo; species Homo sapiens. Next base: position 31,077,204 of record NC_000010.11, read on the forward strand.
GAATACAGTGTTCTTGATTTTTTGTTTCAGAGCCAGTGCTTTTTGGAACCTATCGAGCATGCATGTCCACTTTCCTGACTTGTTAAACACAGTCCAAATAACAAAATGGAAACTGTGGGAGAAACTCAAGTCCTCACTTTAACAATCATTTGGATAGAGAAGACTGCATCTAAACAATACTAACCCAAGACAGCCACTAGAAGTTGCTCTAAAAAAGAGAGAGAGAGAACTCAGGTTCTCAGAGTATTTTGTTGATAGTGACCTCTTTATGAAAATAGGTTAAAAAAATCCAGTGATTGAAGGTTCTAGTAATAGGTAATTATCTAGGTAATAGGTAATTATCTGGTAATGATCTATCCAGGGATAGATAATTCTAGGTTTTTCTACCTAGTTGCCCAAATATGAATAAGAGGTTAGAACCCTGAAACTATTGAACATTTGATATAAATTATACTCTTCCTTAGCTTGCAAGTGCTAAGCCTGGATTCCTTGTATTTCTGAAGTGTTCCTTAACACTTTATTCTACTAGCATTTGAAAATAGTCAATGACCATGTTGAATAAGGCAGCACCACTTGTCCAGTAAATTCACCCCCAGCTTGAAGAATCCTATAAAGCAAGCAAATATGTAAAAATAATTATACTTACAGGATGTTTGAATGAAATCCTTCTTTAGAGAGGTAGCATCATGGATATGTGGAGAACATGGAATTTGGAGCTAGATTACCTAGGTTCAAATTCCAGCTCCAATATTTGTAAGTTGTGACCTTGGGCAAGTATTTAACCTGTGAGCTTCACTTTCCTCATCTGTAAAAAAGAACAGTATTCAGAAAATATTGCATATCCTGGCATGTGGACAGGGTGTCTGGAATGTCATTACAAGGAATGGCTGGAACACCACGTGAGCTGATGGGAAGTCATTAACATCATCTTTATGTTGCCCATTTCTAATCAACCAATTACAGCGAATTTCTCTCTGAATATTGGATTGACTGATGCATATGCAAAGGTCTACTTTGTGTTACTGTTCTTTAATTATATATAAGTGAGGTCTAATTTTCACTGTGTGCATGCCTAGAGAGGTCAATTCTTATGTACACATGCCCTTTCTAGCTATATGATCCATATTTATGTTCTCATTAATGACCAAATTCTCAAGTCTTAGTTTTTTTTCAAGTGGCTTAAAATTCAGTTCTTACAGGATAAAAGATGATGTGGGTCTGGGGTTCATTCCTGGAGGCAGAGTAAACCTGAAGCACCCTCTGGCATGGGAACTGGTACCGGGGAGAGGCTGGACCCCATTTTGGAGCAACCATGAAGCAATGTGATCAAGGGGCAGTCCAAAGTGGAGCTAAGGAAGGAAGCTAGAGCTCAGCTCAATGGAAACAGTATAAGTCCACAGGTCAGAGGGTCAGGAAACAGGTCTAGGGCCATGGCCTTGGACAATCAGGAACAGGTGAGGAAGGGAAATGACCAGCAAGATATGGACTGAGGCAAATATTTTGGCGTGCAGGCTGGGAGCACTGAGAACATGCTGGGGCTTTTCCAACAGGTGCCAACATTGTAGAGTGGGAATACCCCCTCTAGCTTGGAGGTTTCTGCAAACGATCTCGCTTAAGGTCTTCTAAGGTGCGGTATTTATACCATTTAATTATCTGAGTTAGTAAGGGGTTTCTATTTCTTCAGAAACTTCACGCAGACATCTTGAAGTTTGAGATTGAATTGAGCAGGCCTGAAACTTAAACCATAACACCTTCCCTTCTCTAGGCCTCCATACCTCAGTGGAGGATGCTTCTGGGGATAAAACGCCTTCAAAATGAGTTATCCTCATAAGTCACATGGGTGACATTGTTAAGCATCACATAATGCAGTGACCAAAGTTTGCTACAGATCCCAAGGGTTTGGCTGTACAAAGTGAAGTTGGACAGGTTGGCCTCATGCCAAACTGGGGTCTTCATCGTGTCCTTAACCCTTTCCCCTCCTGTGGTCAGTGTCGTCCTGCTTTCCAACCCGCCCACCATTGCAACAGCTATGCCCATTGAGCTTTAGTACATGCTAACTTCACAGTATGTACTAACTCCTTTACATATAATAGGTGATTCAATCCTTGCAACAATCCTAAGCGTAGTATTATTATTACCTCATTTTATGGATGAAGAAAATTAGGCTCATAAAGATTAAGTAACTTACACAAGGTCACTTAACTGCCTGGGAAGTAAATCCAATTCTGTAGGACAACAAAGCCAAGACTTTTCACCGCCCTGCTCAAATTCTAATAAGAATGAATTACAGATACAGGTGAATCCATTATATTCAGTGAATGTAAGTTTTAGGCAAGATGTTGTCCATTCGCAGGATTTACATTTTAAGATTTCATCTTCAATTGTGGAACAAAAGTTGGGGTCCCAAATGAAAAGGATAGGAGGCAGCAGGCAGGAGAGGGCTGGGTGACAGTGGAATTATAGATTCTTCTTTTAGAATGATGAGTGGATGCTCTGAAAAGATTGCTAGGCTCTGCCCTACCTCCTCCAGAGAGATCCAGAAGGAAGATCAGCCCAGGGCTGCCTGGGTGCCCCTGTCAAACCTATTTTCAGGCAGGGCACAACGGCTCACGCCTGTAATCCCAGCACTTCGGGAAGTCGAGGCGGGCAGATGGCTTGAGGTCAGCAGTTTGAGACCAGCCTGACCAATATGGCAAAACCCCATCTTTACTAAAAATACAAAAATTAGTGAGGCATGATGATGCATGCTTGTAGTCCCAACTACTCAGGAGGCTGAGGCAGAAGAATTGCTTGAACATGGGAGGTAGAGGTTGAAGTGAACTGAGATCGAACCACTGTACTCGGCCTGGGTGACAGAAACAAACAAACAAAAACCTATTTTCAGAACCTGCACATATTTGGCCAACTTTCTTAGCAACTTTCCCTGTGGCCCAGACCCCCACTGTGACCTAACACAGCTGAGTACCTGGAGCTTTTCCTCCTGCTCTCCAGCCTCGGTCCTCACATCTTAGCCTTTCCCCTTCCTCCCGTCTCTTTTCCTTATCTGGCACATATGACGCTACTTCTAATAACAGTAGCAAACAGAGGATATTTACACCCTACATATGTTAACTCATTCAATTCTATTTTCTTAGCATTTAGAAATTTTAAAAATGCCATAATCCTCCCTTTGTTCTCATCCCAAAGTGCATTCTTAGGTTCCTTGTATCACCTTGGCCTCTGACAACATTTGTGACAACACAAGTGCATCGCCAGAATGTATCTTCTTTGCAAGCATCTTCTTTGCAAGCATAGGTAGTGTTTTCTCCTGAATTCTTCTGTTGCCTCTACTCTGCTCCTCCTTCACCTCCCCACCTCTCCACCACTCACCTTCTCCTAAGAGCTCTACTCTGTAGCATTTGCTGCATGTTCCAGACCATTCCAGGAGCTTGCCTGTGAAGTCATTAATTCTTTCTTTCTTCTTCTTCTTTTTTGTTTTTTTAAAGAGACAGGGTCTTGCTCTATCACCCAGGCTGAAGTTCAGCAGTGCAACCATGGCTCACTGTAACCTTGAACTCCTAGGCTGAAGCCTCCCAATTAGCTAGGACTACAGGTGTGCACCACCATGCCTGCCAAATTTTTTAATTTTTTGTAAAGATGGGGTCTTGCTATGTTGCCCAGGCTGGTCTCAAACTCCTGGCCTCAAGCGATTCTCCTGCCTTGGCCTCCTGAGTAGTTGGGATTATAACTGTGACCACTACACTGGACCTTAATTCTATTTTCTCCCACCCTCCTTCTTTCTTTTCCACCACATATTTGCAGAATCGTGATTGTCCCTCAAAAGTGGCTCCAAATGTTTCTCTATTTATTTAAGGAGTAAGGTCATCAGCCCTGAAATCCAATTCTGGCCATAGACACATCTCTCCAGGCTGTGTTGGTAACTAACCTGTCACTTGGGAAGAGCCATAAATGATAACAGTTGCACCTCATGCCCTCGCACTCCCTCACTGAGAGAAGTCTATGGGCCACATGGAGGCTGCAGGCAGAGGCTGCTCCTGAGCTTCTCCCCTTCTCTCCCATTCCTTTCGAGAGAAAAAGAAAAGCCCTCAGCAGAGCTCCCCGAACCTCCCTGGGCCAAAGGATGAAACAAAGAATATATCTTTACAACACACCATAAGTCACCATGAAACTCAGGCCATCATTTTCATGGTTTTGATAAATATGAGCTGTGCTGAAATTAGAGATCATAAATTTGGGAGCCAAGAGGAGTTGACTTAGATTTAATAGAACAAACTGCTACATGAAATCTGTCTTATTAAAGTTAATTAAAGGAAGTGGAAATGGTCATCTATTAACAGAATCTAGCCCTCCAAGGAATATCGTTTGTGAATACAAATCCCTTCATATATACATGTGGGTATGATGTGTGTAGATATATAGTGGGTCTATATTTATATATATTTCATGATTTAAATAATGAGACTCAAATGTATTTTTTCTCATCTGTTAAATTACAAATGTCTAAAATAAAAAACGTTATAAAGGTCTAGAATCAAATAATATTTCATTGTATGGTAATATAGATTAACTATCATAAAGAATAAAATTTTATAAATTTTTCCTAGTACCCACACGCCCACATATGCACACAGAGTAGGCCTGTTTTCCCATGTTATGTTTGCCACCCTTTCCTGGACAATTAATGCAGGACATATTTTAAAATGTCACTATCCAAAGACATTAAGGAATCCCTTACAGACTTCTGTCTTCCAGATCACTAATATCTTAAGAAAGCAAATGTAACAAGGTTATTTTTTAAATATTAAAAAAAATTTTAAAAATTTTAAAAATTAAAAATAAAAATATTTAAAAAAAATTAAAAATAATATTAAAAATATTAAAAATAAAAATAAGAAATTAATAATAAAAAAAATTAAAAAATAAAAAATATTTTAAAAAGAAAATAAAAAATTTTAAATAAAAAATAATAAAATAAAATATTTTTTAAATATTAAAAATAAAAAAAAATTAAAAAAATAATAATAATACATTCAAAAGCAGAGATAGTTACCTGTGCTGTCTTAAATCATTTTGGGAAAAGTGAGCCTGCTTTTGAATATAGCTCATCATGAGTTTTATATTTAAATTAACCTCCTTATTTTTTATCTTCAAACTCACCAACTGATGGATCCCAGCTTGCAGTAGTTAATCCTACGGATTTAGGAGAATTCAGGCCATCATTCCAAGACCTGGACTCCTTTGCATAGTTTCTGCTCTTATTGAGGGCTGAGCCCCTGTGGTGCATGAGCTGAAGGAACAATTAAAGATGAAGAGAAAAAGGAAAAAGAAGTTTCTTCAACTGAGTTGCCTAAATCAAAAAGCTGGTGCATGCCAAAAAATTTGCAAATCAAATCACTACACACTAGTCTAGAATGTTAGCAAAAGTGTTGACATAGGGCTTAAATTGCTGTAAGCTATATAGAGAAAGTGTCTGTCTGTTTATCTATTTGTTTACAAAATCAAAGTGGAAGGCTTTGGGGATTAAAGGCAATGTCTGGAATCATACAAGAGTACAGCATTGTCTGTAGATGTGGTGGGATTTAAGTTACTTTCTTTCTTTTTTTTTTTTTTAGACTAATTTTGCTCTGTCGCCCAGGCTGGAGTGCAGTGGCATGATCTCGGCTCGCTGCAAACTCCGCCTCCCGGGTTCAAGCTATTCTCCTGCCTCAGCCTCCTGAGTAGCTGGTATTACAGGCACATGCCACCATGCCTGGCTAATTTTTGTATTTTTAGTAGAGACGGAGTTTCACCATGTTGGTCAGGCTTGTCTCGAACTCCTGACCTCGTGATCCACCCGCCTCAGCTTCCCAAGTGCTGGGATTACAGGCGTGAGCCACCGCGCCCAGCCCAGGGTTTAACTTTCTTAACATCGTCCTCTGTTCTCCCATGCTGGTGGTGATACCAGAAATGGAAACAACAGGTTTGAAAGGCAATTTGGCATTCTCAAGTAAAAGTCATAACACTTTTCATGCCCTTTGACTGAGAGATTAGTCTTCTGAAAACTTACCCTGAAAGAGTGAGAAAAAAAAAACAACACAAGTGCCCAACGATTTCCATTGATTTTTATTTTCAAAAGCAAAGTCTTGGCCATATACTAGAGAATCTAACAATAAGGAAATGGTTTAAAAACTGAAGTACACTGTGCAAAATATGGCACGGTCATGAAAAATGTGAGCTGTGGATCAGGCATAGTGGCTCACACCTGTAATCCCAACACTTTGGGAGGCTGAGGCAGGATGATCACTTGAGGCCAGGAATTTGAGACCAGCCTGGGCTACATCATAAGACCCCCACCTCTACAAAAAAAAAAAAAAAAAAATTAGCCAGGCGTTGAGGCATGCACCTGTAGTCCCAGCAACTTTGGGGGCTGAGGCAGGAGGATGGCTTGAGCACAGGAGTTTGAGGCTGCAGCGAGCTATGATCGTGCCACTGTACTCCAGCCTGGGCAAAAGAGCAAGACCCCTGTCCTCCCTTTCCCCAGCCCCTCAAAACGTAGGGCTTGTAGTAACACGAAAACAAAGCTCAAGCTATAGGCTGGTTATTCAGCTGTGGTCTCCATCTTGGAACCCACGTTGCTCTGGGGTGCCCAACCTGGAACTTTGCCTATCAAATTTCTACTTTGCCTGCTGGCTCCGTGTTTGATTCCACCAACAGAGGGCACTAGAGGAAGATTGAAGGCAGGAATGCAGAAAAGGGACATGCCCCTTTCTGTCTGCTTCCTGTCTTGGCAGAGATACCCACGTGGCCCTTCCCTCTGGACAAGCAGCTGGTCTCACCAGCACTGGCTCCAGCCTCCAACTTTGTAGCCACATCTAGAACCAGCCTCACCGCCCCTCCTCTTGGAAGTGTCAACTTGAGCCCTGGTGGCATCCCCTCCCCAGAAGCGCAGGCCCCAGTTCTGCAACACCCCTCCCCTGCACACTTCTGGGTTCCGATTACCCCAACTTCTTTCCTTTCTTCCTCCAGCCCCAGGGGTGAGAGTTGCTTCCTAGGGTTACTATGCCTGTTTTATTTCAGGGTTCCTTTTCCATAAAATCAAATTCTCTCTGCTGAATAATTAGTGTTAAAATAAATAAATATTAGTTTCTATTTTTCTATAAATAATTAGTTTATATTTTCTTGACTGATTAAACAAAATCAAGGAATAAAAATGTATGTATAGTGAACACAACCACATGAAGCTATGTAAACAGTTCTCTGGGAAAAAGCATTGGAAGGAAATTTACCAAAATCTGAATCATGGTTGCGTTCAACCTGGTGTTAGGCTTATGAGTGAATTTTCTTCTCCCTTCACCCCTATTTTGTGAATTTTTGGGGGAAATATGGTTACATTACTTTCATAGTAAAAATATAAAATTATACATTTTTTAATGAGAAGATTTGATTCCAAGTATGAATAAAAGCGTATTTAGCCTGAAGAGAGTCTGGCCTGTAAAAATCAGACAAACTATAATCTGGGTAATGAAAAGTGACTGCAAATGTGATCACAATTCCACTGGGGATAACTTTTGAAAAAGAGGAGCAGTAAAGACCAGAGTGAAGCAAGTGATGTCATAGCTCTCCAAGAACCAAAAAGGGTATGGTTCAAAACTAACAAAATGAGACGGTTGATGGGATCTTCCAGCAAATTCTACAAGCCTATTCCATAGATAACCCATGGACACTGGAAGAAAGCCTGGATTCACAGAGACCAGTTTATGCTAAATTCACCTTATTCCCTTTTATTGCTGGGTTATTATGAATTGATCATGTACTTGCTTATTTATTTATTCATTCATACAATAAACATTATTACATAACTACTCTATTCCAGGAACCGCCTTGGTGATAGAAATAGAAAGGTGAACTTCTAGTAGGAGAGACAGGTAGATGACATTTAGATGCTATCAACATGTGTCCTGGAAAACAAATCATTCTAATTTAAACTTTTTATTTTACCCAGTAATATGCAAAATGGACATCTAAACCTCATCCCTGTGCCTCACCCATCACTACCCCCACTCCAGTCCTGGTGGTGAGTGGATTACGGGCACCAGAGAGAGTTTCAGATGAGGCAGGGATTGACATGGGTGGGAGTGAGGGGTGGTTCAGGGGTGCAGTGGGGTGGGGTTAGGCACCATCTGGCAGCCAAAACACATAAAACCAAGTGGCATATGTTTTTTCACACTTGCTCATCTCAGCAGGGGCCATCAATCACTCTAAATAAGATGTCTGCTCATTCTCTTGATTTCATATGAATCTCAACTGGTCCACAATCAGATTCTCTGAATTTTTCTTTAATGTTGCAGTGGTCAAATGCATTTACTTTCTAGTAATAAAGAGATTCAGCTGTTTAGTCATGGAACCCATTCTATTTTTAATGTGGACATTCTTGTTTTTTTGGTATTCTTTCTTACTTGGTTTATCTTATTGATTAGATATATATAGGAAATTGGTGTGGGTGAATATTTGTCTATAATATGATCTTCCATTCTCAGCCCTAGACTAAAATAAATGTCTAACTGTTCTTTTAGTATTCTCTGTTGTAGAGCTCCATCTTAGCTAATGTTCTAAAGCTTTATTAAAATGATGGTTGGAGGGACAAGTCTCAAATCTCTTAGAGATTAACCCAGGTATAGCTTTTAATATGTCTTTATCCCTTTTTCCTCCAGTGATAAAGAGACTATACCTATAAAAATTACAAGCCACTTAGAAATGAATAAAATGGAAAAAGAGTTTTCCACAATCAACGGTGGAGGGTGTTGAAGATGGAAGAAGGGAGAGGGTTCAGGTTGATACTGGGTGACATAATAGAGATTTTACTTTTTGACATGGCTAAGTCAGTAGGGCTGCAAAAAATGCTCTGCTTCCGGGTGGACAAGACCCCTACACGAATCTTTGTAATAAAGTGTGGTAAGGACTCTAATGAGGGAATAAGAGGGAAGCTGTGAGCAGCAGGACAGGGTTGGGGAGGAGTGGTGGGTGGGACGTGAGGCTGAAGGCTGGGGCTAGACCACAGGTCCATAGTACCACGCTTACCATTAAACAACAAACAATTTATGCAGATCCCACCATATTTCAAAGCATATAAAGTGGCCTATTAAAATATATATAATACAAGAAGATCAAGTATAAAAAAGTATGTCGTGAACTTGGGGCAAAATAATTAAGGATAGGAAAATAGGATTAACCCACGAGTAAGGCTGGTCTAAAATCAATATTTGAGCCAGGCAAGGGGGCTCGTGCCTGTAATCCCAATGTTTGGGAGGCCGAGGTGGGAGGATTGCCGGAGGCCAGGAGTCTGAAACCAGCCTGGCAACATAGTGAGACCCTGTCTCTATTAAAAACATTTTTTTAAATAAAGATTAGCTGGGTGTGGTGGTGGGTACCTGTAGGTCCAGTTACTTGCGAGGCTGAGGGGGAGGATCACTTGAGCACAAAAGTTCAAGTTTACAGTGAGCTATGATTGCGCCACTGCACTCCAACTTGGGCGACAGAGGGAGACCCTGTCTCTAAAGATAAAATAAAATAAAATCAATTTTGTTGAAATATGCAGAAATATTTGTAGGAGTTCCTAGGCATTTGCTGAAAATGGACTACAAGTTAGGTTCCAAGCTTTCAGGTGCATACGCAAAACAGATACAAGAAAAAGAAAAAAAGAAAGCAAACTCTGATCACATTGTCAATTACATAAATTTACAACCCAGTCACCCAGATAAAGCATAACTCTTCCTGGTACTGAGATTAGAAAGAATATTTTCCTCTTGGGTCTTCATGAAGAAGGCACTGGGTGATACAGTGATAAGTACATCAATGGCCTTTTTAAACGACAAAAGGCAATGCATTCTTTGGAGATATTTCTTATATCAGTATTCGAAGGAAGCTGAAGTCAAAATACTATCATCCAATTCATTAAAAGAAACTCTGTGACAGTAAAAATCCTGTGGTATGAGCATATAACTTATCTCAGAGAGAATATTAGAGTAGTAGTTCCTCTTTTGAGTTGTGGGCCACTTTGGAAAACTTTCCATTCACTCATTTGTTAAAAACAAATGTGTGCAGAGATTTCACTCTATTCCAGGCTATGGCAGCCTTGCAAATGGGCTGCTCAGGTATCCTGCTGTGGGGAGCCCCTGTCCCCTCCATTCGGGGTCCACTGCCATACTGGCACCAAGGCCACCATCCCTGGAGCTGCTCCCAGTCCCTGCCAATGATGGAGCACAGTAGATCCAGGTGACAGTGCTGACCCAATACTGCAGGATGCAAGAGTCCTTAAATGGGCAACTTTGGCTGGAGGACATCCCATGGGCTTATAGGAAACTGCCTTAGAACTGCGGTTTGACAGTCTTCCCACCCGATCTCCCTTCTTTCCCTGTCCCCCTTCATAGGGTTCAACCTGAACTGTGGTGGGAAGGCTCTCCCTGCCTCCTCCTGCTACCTCCTGTGGTTCTTCACAGTGTTTCTCCCAGTAAATCTCTTTTGCATCTGATCTCATTTTGTCACCTGCTTTTTTGAGGAGCCAAACTAACCCACACACTGAGGATTTCACAGTTACCATGACAGTCAGGGGTCCTGCCCACAGGGAAGAGACAGACTACAAACAAGGCAACAAAGACATAGCTGAGATGGCTCCCAGATAGTAATTAGTGCTCAAAAGGAAACAAGACAGGGTTATGGGAGAGAGAATGAAGGGAAGCCTACTTTAGGTTAGGGGATCAGGAATGGCCTCCCTTGCTAAGCTGACACCTAAATGTCAGGCTCATGTGAGGCAGGGGAGAATTAGTTTGGTGTGTTTAGGGACTGCAGGGATGTGTGGAGAGTAGAGAGAGGCAGCAGAACACAGGTGGCATGTGAGATCAGCCCGGTGGGCAGGATGAGGTTGTGTAAATCCTGGGGAGGAGCTCAAATTTTATGTTAAGTGTGACAGGGAGATTAAAAGTATGGGTATAATTTTAGGGATATTACAGACCTCATAAAATTTGTTCTTAAGTGTAGACTTATATAGATAACAAGTGAAATCCATATGTTTTGGGCAATTTTCCATAAACACTATCTCTTCTCCTTAAAAAAAATTTATTACTTTTGAAAATATGCTACACATTTATAGTAAAATTTAAAAGTGCTAAATATACAGAAAAATACAAAAAAGAAAATATAATCATTCCAAGTGCACTATCTGGTAAAAATAACAAATTTATTTATTTATTTATTTATTTATTTATTTATAACTTTTGTAGAGATGGGGTCTTGCTTGGCCAGGCTGGTTTCAAACTCCTGGCCTCCAGGTGCGGTGGCTCACACTTGTAATCCTAGCACTTTGGGAGGCCGAGGCGGGCAGATTGCCTGAGCTCAGGAGTTCGAGACCAGCCTGGGCAATATGGTGAAACCCCCTCTGTACTAAAATACAAAAAATTAGCCGGGTGTGGCAGCATGGGCCTGTAGTCCCAGCTACTTGGGAGGCTGAGGCAGGAGAATTGCTTGAACCTGGGAGGCGGAGGTTGCAGTGAGCCAAGATTGCGCCACTGCACTCCAGCCTGGGCAATAGAGCAAGACTCTGTCTCAAAAAAAAAAAAAAAAAGACTCCTGGCCCTTAAGCAATCCTCCTGCTTCAGCCTCCCAAAGTGCTGAGATTCTAGCCTTGAGCCACTGCGCCTGGCTTAGACATGATTATTGACAGTGTTTGGATGGACATCCCTCTAGGCATCTTTATGCCTTTCATACTGATACAAATAGATGTAATACATACTTTTATACATATTACATGTAGGTACTTATTGTATGTGCTATTCTGAGACTTGCTTTTTATCTCTCCTTAACATGCTGTAGACATATTAAATATTTCATTGATCCTAATAAAAAAAAAAAAAAACGTTTGCACGCCTGAAATTGATTTGCGTCTTACAATCCATGTGATGGTGTCCGGCCAGGCAGCAGTTGCTCCAGGCACATTCACAAAAACATCAAAAGGTTCAGAATGGATGCTAATGACTTAGGAGAAAAGCCATGAGCAAGAGGTGAATTTTTCTTTAAACCTTAGAAGCAAAATTATTGAAGGAGGAGTGTGGGAGATGATTTATTGAAATCGAACTGATTTATCAATATTTGCGAAGTCCAAAGTTGGCCAATCCTACATAACTGCAAAGTCAGGAGCTTGATGGATTTACCTTTTTAATGTATTCTTTGAAAAGTCAGCATCCAAACTCTCTTGATGGCAGAGAGGACAATATAGCATAGAAATCCATGGACACTGATGATTCTGAGTTGATGAGCATCTGGAAGGTTGGACTCTAAATGAGAGGCACTTTCAGGAACATACAAACAAATTTATTATGCTTATATATGTTTTCATGTATGCACAAGAGCAATATATAATAAAAATATGCCTATGTTTAAAGAGCTAGTTAGTGGAAAATAAAAATTCAAGGGAATAAGAAAGCTTGTGTCATTTAATTGATAGCATTTTCTTACTATCATAAAATAATGATGTATCTTGTCCCGGTGCAGTGGCTCAGAATAATCCCAGCACTTCGGGAGGCTGAAGTGAGTGAATCACTTGAGCCCAGGGTTCCAGACCAGTCTGGCCAATATGGTGAAACCCCGTCTCTACTAAAAATACAAAAATGAGCCCAGCATGGAGGCGCTCAACTGCAATCTGAGCTACACGGGAGGCTGAGACAGGAGAATCACTTGAACCCGAGAGGCGGAGGTTGCAGTGAGCCGAGATGGTGCCACTGCACTCCAGCCTGGGTGACAGAGTGTCTCAAAAAACAAAATAAATAAAATAATGATGTATCTTAAAGATGAAGTTATCGCAGATTTGATGGAATGCAATAGACCCCTCCCCCACTTTAAGGTTGCTCCATATTCTACCATGTGGTATATTCCTTAATTTATGTGCCCTGCCCTCTATTCATGGACATTTGGGTCATTCTGATTTTTCCCAAACATAAACAGCGCTGCAGGAAATCTTTTTGTGCATACATCCTTTCATACTTTTGTGATTTTCCCTTTAGAGTAATAAACCAAGTTTTGATAAGTGTCAGGTTGCAGGCATTTTGAGACGATACACTTTGGTTGGTTGTGCCTGGAGTGCCACCATTTCAGAATGCCAGGGACTAAAACTTTACCAGTCAGTCAGCTGTGGGAGAAGTGACAATATCCTGTGAACACTGAGGGCCTAACAGGAACATGCCCTGCCTGGAAGAGAGTCATCTCTTATTGGAGTAGATTGAAGGGGAAAATTGTGGGCAGGGCAAGACTGACTGTTCATCCATCCATCCATCCATCCATCCATCCATCCATCCATCCATTCCATAATGTTACTCCGTGTAAGCCACTGGGCTAAGTGATGATGTAGAAATCACCCCTGCCCTCTGGAAGATTACTGTACCTTGTAGGCCAGGCTAAGGAGTTTGAACTTTATCTCAAGATGTCTTTCATTTTGTTTTTTAATCCCTAAAGCACTAATTAAAAGGTTTTAAGCAGAGAAGTGTCATAATCAGATTGAGTTTGTCTGAACCAAAATGCTTGACAATTGATAAAGTTGATGGGTGGCAGGAATAGGAGTCCACCTTTTGGAACCATCCGTCTGAAGAGAGGGGATCTTCTCTGAAAGTTACGTTTAGCCAAAGCTTTTGAATCAACTGCACTATATTGAAAAGCATTGCTGAGACCTTGTTAGAAAACAGCTTGGAATCCACAAAGTTTGGGTGCAGCTGACCTGGGTCTGTCAAGCGAGAAAAATGAAACTCCCACATCAACAGCAGAATTCAACTGCCAAGATGTCCCTTATCTTTGTTCTGTGGTTAGCTCAGCCTCAGAACCCCTGGTCCTTGGCCTTGGTATATGCAGTTTCTCTGATTGAGAAGAGAAACTACTAGAAGAAGATGCCTAGATGACTCTTCCTGCTTTTAGCATACCTGACTCAGGCTGATTATTAAGTCTTGGCTGCAATGTCATTTACTCCAGGAAACCACCTAGATTAGGTCAAGAGGTGTTGCCAGGTGCTTCCATGGCTCAGTACATCTGCTGTCACCAATTACTTAGCACATTTTCAGAAAATTGCTTGAAGGGCCACCACCATAAGGTGGTACAGGCCATGCGTTGTTGGGGAGGCACCATTTAGACCACATTCTATGTGAATAATGTCCCCTGAAGTTGGGCAGTGCACAGCCTGCACAACTGTACATTTCCACCTTGACTGCTTATTTTATTTTATTTTTATTTTTTGAGATGGAGTTTCACTCTGTCACCCAGGCTGGAGTGCAGTGGCACCATCTCGGCTCACTGCAACCTCCACCCCTTGGGTTCAAGTGATTCTCCCATCTCAGCCTCCCGAGTAGCTGGGATTACAGGCACCCACCACCACACCTGGCTAATTTTTGTATTTTTTTAAGCAGAGATGGGGTTTCACCATGTTGGCCAGGTTGGTCTCGAACCCCTGATCTCAGGTGATCCGCCTGCCTCGGCCTCCCAAAGTGCTGGGATTACAGGCATGAGCCACCTTGCCCAGCCTGCTTATTTTATTGTATGTCTTCCCCATTAGACTGTCAACTCCAGAAGGAGTGGGACCATATCTTTCTTGCTTATGATTCTATTCCCTATACCTAGCACTATTGCTATAAGTAACTATTAGGTGATTAATATTTTATTTATTTATTTGTTTATTTATATATTTATTTATTTATTTATTTATTTATTTATTTATTTATTTATTGGAGACAGGGTCTTGCTGTTTCACCTAGGCTGGAGTGCAGTGGTGCTATCATAGCTCACTGAAACCTCGTACTCCCGGGCTCAAGCTATCCTCCCGCCTCAGCCTTTCAAGTAGCTGGAACTACAGGTGTGTGTCACCATACCCAGTTAATTAAAAAAATTTTATGTAGAGATGGGGTTTCACTCTGTTGCCCAAGCTGGTCTCAAGCTTCGGGCATCCAGTAATCCTCCCTCCTCAGCCTCCTACAGTGCTGAGATTACAGGTGTGGGCCACCGAACCTGGCCAACATTTTTCCTTGCTGATACCTACAGTGGTGAAATTTGTGACCTTCACACTCGGATTTATCATACCTAAATGTTTTCAAGGCAATGTGTTTTAATTAGATTTAAATTAGTATGCTCCTCAGTGGATCTTCCCATCTGTGTTTTATATGCTGCTGTGTTAACAGGAAAAGACTCCCCCCACCCCCCGCCATTTCCCAATAACATTTCACAAATTACTCGCTAGAAGGGCAAGCCTTACAATTGCAGGAACATGAACTAAGACCGGTTTTTAGGGCTCAACAACCTATTGACAGGGGATGAAAGGAGAAATTTCTCTCTTGAGGTAGTGCAGGAATAATCAAATATCAAAAGTTCCACCCAACAGCATAGGCTTATATCTCAGTGCTCCCTCACCCTCCTCGCCTGCAAGGCAGTCCAGGCAATAAAGTCTTTTCACTGGGCACATTATTGGTAACAAGAGTGAATGGATGCCGTATAGGCAACAAGCAGTCCTGTCACAGGCTCTAAAAGAAGGCTGTGCTGGTGGCTCACACCTGTAATCCCAACAGAGCCACTTCAGAAGGCTGAGGTGGGAGGATCCCTTGAGCCCAGGAATTCAAGACCAGCCTGGGCAACATAGTGAGACCTATAACTCTACAAAAAAAAAATTAAAAATTAACAGAGCATGGTGGTGTATGCCTGTGGTCCCAGCTACTTGAGAGGCTGAGGTGGGAGGATTGCTTGAGCCTGAGAGTTAAGGCTGCAGTGAGCTGTGATTGTGCCACTGCATTCTAGCCTGGGTGACAGAGCAAGACCCTGCCTCAAAAAAAAAAAAAAAAAAAAAAGGAGGCAGAGGCTCTGCCAAATGAGAGTAAATGATCACTTTCTACCCACTCAGCTTAGAATATCTACATAAATGAAAGCTTTTTATTTATTTATTTTTGGAGGATCTATTGTTCTGGCCACTAGGGTTGAATAAAGACAAATCATCTTCCACATCTCTTCTCCCAGAGGCCCCACATGTACGTAAGTTACAATTCTCCACTTTGGTGAATACACCCATTTCTAAAACGATGATCCCAAAGGAGGAACTCCTTACCTCCCATATGGCTCTAGGCTGGTGTCCCCAAGATCACCGAAGACTAATGATATGTGGAAGCAGGAAAGATCACATGCCCTTTCCCAAGAGCAATGTAAGAATTTGGAAAAATCATGTCCTGTTTCCTCCTGTAACTCAAGGAAGCCACTTTCATAATTTACAGCAAAAGCAAAAAAACAAAACCAAGCAACAACAGAAACCTCATGCCTTGAATGCCTATGGAGAGAGGGAGAAGAGTGTGAGTTAGAAGAGACTTCATGCTGGGCTCATGTTGGTTCAGAGGAGGTGATGAAATCATGATTAGATGGCTGCTGGAAACACTGGACTATGAATTTGCTGAGGGTCCCAGAGAATGGATTTGTTCGCTAAGGGAGAAAAGGGGTAGTAGAAACAAATAAATTCTTGGAGGGTTTCATTCATGTCTGTTCACTTGCCTGGCTGTATAAGTTAACCAGAACCAAAACCCTTATTGGTGAATCCATGTCTTCAAGGACCCAATCCGTAGACAATAAAAGTGTCCATCCATTTGAAAAATAAAACGAATAGTGTATAACTAAAAAACACACATGAAAATGATCTACAATGATAAATCTTTGGTAGCCAATAGGCTAAAGACATGTTTAAATTTGTCACTATTTATGATATAATTGAGATATGTTTTCTTCCACCCGAAATTAAATTTTGCAATTTAATAGAACTCACTCTGATGAAAAGAACATTTATTCAATAAGAAAGTTATTTCTTTGCAACATTAATCATCTCAAGCTCATGGTTTCTCCAGAGGGATGATCCCCATTTGCTTTTCCATTTACATTATCTTTAACAGGAAACAAATGACTTTGCTGGAGTTGTATCCTCACTAATTCTCTAAGATTAGGAACTTAGAAATATGACAGGCTTTATGGCTTCCCCTTGGGCATCATAATCACTAGTGTAAATGATGACATTTGCTTTGAGTGCAATGAAAACTACATTAATGAAAATGACCAGGCTGAAGTGTTCCCAAATGCTGATGGAATTCAAGGAAAAAGCCTTATTTGTGAGCTGCTTACATAATTGGAAGATCATGACTGACATTCACTACTGTAACAATGACAGACTCGATTCCAGAATTTCAAATAACACTGTAAGCGTGTTGAGAAAAATGAATAATCCTTGCACTTTTAGACACAGCTATGCATTAAACATCTTAAAGAATGCTCTTAAATCTATAACTATTTGAAATGATCAATCAAGTCTTTGCTCTGGCAAAAGCCATCCATCAAAGTAATTCTTTATACATATCAACAGTCTTAGGTCCCAGTGAAATGTACATTTCCCAGCAGGTGTATTTCCTCTTTCCTTCATAGCCAAGATGGCAAACAAATGGTGCACAGGTCTCCAAACGCTGGTCCTTCTCCCATGGCCGGCATCACTAATCAATCTTGGCACCCCTTCTTGCTGAGCCCAGAACAGCTTTTTCGAGATAACACTTCAATGAGCTGCCATTTGGCTGGTGCTCAGGTGAAACCCATTTGCCATTTCTTTCCCAGAGGGTAGCTCTACATACCTGGTTTAAAAGGTTAGTTACATTCCATATATTCAACTCTCTATAAAATATCTTTGTATTACTGTAAAAAAATATGTTTTTCAATATGCTATTAGAAAACCAGATGTGATTTAAACATGGCCATCAACCTTTTACATGACATATATAAAAGGAAAAGTATGATAAAATGGATGATCAGCTTACTGGGTTAAAAACTTGAGTTATACTTTTTGTAAATATATTTTTGTATGATAGCGTAAACCAAAAAATACAATCTGTTTTTATCAGTCTCTGAAATAGTGATCTGAGAGGAGATGGATTTATCATGTTTTAACACTCCACTTTTGGCCACAGTGGTAGCTATTATAACATCACACACTTCCAAAAGACAATCTCATCTAGGGAGCTGGGTTTTTTAAATGTTAACATAAGATGTAGGCTGGGTGCAGTGGCCCACACCTGTAATCCTAGCACTTTGGGAGGCCAAGGCAGGTGGATCACTTGAGCCCAGGAGTTCAAGACCAGCCCGGCTAACATGATGAAACCCCATCTCTACCAAAAATACAAAAATTAGCCAGGCCTGGTGGCACACGCCTGTAGTCCTAGCTACTTGGGAGGCTGAGACAGGAGAATCGCTTGAAGCCAGGAGGCAGAGGTTGCAGTGAGGTGAGATTGCGCCACTGCACTCCAGCCTGGGTGACAGAGCGAGACTCCGTCTCAAAAAAAAAAAAAAAAAAAGGTTAACATAAGATATGAAGGAACTTAGACAAATGTATCAGCAAAAGCACAGCTTGTAGGGCCAAGCTTTGTAATCTCTTTATCCTCAAGTCTATTTTTCACAAAATCTTCCCCAGAGAAGGGTAACTTTCAGCTCTAAACATCCATCACCCCTCAATGCTGTGATCATTCTTTTTTTCTTTCGGAACAATTGAATCATAAGACCAAGGTTACTGAAAACTTACTCAGGTGGCAGAGAAATAAACCCAAACATGACTGGAAGATTTCTCAGCCTCTTTTTCCATCCTTAACCAGGGGAGCACTTACATCATGTGATGTAAAAGAAGCTGGCAGGCGAACAGTCCACCATGCTGCTTGCTCCAACAGGCATGCCAGGGGAGACATGCTGCTCGGCGGTACCTACTGCATCACTTTCTCCTCTCTCTTCTCTGTTGAATCCCAGGAAACAATGAAATAGACAAGGGAAGCATGATGTGTTAACTTAAGAAAAAGACTTGTGTAAAATGGAGAGCCAAAAATCTATCATACATACTGGGACGTAAGCCAATCCTTTAGGGTTAAAACAAAACCCAAGGCTACTTCTCTTCATGTACAGTCTACTTGAGAGCTAAGTGTTTGACTGCTGGGTTCTCCCTGCTCTGCTACACGAGTGGAAAATCACACGGGAGCAAAGTCCTTGCCTCCTGGCCCTGGGATGGTGCAAAACAGCTGTCAGGTGTAAGGAGTTGCATCTGGGGAAGGATGAGAAATGGGGGTAAGCCTGCCCATTCATGCTGTTAGGGGATTTAGCAGGATGTGGCATTTTCTTATCTGCATAATGGGATGATGATCTCTGCAGTGTCTGCTTCCCAGCGCTGAGGGAGAGAAAGGGGAGTGAGGGTGAAATAACATCATGGATGTTCAAGTGCTTTGTCAGGTAGGGGAGGAGTGCCAGAAGGACTCCAGCACTGTTCGCGTTATTTTATTAGTAATATTGTCATCCTCATCATCTTACGTCTCTCTGGTATACTTCAGGACATGCAGCTGTATTTTGGGAGAGATGTGTGCAAGATGAAAGAGACTGAGATAAAGGGTGAGACTGTCAAACTCACCTTTTAGTTTACTCTCAACTACCACCTGCCTATGGTTTTCAACACGACTCAGCATTCTGAACCAATTGTAGTTTTTTAATTTTTTAAAAAAACATGGAAAACCAAACATCGTATGTTCTCACTCGTAAGAGGGAGCTAAGCTATGAGGATGCAAAGGCATAAGGATGGCACAACTGGCTTTGGGGACTCAGGGGGAAAGGGTGGGAAGGGGGTGAGGGATAAAAGACTACCAGTTGGGTACAGTGTGTACTGCTTGGGTGATGGGTGCACCAAAATCTCACAAATCACCACTAAAGAACTTACTCATGTAACCAAACACTACCTGTTCCCCAATAACCTATGGAAATAATAATTTTTTAAAAAAATCTGTTTTAAACACACAGATGTCCGAGCTTTATCCTGTCTGGATAGGATTCAGTTGTTTAATTTTAAATTCTACCAGTAATTCTGATGCCCTAGCCAGGGCTGAGAACCACAGGCTCATGGGGATCCAGGCTAGCCCTATCACTCCTGCACTTATCCCAAACCTAAGTTTCTTATCTTCCATGCACAGGCCTGGGTCCATGGGAAATGGTGCTTTAAGATTCTATTGGCAGAGATGTGCCCACTGCCATAGCTTCTCCTTCCTTACCTTTCCAGAAAAAGCTGGAGACCCAAATAGCATCTCTCCGCCTCCACCCTACCTCCTCTTGCTCTAATTAATTGTGATGATGAGCTGGAATGAGAGCTACCTGAAGTGAAATGTTGGCTCTGTCTCTCGGCATCTAATGTCTGATATAATCACAATATATAGTATAATGGCTAATGAAACACTGAGCAAAATGTATTACACTAAAAGATATAAGCATGCATTTAAAGTAAGTGTCTGGGATTCATTTTGCTGAATTCCAGTTCTAAACTCAGCATTAAAAGTACGCGTGGTTTTATTTTATTTATTTCGTTCCAGGTAATGGCTGCATTAGCAAGACATGGATACTTTTATTTGTACAAATCTGTTGCTCTTGGGTGAAAATACTTTATTATTTTCAATTGTTTCTCTCAAACTTACCTTGTCATTGGGATGCATAATTTTTGCAGAGTTAATTCTTATCAGCTCAATTTTACAGCAGGGGTTTTTGAGGCATTATAAACTCGCTCTCCCCAACTCTGGAGTTCATTCTGAATTAAATAAATCTTTGTCTACCTTTTCTATTAAAATATTCTCGGGTTGGTACAGGTAAGACCATCAGAGTGATTGCTGACATCTGGAATGTTGTTGTTCTTTTCATTTACCCTAAGTTTTTCAGCACGTTCAGACAGTAATATTTCCCAGCTGGTAAGAGACCCAGCTTCTGAAAGAGGAAAACGCAAGAAACACAGCCTAGCTCCCCAGCTGCATGTTATTACGTTATTCCCAATTCAGAGGAAATGAACAATCATTTAGTCTTGACAGATACATCTAGAAACTCACTGTCTTCCTTTTCAACCTGAAAATAAAAAACCAGGGTCCACAGAAGTTAAGCATTTGTCTTAAAGTAAGTTTCATGCCTTTCTGCCAGTGGTATGGGGATCTCTTGTGAAAGCTTTTGAAAACTCCCTGGGAAAATGCTGCCAACAGGCTTAGAAACCTGGGAGAAAACAAAACAAAAACATAATCCAAAATACTTTCTGCTCATGAAGATATGTAACTTAGTCGTCCCTTGTGAGCTGGTGAAGGTTAGACATATGTGATGGCATTTGGGGTGTAACCCAAAGGGCCTTTTAAGCAGACTATTCGACTTAACACAAAAGCAAAGTTGTCAGCAGTGAATTCCCTTCCAAATCAGCTTCGGAATGAACTAAAAGCAATGCTAGGGAGGCTTTTTTCTTATCCCCATTATCCTGATGGATTTGTCCCTCCATTGAAAATATTTCCATTTTCTAATGATCGCCATTCTAACTGGCGTGAGATGGTAACTCATTGTGGTTTTGATTTGCTTTTCTCTAATGACCAGTGATGATGAGCTTTTTTTATATGTTTGTTAGCCACATACATGTCTTCTTTTGAGAAGTGTCTGTTCATATCCTTCACCCACTTTTTGATGGGATTGTTTTTTTCTTGTAAATTTGTTTAAGTTCCTTGTAGGTTCTGGATATTAGACTTTTGTCCGATGGATAGATTGCAAAAATTTTCTCCCATTCTGTAGGTTGCCTGTTGACTCTGATGGTAGTTTCTTTTGCTGTGCAGAAGCTCTTTAGTTTAATTAGATCCCATTTGTCAATTCTGGCTTTTGTTGCAATTGCTTTTGGTATTTTAGTCATGAAGTCTTTGCCCATGCTTATGTCCTGAATGGTATGGTACATGTATACCTATGCAACAAACATGCACATTCAGCACATGTATCCCAGAACTTAAAGTAAAATAAAAAAAAGAAAATATTTCCATTTTCTGAACATAGTTTTCCAAAGTAGAAATGCAATCAATACAAAGTAATACTCCCATTTGCCTTTCAATTTACAATTCACAAACCACTTCCAGGGACATAACTCTACTTATTCCTCACCGCTGTCCCATAACAGAGGCTGAACTCCATTTCACCAGTGACGAAATTGGGACAGGACGTGGGGAGGCCACTCAGACCGCCTGGAGTCTCAGTTCATAAGTGGGAACGCCCGGACAGACAGACAGCTGCGTCTCCTGACTCCCGGGCCAGTGCTGTTTAGTCTATCTAGCTGAGGATTTTAAAACATTTACTTCCGCTTAACTCACTTTGTCCCCTATTATGGTCCGTGTGTGTGTCAGTCAGTCTTTATCTCTGGACCTGAATCAAAGCTACCCCTTCTCCCACCTCCTCCTGTTTCAGAGGGGAAAAAATTAAAGCCTAAATATTGAACACATGTGCTTCTCATCTGGGCAGCTTAGCAGGATGGGGGAAATCCTCATTGTTGTTGGTCCTGCCTCCCGATGTCTCAGTGTGCCCTTACACCTGGTGCCCCACTACTACCACAGTCTGAGCCCACCGCACTCAAAGTCAACCTTCCATGGCGTGCCTTCACTCCCATCTTCTTAGCTTCTCAGTGTCTCAGTGGCTCGCTTTACTGGCCTGTGAAAAATCAACTTGGGTTTCCATTTAGGATAGATTAGAAGGTGTGCAGGGAGAGACTAGTAGACACCTTTGCGTAAAGACCTGACATCTTCCGCCGTCTCTCCGACTGCACTGCTGTGGGCAGCCGTGACTCATGGTGAGGTCATGCATTCCCAGGCGAAGTTTATAGGTAACCAGGAGGCTGAGCGATTTGCAGGTGCTCTCCATGCTGATCATTCTAACTCTAACTCACCTCCACGTTGCACTGGCATCTTTTGAAGTAGAACTTCATGGGGTGAACAGGAAGACTACAACATTTTTATTATAGTTGGCTTCCTTTGCTGAATTAGCGTTTATACTTTCCCAGTAGAAATCCCCAAATTGAAAATATAGAGGTGTCAGCTAGCACCACTTTAGTTAAGGTTGTGTCAACATTTCCTATAAACCTTGTTTTTCTAGGGTTTATAACTAGACCATAAAAATTTGCTCAGCTCTGAAACTTGGCACAGTAAGTAAACCTGGGAGTGAATTTTGCAGAAATTGAGGAGGGAAAAATAAGTTCAGCTGTTTTTAACATGTGCCTCTGCTAAAATGGAAATGATTTTAAGATTCATTTTCTTTTTGTGTGACTCAAATGGAGATTCAGCTTAAAAAAATAGTGAACTCAAGCAATTATTTCATTGATACATGCTAATTGCACTTGTTAATTTTTAGAGAAAATGTTAATGATTGACATATTTGACTCAAAGCCATTGACTGTGCATCCACAGGTACCAGTTTTTGCAAAGCAGTTAGTTAGCTGTGCATAACAATGTGATTTGGCAAATAATCTGCCCACATTTTAGTGCCGTAAACTAATGCTTTGAAGGAATCCTTCTGATAAAAGGTTAACAGGCTGCTTCAAAATACTAAGTCACTCAGGATCACAACCCTCTGTTCATCTTGGTCTAATCTGCAGCTCACATTTAACAGACGATTCCCAAAAGCAGCTCCTGTGATGTTTGTATGAAAGAAATGCCCAATCTCTCTGACCGTCTACCTTTTCTGGAGGATGTGGTAGGTGCTGCACAGCCCAGCAGCTCACCTATTCCTTTTGTACCACTGGCAAGATATTGGGATGTTGGGTGCAATTAGTCAACATGGATGCTTGTAACGCCCTGGCCGGCGTTTGCCAGTCTCGGGCCATGAACTCCGGGATGATGGCAGGCACCAGTGACAGGAGCATTATGGAAGAGAAGAAAAAAGTGCTGGACTTGAATGGATTTTGCCAACAACCTTGGGCGAGTCAGTCCACCTATCTGGGGACAATGATACTCTGCTAACCTAATAGGGTTATTGAGAGAATCAACTGAAGTCATTATGCATATCAAAGCACTTTCTAAACTGTAAGGTGCCATCCAAATGAAAGGTGGTGGTACCTGGCTCAGCATCGGCTTTTCTTTGTAGACACCTACTGAGTGTTGTTAGTAAGGTCATGGTAGCAACGTGTACCCCTTCAGCTGACTCAAGGGGAAAGGCCCTGGGCTTCCCAGCACTTCAAGCCACAACCGTGTGACTCAACCCAGCTTTGTTTTTTCTAACTGCAGTTTCCTGCTTCCACTTCTCTGCTTACCTCTTGCTGGTCACTGACCACTTTTGGAATGAAGAATGTGCTGGACTCTTGGTGGCTCATTTCCCATGGACATGAACACAGCCCCAGAGGCCACCTTGGTTGTTTGATGTCACCGTTCTGCCCCTGCTCCCAGCTGTCCCCATCCTGCAACACATCAGGTCCTTTTGCTAGTTGCAGGGTTTCAGTTTTGGGTGCCTTTAGGTTTTCTCTGAGATTGTTTCCCGCTACACCCCAGGGCTTCTTTCCTTGTTTCCTTATGTTGCACATCTTGGGCATAAGTGAGCTGGATTTATTATGAGAAATTTTCTGGCAGGAATCTCTCTCTCTTTTTTTTTGACAGTCTTGCTCTGTCACCCAGGCTGGAGTGCAGTAGCACAATCTCAGCCATTGCAGCCTCCTCCTCCCAGGTTCAAGCGATTCTCCTGCCTTAGCCTCAGCCTCCCAAGTAGCTGGGATTACAGGCATGTGCCACCACGCCCGGCCAATTTTTGTATTTTTAGTAGAGATGGGGTTTCACCATGTTGGCCAGGCTGGTCTCAAACTCCTAACTTCAGGTGATCCGCCCACCTCGGCCTTTCAAAGTGTTGGGATTACAGGCGTGAGCCACTGTGCCTGGCCAGCAGGAATATCTCTGAAAAGCCATCAGTGCCGTCAGTCCTGAGCAGGCGTAGCTTCGTGGGCATGTGACCTATGCAGTCACACATGCCCTGGGCTCGGGAGGGCCCTGCACTTGGTTTAATGCCCTGCTTTTGTCATCTTAAAATTCGCAATCACTTTTAGACAAGGAGCGCCATATTTTCATTTTGCACTGGGCCCTACAGATTATGTAACTGGTTTGGCACCCTGTGCCCTGACTCTTCCTAGAGAGCCCCGAAGACCTTAACCTGGGGTATCCTAGGGTTCCTTGCTGAGTGCTAGGCCCATCTTGAGCAGGATGGGCAAGACTTGAGGTCACCTATCGTGGGCAGTGCAGGGGTTCAGCATGAGCCTTGCTACCCCCGAACCCTGGCTTATGTTTTCCCGCCAGTCCTGAAGCCCTCACTCCACCCCAACCCACCCCATCCCTGCAGCCTATAGGAGTGGCGTTCTGCCTCCGATTTGCTGAAACAACTCTCTGCTGGCTTAGCTGGAGCCAGACTCCCTGTCTACCATTTCCAGCCCCTCTCCCAGAAGCCCAGACACTGATGTGGGCATTTGTAGTTCCCATCAGGGTCTTGTTCCAACATGAATGGAACACTGGATATCTTGGAGCAGCCACAGTCTGGAACTGAGAACCGTCATTTCTGCATCCAGCCTGCTGGAACAAATACCTCCAAGTCAAACGTTTACTCAACCAGTGCTACCTGGCATGGGGGATGTTTCTGTAAGCAAGACAAAGATGTTTCTGTCCCTGGGGAATTCACATTCTAGTGGAAGAAGACAGACAATGAATATAATAAATGAGTAAATTTGGAAGTTAAAAAATGAATGACACTGTGAAAAAATAGGCAACAGGGTGATGGAGACCAGGAGGGCTGGGGGGCATTTTGCCTTAAGAAGAGGAAATATGGCCAGGCGTCATTGTGCTTACCTGTAATCCCAGCACTTTGGGAGGCCGTGCTCAGAAGTTCAAGACCAGCCTCGACAACATAGCAAGACCCCATCTCTACAAAAATTAAAAAAGTACCCAGGGGTGGTGGTGCATGTCTGTAGTCTCAGCTACACGGGAGGCTGAGGCGGGAGAATGGCTTGAGCCCAGGAGTGTGAGGCTGCAGTGAGCTATGATTGCACCACTGCACTCCAGCCTGGGTGATACAGCAAGACCCTGTCTCTTAAAAAAATAAATAAAAATAGAATACAGGGGGAAATATGATCCAAGATGTGAAGGAGTTGAGGACAAGAGACCTGTGTGTTTCCAGGGAAAAAGCATTCTTGACAGAGTGCAGCTAGTGCAGGGCCCTCATGGGAACGAGGCTGGCTGTGGAGGAGCAGGCAGGAGGCAGTAGTAGCAGCAGATGCAAGGAGGCAGCTGGAGATGGGGCCCCAGACACAGGCCGGGGGAAGGTGAAGCCTGCAGGGCCTGAGAGGGACTTGGGCTTTCATGGAGTGAGCCAGGAGCCATCAGATCTATCAGTTTGGAGAAAAGGAGTGACACCATCTGTTTAAAAGGATTCCTGTGGCTGACGTGTGCCCTGGAGAAGCACAAGGGTGGAAGCAGAACCATCAGAAAGCTGCTCAATAACCCGGAGAAAAAGGCTCATTCTTGTGGGGTTACGCCGGAGTTTCTGCTCTGCTTTGAAAGCAGTTATCCAGGCTGTTGACTGCCCCCTTGTCACACTTAGGCGGCCTCTGAGCTGGGTCTCCTCTGGCTCCCGGCCCTATCTCACCTCTTCCTACTTCTTTCTCCCAGCCTCACGGTGTGGATACCTCTGCAGCATTTGCAGCAAAGTCCACCCAAGCAAGAGCACAATGCTAAGGCCAGGCAGGGTGTCTCCTTGACTAGAGATTTTTTTTTGTAAATAAAAACTTAGGCCAGGCCGTGTGAAGGGCTCGTACCTATAATCCCAGCACTTTGGGAGGCCAAGGTGGGAAGACTGCTTGAGGCCAGGAGTTCAATGCCAGCCTGGGGAACATAGGGAGACCCCATTTCTACAAAAAATAAAGTAAAATAAAATTAGCTATACATGGTGGCACATACCTGTAGTCCTAGCTACTTGGGAGGCCAAGGAAGGAGGATAGCTTGAGTCTGGGAGTTAGGGGCTGCAGTGAGCCATGATTGCACCACTGCACTACTCTAGCCTGGGTGACAGAGTGAGACCTTGTCTTTAAAAGAAAAAAGAA
This sequence comes from Homo sapiens, assembly GCF_000001405.40. Classification (NCBI taxonomy): domain Eukaryota; kingdom Metazoa; phylum Chordata; class Mammalia; order Primates; family Hominidae; genus Homo; species Homo sapiens. The sequence goes on from NC_000010.11 coordinate 31,104,133, forward strand.
AAAAAATCAACACTGTAGAAAGGTTTAGAAAAAAAAGAAAAAGAAAAAAATTAGGCCAGATTTCCACCTGTGGATTGTTTACATCCACAGCTGGGGGAGGGTTCCATGCCTTATGCCTCCTTAAGGCCCCTCCAGGCCTGTAATGCTTTCTCCAGCCCCTCACTCTCCGCTGCGGTATGTGGACTATTTGGCTCCCCGATAAGCACGAGTTCAAATGAGTCCCCGTGGACGTTAACCCAAGTCAGTAAAACACCTTTGCAGGCAGTAAAAGACGTATCCCTCTGAGGTCAGAAAGCTCTCTTGGCAAGAAAGCCAAATGAATGGTTTCTTAAAGGGCAAGAAGAACTCTGCTCTCGATGCCATGCCCCAGCCCACTAGGCACACCTGGCCCACAGGTAGGTTGCAGGTAAGCAGAAAGGCCAGTGTTGTAAAGAAGGCCTGCCTGTCTTCCTTTTGTTCACCTCCAACATCACCTTTTTTTCCTTCCAATATGTCATTGCACTTGTTAATGGAAATGAAACATTTCACACCAACCCAGATTGGGTCTGGGATCAAGTAAGAAACATTGTGGAAGTAGCCAGTCTCAGTGGCTCACGCCTGTAATTCCACTGCTTTGTGAGGCTGAGGCTGGAAGATCACTTGAGGCCAGGAGTTGGAGACACACTGGGTAATATAGTGAGATCCCATTTCTAAAAATGCTGTTTTTTTTTTAATTAGCTGGGCATGGTAGCATGCACCTGTAGTCTGAGCTACTTAAGAGGCTTAAGTGGGAGGATTGCTTGAGCCTTGGAGTTTGAGGTTACAGCGAGCTATGAGTGTACCTCTGCACTCAAGCCTGGGTGACAGAGCGAGACACTGTTTCAAAAAAAAAAAAAAGACATTGTGAAAGTGCTCTGTAAATATGAAAGCACTCTCCAAAGTTAAGATAGTATCATTATCTGGGAAGACAGTCTCCAGCATTCTCCTTTAGTGTTTAGAAATACTGTGTTGAAGGCCGGGATATTCCTGCTAGCCAGGCACAGTGGCTCACGCCTGTAATCCCAGCACTTTGGGAGGCCGAGGCAGGCGGATCACGAGGTCAGGAGTTCGAGACCAGTGTGGCCAACATGCTGAAATCTGTCTCTACTAAAAATACAAAAAAAAAATTAGGTGGCATGGTGTCACGCACCTGTAATCCCAGCTACTCAGGAGGCTGAGGCTGGAGAATCACTTGAACCCGGGAGGTGGAGGTTGCAGTGAGCCAAGATCGCGCCACTACAATCCAGCCTGGGCGACAGAGCAAGACTCCATCTCAAATAAAAAAAAAAAAAAGAAAGAAACAAAAAAGAAAATCCTCTGTGCGTTGAAAAGTATCACTGCCAAGCAGTGTCTGTCACCTGCTTCCAGGGTTGATCCATCTGTAAATGCAACCACAACCTGAAACTCACCAGTGCTTTTCCTCTGGAAATTACAAAATGCAAATGTAGGTTCCATAGAGATATTTAGGGAGCTATCTTCTGATCTCATGGTTTTATTTGTTTGTTTAGAATAACAAGAAAGCCACATTGCTGGATCATCCTGCCCTTCTAGGTCTTTCAGTAATCTTAAATGAGAAACCCTGTCACAGGTCACTGCAGTGATTTGCAATCATGAATAGGAGCTAATGAATTCCATAGATTAGCAGCAAGTGGGAGAAGGGAGGAAAAACCCCTCTAGTTAAAACCTGAATCAACAATGTTACAAAATGCCTGCTATGTGAGGTTTGAGGGGGTTTGGTTGCATTATAATGGCTGGCCCACTAATTAGTGTATTTAAAACATTTTATAGGAGCAGTTGATTTCTCACCGCCCACCCCCGACCCCACCACTATTGATCATGAGGTGCTTTGAGGGGTCCGGGTTTGGAGGACTGAAACACCGTGGGATCTTGGAACAGCTCTTCCTTGTTGGTGATCCCTTATTAAGAAGCCCTCCAGCCTGACAATGCTGAAGCCCTGGAGGTTGGAGCCACTCAGGTAGGTACCAGCCACCTTGCTGTAAAAACCCTAGCGCTATAAGGTGGCCACGTCTTATGAACAGATTAGGAGGCCTGCAGGCTCTCAAAATACCAAGAGGTGAAAAACAGGAGTGTTGAAGGAAGCATTGGCCATGCAGCCCCATAGCCCTGGGCTCAGCCCTAGCTCTAGCACATTCTTTTTTTTTTTTTTTTTAGTTTATAATTGGGGCAAGCCAGTAGCTTTAATGAACATTTTCTTTTTTTTTTAATTTTTTTAAATTTTATTATTATTATACTTTAAGTTTTAGGGTACATGTGGACAATGTGCAGGTTAGTTACGTATGTATACATGTGCCATGCTGGTGTGCTGCACCCATTAACTCGTCATTTAGCATTAGGTATATCTCCTAATGCTATCCCTCCCTGCTCCCCCCACCCCACAACAGTCCCCAGAGTGTGATGTTCCCCTTCCTGTGTCCATGTGTTCTCATTGTTCAATTCCCACCTATGAGTGAGAACATGTGGTGTTTGGTTTTTTGTCCTTGCGATAGTTTACTGAGAATGATGATTTCCAATTTCATCCATGTCCCTACAAACGACATGAACTCATCAATTTTATGACTGCATAGTATTCCATGGTGTATACGTGCCACATTTTCTTAATGCAGTCTATCATTGTTGGACATTTGGGTTGGTTCCAAGTCTTTGCTATTGAGAATAGTGCCGCAATAAACATATGTGTGCATGTGTCTTTATAGCAGCATGATTTATAGTCCTTTGGGTATATACCCAGTAATGGAATGGCTAGGTCAAATGGTATTTCTAGTTCTAGATCCCTGAGGAATCGCCACATTGACTTCCACAATGGTTGAACTAGTTTACAGTCCCACCAACAGTATAAAAGTGTTCCTATTTCTCCACATCCTCTCCAGCACCTGTTGTTTCCTGACTTTTTAATGATTGCCATTCTAACTGGTGTGAGATGGTATCTCATTGTGGTTTTGATTTGCATTTCTCTGATGGCCAGTGATGGTGAGCATTTTTTCATGTGTCTGTTGGCTGCATAAATGTCTTCTTTTGAGAAGTGTCTGTTCATGTCCTTTGCCCACTTTTTGATGGAGTTGTTTGTTTTTTTCTTGTAAATTTGTTTGAGTTCATTGTAGATTCTGGATATTAGCCCTTTGTCAGATGAGTAGGTTGTGAAAATTGTCTCCCATTTTGTAGGTTGCCTGTTCACTCTGATGGTAGTTTCTTTTGCTGTGCAGAAGCTCTTTAGTTTAATTAGATCCCATTTGTCAATTTTGGCTTTTGTTGCCATTGCTTTTGGTGTTTTAGACATGAAGTCCTTGCCCATGCCTATGTCCTGAATGGTAATGCCTAGGTTTTCTTCTAGGGTTTTTATGGTTTTAGGTCTAAAGTTTAAATCTTTAATCCATCTTGAATTGATTTTTGTATAAGGTGTAAGGAAGGGATCCAGTTTCAGCTTTCTACATAAGGCTAGCCAGTTTTCCCAGCACCATTTATTAAATAGGGAATCCTTTCCCCATTGCTTGTTTTTCTCAGGTTTGTCAAAGATCAGATAGTTGTAGATAGGCAGCGTTATTTCTGAGGGCTCTGTTCAGTTCCATTGATCTATATCTCTGTTTTGGTACCAGTACCATGCTGTTTTGGTTACTGTAGCCTTGTAGTATAGTTTGAAGTCAGGTAGCGTGATGCCTCCAGCTTTGTTCTTTTGGCTTAGGATTGACTTGGCGATGCAGGCTCTTTTTTGGTGCCATATGAACTTTAAAGTAGTTTTTTCCAATTCTGTGAAGAAAGTCATTGGTAGCTTGATGGGGATGGCATTGAATCTGTAAATTACCTTGGGCAGTATGGCCATTTTCATGATATTGATTCTTCCTACCCATGAGTATGGAATGTTCTTCCATTTGTTTGTATCCTCTTTTATTTCATTGAGCAGTGGTTTGTAGTTCTCCTTGAAGAGGTCCTTCACGTCCCTTGTAAGTTGGATTCCTAGGTATTTTATTCTCTTTGAAGCAATTGTGAATGGGGGTTCACTCATGATTTGGCTCTCTGTTTGTCTGTTACTGGCGTATAAGAATGCTTGTGATTTTTGCACATTGATTTTGTATCCTGAGACTTTGCTGAAGTTGCTTATCAGCTTAAGGAGATTTTGGGCTGAGACAATGGGGTTTTCTAGATATACAATCATGTCATCTGCAAACAGAGACAATTTGACTTCCTCATTTCCTAATTGAATACCCTTTATTTCCTTCTCCTGCCTAATTGCCCTGACCAGAACTTCCAACACTATGTTGAATAGGAGTGGTGAGAGAGAGCATCCCTATCTTGTGCCAGTTTTCAAAGGGAATGCTTCCAGTTTTTGCCCATTCAGTATGATATTGGTTGTGGGTTTGTCATAGATAGCTCTTATTATTTTGAGATATGTCCCATCAATACCTAATTTATTGAGAGTTTTTAGCATGAAGGTTTGTTGAATTTTGTCAAAGGCCTTTTCTGCATCTATTGAGATAATCATGTGGTTTTTGTCTTTGGTTCTGTTTATATGCTGGATTACATTTATTGATTTGCATATATTGAACCAGCCTTGCATCCCAGGGATGAAGCCCACTTGATCATGGTGGATAAGCTTTTTGATGTGCTGCTGGATTCAGTTTGCCAATATTTTATTGAGGATTTTTGCATCAATGTTCATCAAGGATATTGGTCTAAAATTCTCTTTTTTGGTTGTGTCTCTGCCCGGCTTTAGTATCAGGATAATGCTGGCCTCATAAAATGAGTTAGGGAGGATTCCCTCTTTTTCTATTGATTGGAATAGTTTCAGAAGGAATGGTACCTGTTCCTCCTTGTACCTCTGTTAGAATTTGGCTGTGAATCCATCTGGTCCTGGACTCTTTTTGGTTGGTAAGCTATTGATTATTGCCACTGTTTCAGAGCCTGTTATTGGTCTATTCAGAGATTCAACTTGTTCCTGGTTTAGTCTTGGGAGGGTGTATGTGTCGAGGAATTTATCCATTTCTTCTAGATTTTCTAGTTTATTTGCGGAGAGGTGTTTGTAGTATTCTCTGATGGTAGTTTGTATTTCTGTGGGATCGGTGGTGATATCCCCTTTATCATTTTTTATTGCATCTATTTGATTCTTCTCTCTTTTCTTCTTTATTAGTCTTGCTAGCGGTCTATCAATTGTGTTGATCCTTTCAAAAAGCTCCTGGATTCATTAATTTTTTGAAGGGTTTTTTGTGTCTCTATTTCCTTCAGTTCTGCTCTGATTTTAGTTATTTCTTGCCTTCTGCTAGCTTTCGAATGTGTTTGCTCTTGCTTTTCTAGTTCTTTTAATTGTGATGTTAGGGTGTCAATTTTGGATCTTTCCTGCTTTCTCTTGTGGGCATTTAGTGCTATAAATTTCCCTCTACACACTGCTTTGAATGCGTCCCAGAGATTCTGGTATGTTGTGTCTTTGTTCTCGTTGGTTTCAAAGAACATCTTTATTTCTGCCTTCATTTCGTTATGTACCCAGTAGTCATTCAGGAGCAGGTTGTTCAGTTTCCATGTAGTTGAGCGGTTTTGAATGAGTTTCTTAATCCTGAGTTCTAGTTTGATTGCACTGTGGTCTGAGAGACAGTTTGTTATAATGTCTGATCTTTTACCTTTGCTGAGGAGAGCTTTACTTCCAAGTATGTGGTCAATTTTGGAATAGGTGTGGTGTGGTGCTGAAAAAAATGTATATTCTGTTGATTTGGGGTGGAGAGTTCTGTAGATGTCTATTAGGTCTGCTTGGTGCAGAGCTGAGTTCAATTCTTGGGTATCCTTGTTAACTTTGTGTCTCATTGATCTATCTAATGCTGACAGTGGGGTGTTAAAGTCTCCCATTATTATTGTGTGGGAGTCTAAGTCTCTTTGTAGGTCACTCAGGACTTGCTTTATGCATCTGGGTGCTCCTGTATTGGGTGCATATATATTTAGGATAGTTAGCTCTTCTTGTTGAATTGATCCCTTTACCATTATGTAATGGCCTTCTTTGTCTCTTTTGATCTTTGTTGGTTTAAAGTCTGTTTTGTCAGAGACTAGGATTGCAACCCCTGCCTTTTTTTGTTTTCCATTTGCTTGGTAGATCTTCCTCCATCCGTTTATTTTGAGCCTATGTGTGTCTCTGCACGTGAGATGGGTTTCCTGAATACAGCACACTGATGGGTCTTGACTCTTTATCCAATTTGCCAGTCTGTGTCTTTTAATTGGAGCATTTAGTCCACTTACATTTAAAGTTAATATTGTTATGTGTGAATTTGATCCTGTCATTATGACGTTAGCTGGTTGTTTTGCTCGTTAGTTGATGCAGTTTCTTCCTAGCCTCGATGGTCTTTACAATTTGGCATGATTTTGCAGTGGCTGGTACCGGTTGTTCCTTTCCATGTTTAGCGCTTCCTTCAGGAGCTCTTTTAGTGCAGGCCTGGTGGTGACAAAATCTCTCAGCATTTGCTTGTCTGTAAAGGATTTTATTTCTCCTTCACTTATGAAGGTTAGTTTGGCTGGATATGAAATTCTGGGTTGAAAATTCTTTTCTTTAAGAATGTTGAATATTGGCCCCCACTCTCTTCTGGCTTATAGAGTTTCTGCTGAGAGATCCGCTGTTAGTGTGATGGGCTTCCCTTTGAGGGTAACCCGACCTTTCTCTCTGGCTGCCCTTAACATTTTTTCGTTAATTTCAACTTTGGTGAATCTGACAATTATGTGTCTTGGAGTTGCTCTTCTCGAGGAGTATCTTTGTGGCGTTCTCTGTATTTCCTGAATCTGAATGTTGGCCTGCCTTGCTAGATTGGGGAAGTTCTCCTGGATAATATCCTGCAGAGTGTTTTCCAACTTGGTTCCATTCTCCCTGTCACTTTCAGGTACACCAATCAGACGTAGATTTAGTCTTTTCACATAGTCTCATATTTCTTGGAGGCTTTGTTCGTTTCTTTTTATTCTTTTTTCTCTAAACTTCCCTTCTCACTTCATTTCATTCATTTCATCTTCCATCACTGATACCCTTTCTTCCAGTTGATCGCATCGGCTCCTGAGGCTTCTGCATTCTTTACGTAGTTCTCAAGCCTTGGCTTTCAGCTCCATCAGCTCCTTTAAGCACTTCTCTGTATTGGTTATTCTAGTTATACATTCGTCTAAATTTTTTTCAAAGTTTTCAACTTCTTTGCCTTTGGTTTGAATTTCCTCCTGTAGCTTGGAGTAGTTTGATCGTCTGAAGCCTTCTTCTCTCAACTCGTCAAAGTCATTCTCCGTCCAGCTTTGTTCCATTGCTGGTGAGGAGCTGCGTTCCTTTGGAGGAGGAGAGGCGCTCTGCTTTTTAGAGTTTCCAGTTTTTCTGCTCTGTTTTTTCCCCATCTTTGTGGTTTTATCTACTTTTGGTCTTTGATGATGGTGATGTATAGATGGGTTTTTGGTGTGGATGTCCTTTCCATTTGTTAGTTTTCCTTCTAACAGACAGGACCCTCAGCTGCAGGTGTGTTGGAGTTTTCTAGAGGTCCACTCCAGACCCTGTTTGCCTGGGTACCAGCAGCGGTGGCTGCAGAACAGTGGATTTTCGTGAACCGCGAATGCTGCTGTCTGATCGTTCCTCTGGAAGTTTTGTCTCAGAGGAGTACCCGGCTGTGTGAGGTGTCAGTCTGCCCCTACTGGGGGGTGCCTCCCAGTTAGGCTGCTTGGGGGTCAGGGGTCAGGGACCCACTTGAGGAGGCAGTCTGCCCGTTCTCAGATCTTCAGCTGTGTGCTGGGAGAACCACTGCTCTCTTCAAAACTGTCAGACAGGGACATTTAAGTCTGCAGAGGTTACTGCTGTCTTTTTGTTGGTCTGTGCCCTGCCGCCAGAGGTGGAGCCTACAGAGGCAGCTCTAGCACATTCTATACAGCTTTCACTTGATTGTTCAGAGCCCCCGATTCCAATGGGTCATGGTGAGCTTTGGACTGGAGGCTATGTGCAACAGCTTCAGGCATGTATTAGTCCATTCTCACATTGCTATAAATACCTGGAACTGGGTAATTGATAAAGAACAGAGGTTTCATTGGCTCATGGTTCTGCATGAGCAGAACCTAAGCTAGACACTAAGCTTTCTCCTACAAAATTGACATGAAGCATGACAGGAAGCATGAGGCTGGCATCTGCTTGGCTTCTGGGGAGGCCTCAGGAAGCTTATAGTTGTAGTGGAGGGTGAAGAGAAAGCAGGCATCTCACATGGCCAGAGCAGGAATAAGAGAGTTAGTGGGGAGGTACTACACACTTTTAAATGACCAGATCTCACAAGAACTCACTATCACAAGGACAGCACCAAGAGGATGGTGCTAAACTATTCATGAGAAATCCACCCCATGATTTAATCACTCCCCACCAGACCCCACCTCCAACACTGGAGGTTACAATTCAACATGAGATTTGGGTGGAAGCACAGATCCATATCAAGGCACATGCACAAATACCATGTATCAAGTACTTACCTTACCTTGTGTCAGGCACTGTGCTAGTCACTTTTACATGGGATAGTTTATTAAAGACCCCGTAACTACAAGTGAGATGCTAATCCTACCTTCACGTGTCAGAAGAACCTGCATTTAGGACAGCTTAAATTGTCCTCACTTATACACTACATCCCTAGTCCACCAAGGTCATGTTCTTGTTTAAGGAAAATATATTCCTTCAGGTAAGAATGTCCAAGTATTCTTGGGAATGTCTGTGTCTTCCTCAGTGGCCACATAGCCATAAAAGGACTTCTTCTGCCCATGGAATTTAGGAAGAATTCATCTCTTAGGTACGTAAAATTGTATACTTGCTCTGGAAATGAAGAAAGGGTCTCTTAGCTAATAATTAGCTTATTACAAGGTAAGTACTTTACAGATATTATACATTGATCTTCAAAACAAATCTACAAGACAGCCTGTTATTATCTTCATTTTACAGAAGAGGAAACCAGAGCACAGAAAGGTTAAGTGAAATGCCCGAAGTCACACAACTGATAAATGGTCAAATTGGGATCCAAGCCCAGGCAGCTCTGAGTCATTGACATTACTCTGTCCTAGAAGGCACTCGACAGAAAGGGGGTTTGTGCTTCCTCCATCCCACCCAGCTTCTGAATGGTCCAGGCCCCTGACTGCATTGCCACGAAAAGGCCTCAGAAAAATGTCTGTGCATGCATCAAGACTGCAAGCCAGATCCAAAATGTATCAGGTCTCCTTTATGGGGAATAGTGAGAAGCAAATGGAAATAGATTGTCTTCCTGCTTGGGACTGTTAACACAGCAGCCAAACTGAACTGAAAATATTTTATTTTATTTTATGAGAATTTTAATGAGAATATTTTATTCTCATTATACTTTGCTAGAAGTTGCCTTCTAGAGGGATTTCTTTGGGCTTTTATTTTGAATTCTAATAAAGAATACCTTGACTACAAATTTGGCCTTGAGATGTCATTTAATGAGGAGTCAAGATTTTAGTTTCTGGTAGAAAACTGGACACTAAGCTTTCTCCTACGAAATTGACATTCTTTGTGCCAACCTTTTAACACTCTCCAAGGGTACCTTCTAGTGGCTTAATAAAATCATCGCTATGATGATGTACTACATACTTATGGAAAGCAAGGTTATTTTATTAAGAGACATTATGCTTTGTATAGGGAGTTAGATGGTGCAAGTAATTTAAGATAACAAAGGTCCTCATTTTGTCCCAGAATTGGCTTTTCTTGCTGATTCAGCTTTGGAACCTGTGCCTGTTGAACAAAGAAGGAAGGCAGAGAGCATTTTAACGTCACCTGGTGTCTAGGTGCCTCTGAAGTCAATGGGAGCGCTGTCTGCAGAGATGCTGCGGCACCATTATGGTGTTAATGGTACTATATTCTTTGGCCATTAGTGTGCACTGCTCAAATCTCTGCAAAATGCTAATAACTGCAGCTCTCTGGGGTTCTCCAAGTAATGGGCCTGTGAAAATTCATGTCCAGCCTCCAAATCAAGTTACTCCAGGACCTCTGTTGCAAGTGTATTTCCCCTAATGCTCCCCTACCTCTCTTATGTGTCAGGAGTTTCTCAGAAAAAGAACTGATTCTGAGGATAGAAGCAAAGAGGGGTAGGGGGGTTGCTTTCTGGGAAGATCCTGCTTGGCTATGAAAACATCATCTTGGGATGTGGCCACATCAGAGCTGGGGGCTGCAGCCACTCTGGGGCCACTGATGAGTATTGAGCCTGGGAGAGGCAGGCAAGAGAATGTGGTTCAGTTATTGGAGGTCAAAGTTAGAAGGGGTAAGACAGCAACCCGTTTTCAGAGATCTGGCCAACAGTAGATCAGGAACTAGAGACTGACTACTTGTAAGATGATTCCACAGTGAGAAGCTGCACAAGGTGACCTTGAGATTTAGCATTCTACTGTCCATCCTTTTGTTAAGTCTCTTGCTCAGAGGTATAAGCCAGCTTCTCTGCTGGTTCCTAACTAGGTCTATCAAATGCCTTGCAATGTGTCCCCACTTCCTGGGATATGGCCTAGCTCATGGAAGCCTCTTAAAGAAGCATCCCTGGTAGCCCAGAAATGCCTGCAAGGTTTTACTTAGCTGGAGGATCACAGGCCTGGTAAGAAGCTAGGAGAGAAAATGGGCCCTTCCCTCTCCCTTTCAAGGTTGGAGCTAACCTCAGGACCAGCCAGCACCAAGAGAACAGGTAATGGCAGGTAAATCAGGCCTGTCTGGAAGATAGCTTCCTTTTCCCCAGGGTTTTTCACCAAGAGTTTCTGGGGCCCTGAATTTTCAGGTTCAGGTCCGTCTAGCTCCTGAAATAATTCTGGCCAGGTTTGATAGGAACCTTAGCCTGCTGGTAGACAGGCCTGGAGTTGGGGCTGCTGTCGTAGGCTGGTATTCTTAGGCTGTTCTTGGCTTCCCTGGGCTTTGTCAAAATGGATTCCAGTGCCTTTAACTTTTTGTGTAGCATTCTGTGTGATTCCCTCAGATCTACCTTCCAGTTCAGTAAACTCCTTCTTAGCTACATTGAAACTGTTCTTTTACAGGTGCACGGTGTTTTTACCTTCAATGATTACAGTTCTTATTTCTATAATTTTTATCTGATTCTTTTTTAAACCTTTTTTTAATGCAATCTTTCCTAATGATTTCTATATCCTACTTTATATTTTTTAAATGCTTGTATTGTAGTCTCTTCCAACTCGTTCACTCATCTTCAGATTTTGTTTCACTCACAGTATTTGAGTTATGTGTGTGTTTATGTGTGTAAGTGTGCATGCATGAGTTTCTGTCTGAGATATGGAAGGAACTCAACTTCAGGGGAGGGGGGCTTTCTCTGGAGTCCGTATACAGTGGGCTGCGACACATCTGCCCTGCTTCTATGCAGCACCCACTGGACATGAAACATTCTCCAGTTAGACTATTCTTTCCTGAGCGAGGCATTCCGAATCCACATGAGTAGTATAATTTTGGAGTCCACTCCTGCACATGAAATGAAAAGTTGGGTTTTAACTTTATTCACAGTAGGCATTTTTTTTCCTTCCTAGAGCTTTGGGCCACCCAGAAAGCTTCTTTAATGCCTAACAGGCTATGGGTGAAGTTTTCTGGACCCCTTCTCATAGATCAGCAGCCCTTTAAGAGTTCTGGCGTTAGGCTGAGATCCCTCTCTAACTCCTCACCTTAAGTGGACTCCAAGCCATATTTCTTCTCTGTGCATGGGAATTAAATGCCTAGCTTTTAGCCTCCTGGGATGCTGTAGCTTCAAATTTTGATTTGAGTTCACTTTTTGCTTCTGATATGTGGGAGTTTCCTTCCTTTCTTTTGATTTTAACTTGCAGTAAAACAACAACAAGCTGGTCATGGTGGCTCACACCTGCAACTGCAGCACTTTGGGAGGCCAAGGCAAGAGGATTGCTTGAGGTCAGGAGTTTGAGAACAATCTGGGCAACATAGGGAGACCCCATCTTATCTCTACCAAAATAAATAAATAAATAAAAAGCAAAAAACAATTCACTGGGTGTGGTGGTGTGCACCTGTAGTCCCAGTTACTGGGGAGGCTGAGATGGGAGGATTGCTTGAGCTCAGAAGGCTGCAGTGAGCTATGACTGTGCCACTGAAGTCCAGCCTGGGCAACCGAGTGAGACCTTATCTCAACAACAACAACCTTTAAACAAAATTCTGTTTCATCCAACACTTCTCCATGTTTGGGGTAGTTGGGGTGGCTGAGTCAGCTCAATGCACCACACTGCCAGAAGTCAAGCCCATGCACGCTGTAGTTTCTGGTGGTTGAATTTGACCTTCTGGGTACCCAGTCATTGACAGGGGTTCTGCTCTGAGCCAGCTAGTAACCTGCAGCGACAGCATGCTGCCCACTGCCTTTGAGCAACACTGCACCTGGGCCTTCTGAGGTCTGATCATATTTGTGGCTCTGTCGGTGTCAGCCAAATTATGATGACTTTCCCTTCCTCTGCGTGGCCAGCTAACCACCTTCTGCAGAACCGCCACTGAGGGAACAGGGAGGAAAGGGAGCGTCTTCATTTTCTCTTTAGGAAGCTTGGCTGGAACAGGAATATTTCACCATTTAGAACCTCATAACTTTTGCGGGGCATGGGCGGGTCACAAATCCTTTTGGGGATCCAAAAAAAATGATGTATCCTGCCCAGAGCACAAAAGCACACCCACAGAAACTTCCACATGGACTTCAGGAAATCATGAACCCCCAAATCCCATGTTAAGAACTTCTGTCTGGAGGCTATCAGTTTCCTTTGTGAACTGGAAATCTTAGTTTGCTAGCTTTATCAAATCATCTCTAGTGGGCTGGGTGCAGTGGCTCACACCTGTAATCCCAACACTTTGGGAAGCTGAGATGGGAGGATAGCTTGGGGCCAGGAGTTTAAGAGCAGCCTGGATGACATAGCGGGACATCTGTCTCCACACACAAAATATTAAAAATTAGCCAGGTGTGGTGGTGTGTGTCTGTAGTCCCAGCTACTCAGGATGCTGAGGTGGGAGGATAGCTTGAGGTCATGGGTTTGAGGCTGCAGTGAACTATGATGGTGCTACTATACTCCAGCCTGGGCACCAGAGCAAGACCCTGTCTCTAAAAACAAAAGCAAAACAAAAAACCCACAAATCACCCCTAGTGAAAAACCGTGTTAAAGTGAGAATCTGACATACTAACAATCTTTTCATGGTACACTCAGTTGCTGGCATCTTGAAATACAACAATGGCACCAACAAGAATGTAGATAATTAGTGACAATTTCCTAATCAATATTTTTCTTCCTCCAAGTGCTTTTTATTAAGTAATATAATATCGCCAGCGCATAATTTCCTCCTTTTTGACTCAAACTTATGTCATCTCTGGGGCAGAAGAAATCTTATGAAACAAGACAGAACTGAGGTGACATGGCAGCAATAAAGCGGGATGCTAGATTCCTTTTCTGGGTTTGGGATCTGGCTTTGCTACTCATTTTCTAGTGACTTTGGGAAATACCCAGTCTTCTCAGGCTTCTTTTTTCCTTATCTGTAAAGTGAGGAAGTTGGACTAGATCGGAGGCTGGCCGATCTAGCCTGCAGCCCATTTTTGTAAATGAAGTTTTGTTGGGACACAGCCATGCTCATTCGTTGCTGCATTATCTATGGCTGCTTTCTCCTACCATTGTCAGAGTTGAGGAGCTGTGACAGAGACCAATGTCCTGCAAAGCCTGAAATGTTTACTATTGAGGCCAGGCACAGTGGTTCATGCCTATAATCCCAGCACTTTGGGAGGCCGAGGCGGGCAGATCACCTGAGGTCAGGAGTTTGAGACCAGCCTGGCCAACATGGCGAAACCCCCTCTCTACTAAAAATACAAAAATTAACCGGGCATGGTGGCATGTGCCTGTAGTCCCAGCTACTCGGGGAGGCTGAGGCAGGAGAATCTCTTGAACTCAGGAGGCACAGGATGCAGTGAGCTGATATCATGCCACTGTACTCTACCCTGGGCAACAGAGCAAGACTCCGTCTCAAAAAAAAAAAAAAAGAAATATTTATTATTAGTCCTTTACAGAAAAGTTTGCCTGCCTTTGGCCCAGATGATCTCTCCGTCCCTTCCCACCTGTTGATGATCTGTGACTCCCAGAGGCAGAGGGAATATTACCCAACCCAATTTAAGGGCAGACATGGAATCGAAATACTGGTAGATGAGCCAAGACAAAAACCCCTCTACTGTTTTGTTAACACAGCTCCCTTAGTAACTGCTGCTTAGGGAAGTCTATTAAAGAGTCAAGTGGAATTACTTAAAACAATCAGTCTTCCTTTGTGCTCAAACTTGCTTCATAATCCAGACAGTCACTGATTCAGAATGGTTTTTTCTACCTAGTGTACCTAAATCAGTGAGGTTTTTTTTTGTAAAAGTCACCCTGATAATATACATTAATAAACATGATTAAGTTTAGGAAATAACCGACAGAAGAGCACATACAATCCTTTTTACCCAACTCAAATTCTGTTTTGAAATGAACTCCACCATAAGCCAGTCCACAAAGCAAGCAAGCCCTTCTGATATGGATGGTGAGGGCAGTGTTCACCTGTGCGTGAACTTTCTGGGCTGAACATTCCACAGACTGATATATTCTTATGATTCATGTTGCCTGAACCATGCTTTTCAAACATCGTGAGCTGAGAAGTCACTGCACCACAAGGGCACAGCTACAATGGCAATTGTCCCAGGGGCTTGGGTTTCCCAGAAAGTCAGCATCCAGCAATCTCATTAGATTGGAATGGATCTTTTTTTTTTCCCCCAATTGCCTTTCCTATTCCTCGTCACTTAATTCATCCAAGAAGGGGTTATTTGGAGCTAAGTAGCTATCAAGGTTTTTTTTCCCAAAATTAGCATATTTCAAAGAGCTAAGCCTCTACATTAAGTGCTGAGAAAATAAGCCAGAGGCTAGTCTTACAGATGCTCAAAATTTCAGGTCCAGAAGAACAGGAAAATCCTCCTACTATTGATATAAATTTACTCTTTCAATCTATCTCAACCATCACACTACAATTTCTCTTTTCTCATCTAACAGCATCTCTGCCTACTGTCCCTTTAGTGCTTTGGAGCAGTGGAAATCATAAATTATAGCAACGGGCCGTTTCCTAACTGACCGTGAGAAGCGCTTTTCAAACAGCTTGGAAAAATCTCTCCCTTCTGCCATTTTGTTTTAATGGTAGGTAGCAAACGGAACAAACAGTCCCAAATGAATGACTGTCTCAAATGAGATGACAAGGAATGTAGTGTATGAATTCCTCTCCACTTCCTCAAAATCAAAGGGAGTTTGGATCCCAACCCAAAGCCACTGGGGTCCCCCGGGGTCAGAACTAGAGTTGAGGTTATAAACCCATGATTCCCAGAGGTGCCCACACTCCAGTGGGGCAGAGTGATCACAATGGAAAGTCAAGTGACTCCTGAGTAGCTTGGAGAGCGCTGGTTCCTTCCCTGAGCCTGGATATTAGATAAACTGGGCCCCAACTCCCAACTTTGGAAACCTGGGAGATTTCTTGGTTAGCTTCACTGTTGTTGTTCCTGCTTCATAACTTACCTTCTGCTCCTTCATGGCTGCCGCAAGAGATTTGACCTCATCACATATTTTTTTTTATCTTTTGAGACAGGGTTACCCAGGCTGGAGTATGGTGGTATGATCATAGCTCACTGCAGTCTCAAACTCCTGGGCTCAGGCAATCTTCCCAGGTAGCTGGCACTACCAGAACATGCCACCATGCCTGGATGATTTTTGTTTTAAATTTTTTGTAGAATGGGGTCTCACCCATGTTGTCCAGGCTGGTCTTGAGCTCTTGGCCTTGGGTGTTTCTCCAGCCTCGGCCTCCCAAGGTGCTGGGAGTACAGGTGGGAGCCACTGCACCTGGCCAACATTTTTACTTTTTTTGTTTGTTTGTTTGTTTTTCTGGAAAAGTCCACGCACTATTTCATTCATCTTTCACAGCATTTTTCTGCCTTGCTCCTGGAGCCTCTGCTGTAATTCCTTTCTCCAGAAATCACAACTTACGGCCTCTCTCTCTTCCAGAAGGACCCTTGCCCCTGACAACTTCTTACACTGATTCTTGTTTTTTCTCATGGGTCATGGCTCCATCTTCTGCTCTCTGCCCACTGTCTCATCTCAATCCTCATTCTAGCTAAAAAGAATTCTTGATCTCTTTTGCCATGGTGGGGGTTGGGGGACAAAAACAACTAGAGGAATTGCCTAGAAGAAGAGGTATTGCCCACAGCTTGTTTCGTTTTTGTTTTTTTGGTGGGGGGCAGGGAAAAGGCAAGTAGCTAAGATGTGGCTCAGAGAAAGTTCTTGTGATCAGCATCACAGTCCATTGCTTCTCAGCCCTTGGATTTCTTTCCTTTTTCTAGTAAAGAAATGTTTGCATTGCCTTGTTTGGAACTGGAATATTGGTCTTGCCCAAAGCCCTGCTATGACGTTCTTAGTTCCAGTGTTTATCTCCAAGCAAATCTCTGTTCTATATTTTGCTTCACTGTTTATGTTTTCTTATTCAACTTCCTGGTCTAAGCTCTGTAGAATTCACCTTTAGCTTAATCCAGTTGTAATACTTTCTAAATTAAGTGCTGGCAGTTCCTAAAATACAAACACCAAATTTACAAATGTCCCTTACACAAAGATGGCTGCCCTTTTTTACTTCTGGGTGGTATCACCAGAACGGTTGGAAGGAATTCTTTCTTTTCTGTGAACTTTTGGCAGCAAGAGGAGAATTTCTCACAGCCAGGTTTTTGAGTGAGGACTAATTTCCCAGAGAAACCATTGCCCATGGTGGTCTAGCTCCCAGACTAGCCCACCAAAAAAAAACCATTTAATCCACAATGTAGCTGAAAAAGTGTGGAAAAAAAAAGGCAGTGGATAAAGCTGTTTTTGCTCATGTGTAGGATTTCATTTTCATTAGGGGTTAAATTTGCACAGCCACATTTATTACAATGTTTCTATGGGAAAATGTTTGCTCCAGCTTCCAAAAATTGATTTACAAATAAACTCTTGGAAGAAAAATCCAGTCTAAATTTAGAACTTCCTAGATTAGCTCTAGTTTTCAGCACATATTTTTCCTTTTGTTTGCACAAGTCATCTGGGGACGGCTTTACTGGGGTTGTGTCTCTGCAGGTAAGCCAAAGGCGTGAGGCCGACACCTGTCTGGGGTGAGCCACCCAAGTGTACCACATCGAGGAGAGGGCCTCTGTAGCTTGCAAAAGGAGGTTTGGTTTCAATTTGGACTGCATTTTCTGGATTACTATAAATGCTGTCATCACTCTGCCTGTGTAGGAAGAACATTAGCTCAATTTCGTAAGCAAATTCTCCCTTTATACCTTCTCAATCAGCCAATGTGTTGCGAATGTGAGTCTTCCCTAAACATTACAAACCCAAACTCCAAATTGGTACATCCAGGAGTGATTCTCTACAGTAAGATGGAATTAATAAAAACTGGATTTCCCAAGAAAAATTCCTACTGCAGCCAGCTTGACCCTATGAGGACGTGGGCTTGGAGCCTTTCTTCTGGTATGTTCCCTTAAGGAACAGAGCTGTTTCTTGTGTCTAATCTCAACTGAAAAGGATTCCTTGTGTAGGTTGTTCTCCGGACACAAGCCTGGTTTCTGGGCCAGCTGCTCTAGGGGTACCTGCTCCCTATGCCAAATCACCACAATACTCAAGCTGTACTTTCAACGGGCACTGTAGTTCTTTTGTTCAGGAGGGTTGTAAGTGGCATTTTATTTAAGCAATAATGACTGCTAGAGAGGGCATTTCCTAATACTTAATGGCCAACTGGAGGGATTGTGGGCCTGAGGCAATGCATATAATATGCTATTAAACTCTGAAATTTAAAAATGTAAAGAAAAAATAATTACCTTCTTATGCATGTTACCATGGATACTGAGTTTTGTTTAGTTTTAGTCTTTTCCTAGAGGTTAAAGTCCAGTTTAACAACCAATAGAAAATAAGCACTTCAGTCTTAATTTCCACTCTCTTTATAATGCTTGACATTACCTAGTTAGTGTATGTTTCTTTAAGAAGGTACACATCACCCCTGAAATAGGATATGTAACATATGATGCAGATTGCCATGGTAAGTATTCATATTTTATTGCAGAATTTGGCAATCAGTATTTAAAATCAGCTAACCTTGTAGATAATCATGTTCTGTTCCCCCCGAATGGCACTAACTTTCATACCATTCTTTCTCCCCCAAAGAATGATTCATTTTTCAGCCCTCAAATTGCATGCACATATTTTATGCATTAGTGCCAGAAACACTTTTTTCAGTGGAATCTATTATTACAGTGCATAACTCAGAGATTAACATTTTAGTATGAAGGAGGAAATACCCAGAAAAGCACCTAATACTCCAGAATTTACACGGTAACTGTTTGTTCTATACTTTTAAAAATCTTCAAACACTTTTTCTTTTCTAACTCTTACAGAAAGGTAAGACTTAATTGAATCAGTTTTATAACTCTGCAGAGGTGCTGGCCCAAGTTAATACAACTAACTCCTTACTGTTGATTCTAGGGACAAAAGAACTCTTAGGAAAATTTAGAATCTTAATTACATTTATAACTTCACATTTCATCCCACAAATATTTTTTCCTACCATTAGATTGATCAGCTTTTATTTTTATTTTATCATAATAAGTGTATACTATAGCATCCCTTTATCAAATACATAATACAGAAACACCATTCCTCCCTTCCTTCATTCATTCATTTATTACCTATTAAGTATTTTTTTGACCAGGTGCGGTGGCTCACACCTGTAATCCCAGCATTTTGGGAGGCAGAGGCAGGTAGATCACTTGAGGTCAGGAATTCGAGACCAGCCTGGTCAACATAGTAAAACCCCATCTGTACTAAAAATACAAAAAATAACCAGGAATGGTGATGGACACCTGTAATCCCATCTATTGGGGAGGCAGCCAGGTGAATCGTTTGAACCCCAGAGGTGGAGGTTGCAGTGAACTGAGGTGGCGTCATTGCACTCCAGCCTGGGTGACAGAGCCAGACTCCATCTCGGGAAAAAAAAAAAAAAGTATTTTTAAAGTGTACTGAGATTTGCTGTGACTTAGGTCCTAGTAGCACGCAGCAAATAAGGAAGCCAAGCCCCCCATCCTTGAAGAAGTCTGTCTGCTAAGAAGTCAGGTATGAAACATCAACCACAATACTTTCTTGGAGGTGCTACACTGAAAGTGTGACAAGACGCATTGGGAGCACAAAGTGAAAACATGTCTCCTAGGAATTCAGTAAGGCATCTCAGGGGAGGTCACATTTACTTTGGATGTGAACTGTAATGCACTATTCACAATTTTAAAGTTATTATTATTATTTTGTTTCCTTAACTATTCTTCTATTGGAATACAAAGATGGAGACATTTCTAAAGCAACTGCAACTCAGTTGGGAGTCAAATACAAAACCCCACAATGGTGGTGACAGTGGTGATAAAGCCCATTTAATACATCTCCCATCCAGATCCCCCTCCTCCAAATTTTTATATGTATAAACAGTGCTAAATTTACATAAAGAAGTGTGTCTGTGATATGTCACGTTGACATAGAGACAATGGGGACACTAAAAGTCCCTGCGAAAAGGAAGTAGTCACCTCCCACTGTGTTGATTTCCACATTGACATGCAGTGCTGTGCACACTACATTTCCTGGCTTTATAAAAGTACATGAGGAGAATCCCGATACCTTTCTTTGTATTATTTTTATCTATAGACATCCAAATCATGGTCAATGCCAGTGTGATTTATCTGGGTCCATAGAATTACACTGCACAGGCTAAAAGCCTAAGTTCTGAGTAGTAGAGAAATAAAGGGATCAGAAGAGAAATCACTAGGAAACGCTGCCTAGACCCCATGAATCTGAGCCAGACCTTTTGGGCTGTAATGAACATATAGTCACAGAGATAGGCTAGCATGGACAAAAGCAAGTCCTTGGGGGTTAGAGAAAGCAGATTAGCATCCCTGGAACAGAAGGCCTGGCTTGCTGCGAAGTAAGGAGAACTTAGATTAAAAAGATAAGGGCAGGAGGAGAGCAGATGGCAAATGGCCCATGGCTAGCGGAGGAGTGTGGTGGGATTGGTGAATTACTACTCCGCAAGGCGTCACCTCTGCGTTCCTGCCCCAGGTGTGCCTCAGCCCATAGCACTTACTAAGTTGTAGTGAAGTGATCTGGTTAAACATCAATCCCTCCACTCTCTCTGCATCCTCAACTCTGATCTCCTGCAAGAATGGAGGTACTGCATCCTAGTACCTACTCAGAGCCTGGTGCAGTGTCTGTCAGTGAATGCTGGTTGAGCCTGAGGCAGCATTCATTGATTCAGCCAACGGTAATGGAGGGTCAGCCCTGTAACAGCACTGTCCAAGCAGCTAAGGAAACTGTGGTGAAAGAGATCAAGTCTTGATTGTATGGAGCTTATACCAGGTAGGCACTAGGGTGCCATTCTAGATTCTTACGCACAGTGTGCGTGAAGGAACTGAGGAAGATTCCTTGATCTGAGTATAGGGAGCAGCCTGAAATTCCTGTCAGACATGCCAGCCTGCAGCTGCCGCCTTACTGCAGTGTGAATATATGAAGAGCCAGATCGGGCCTGACAAGAGGGAGAAGCCCAAGGCACAGAAGATCTGATGGCTAATCAGAGCTGAAAATGAAAAGCTTGCTAAGACTGGGAAAGATTATGTTTAAACATTTAAATAGTAAGCTTTTCAATGGGAAAGTCCAGGGGAAAGTATAAATGTTTTTGCAGGGAAGAGGAAAAGTACTACTGCAAGTACTTTGACATCAAAAGGCATATTGAGGAGGCAAACACGAGGACTGGATGCGATAAGTTTCATAAACCAACTCCCCTGGCACGGGCTAAGTCAATTGTGAAGGCAATCTCAGGGGGAAGGATGACCTAGCTTGATTGAGAAAGCACACAAGCCCAGAAGATGTGAGTTCTGACTCAGGCTCTGACAGAACCTGGACTCAATCACCCAGCCTCACTGCTTGGTTCCCCGTGCCTCTGAAGGCTGCCCCTGGCCTCTGCAACCTTCCAGCATCACAGCAGGAGCATGACCCCTACCTTCAAGAGCTGGGGGAATGAGAGAATGTTCTTCCCGTCCTTTTAACCAGAGGCTACTAGAGCTGACAGGATTATCTAAACCACGAAGGACAGAGTTTGGGGATGGGAGGAAAGTGGGGAGGAAAAGGGAGAGAAGCAACCAACCCTACTTGAGGTGTGGCCTACCTGGGACCATGCGCAATGCCATGTGCAATTCATAGAATGAATAAGCCACATGCCTCTTCCAGTAAAAGATCTGGGAAGTTTGATCCAAAGAGGAAAAGCTAATTCATGTGCCTCAGAAGGCTTATAGGAAAATGGGGGGAAAGTTCTCTTTACCCAAGTCAAGAAAACAGATATGCATGCCCAACTTCCATTGCATCACTTGTCAGGAGAATTTGGGCAAACCTGTGGAAGAGGTTTTCTGAAGTACTTTCTCAAATCAGTAACTTTTGGTCATAAAAGAACTCAGAGGAACCACCTTGTTAT
Source organism: Homo sapiens (assembly GCF_000001405.40). NCBI lineage: Eukaryota > Metazoa > Chordata > Mammalia > Primates > Hominidae > Homo > Homo sapiens. Next base: position 31,125,671 of record NC_000010.11, read on the forward strand.
TTTCTCAAACACCCCCAAGATGGAACTTTCTCATTGGTGAGTCAAGACCGGAACATAAAGTGGCAAGGAAGAAAACACAGATTACTGATTTGTCCAGACACTCTGATGTAAGTTGACATGTGAGCACACATATGGCAGCTGGGGACATACTGATTCCCTTTTCTGATCTTCCCTGAGCTCCAGAAAATCTCCAGAGATTTTAAGGAGCTTCTATTAGGTGAATAGGAAGACACAATTCAAGAAAAGATTCATAGAGTTTGATTAAAAAAAAAAGAATCATGGTTTTAAGTTTCTGTAGTTATCCACAGAATGCTAACCTCAGCATATATCTGAATTATTAAACATCTGCTGTATCAGTGTGGTTCAGTTTCAAGAACTGATTGGGCTGAAAAACAAGCCATGCATGCAAAGAAGGTACAAAACCTTAGGATCCTAGAAATGAATATATGAATCCACAAATTCTCATAAAGTTTCTGACCATGTGTCAAAACTCTAAGGAATGTTTGCATCTACTTACCTCTGTGAAAGTGCATTATCTTTCACGAAATGGCTAAAATCCAAACTGAGAATTGAAATCAGGGTTGAAAATCTGGCATCTGAACTGAGATGTGCTCAGACTGAATGCATTCAGGAATTCTCAAAAAGAGTTCACCTTGCTACGTATATGTATATTTGATCAACATCAATTGACAACTAGCAAGAGGCTCATAATTCTATAGTTTGGTGTTAGTGAAATTGACTATTTCTAGAATAAAAGTTTTTTCTTGACCTCACCAGCCTATGCATACAAATCATTTCATACAGTGATAACCCAAGTTTCACTGGCTGTTGCAGGTAAGGGTCCCAGGGAAACAGTTTATTAAGGAGTGCTTTGGGGATCAATACCTGTGAAGGGAGAAGGACAAGTAGGATGAGACAGAGGGGGAAGTTAAGATGCGATGCAGTTTTCAGCAAAAACATCAGCCAGTCCATGTGGAGCTCTGGATCTGGGGTTTAGAGTTGTCTCAAGTTAGAGCAAGAAGGTCAGGTCTTTCCAGTTTCATATTGATCATTCAGTACAAGTCATTCCTGGCAGGAGGTGTGATCTTCAGATCATGCAGGCTGTATTCTCTACTTGAGGCAAACCCCACAGGCTAACAGCTGAGGGCTATCTTCTGACAGCATTCCCAGCATCTTGGAAATAAGACTTTAATTCCTCAACAAGAATCTTCCTGAGTAGGAATCATGACAATGCATCAAAGCATCCACAACAGTCCACGCCTTGTGGTGCTTGTATCCTCTTATAGGCTCTGGGAAACTTTCCTTCAAGGTACTAGTGAGCCTCTGTTCCTAGTGGGAACTTGTAAAAGGAAGAGTAGTGGGACAAATTATAGATCCTGATGCTAGAGCTGGCTTAAGGGTGACACTAACACTTATCTTCTCTCTCCTCTATTATCCATTGAAGATTTCCATCACTCTCAACAGGCACCTCTTCTGATCTCAGTGGCTTTCCTGGTGTTAAGACAAGTTGCTCATCCCTGAGGGGTCTGAACTTCCTGGTCATTATGCCCTTCACAGGCTACAGTCTATTTTCTTTAAAAATTGGAGAAGGAAGTGCTGAGAGGCGCCTAAGTAAATCTCTGAGGTTATACATGTATTCTTCCCTTCTTTGCATGTTAGAGTAGCCTTCCCTCTTCCTGGTGACCTTGATAATCAGGTTCAGTTATCCCTTCCAAGATGGCGACTCCTCTTTCTTGCCTGTGGTCCCCTTGGTGCAAGCTGTGTCCATGGATCAGCCACAGTTATGATTCAATGGGCTGTTGCTGTGTCACCTGTCAGAAGCATTCTCCCTTAAAAAATGAGTACCTCAAAACCCACAGAGCTCAGTGTTTGGGGGATTCTCCAAGTAGGTCATTGGGAGTGATGGCTGGCAGAGACACTCCTATTTCCACTCCTTGGTTCCCGGACTCATGTATTTTACCCGTGTGAACACAGTGCCATATAAAGGTCTTTGCTTTAAGATGTATTCTGCCTCCTGGAGAATGGTGCTCCATCCTGACAAGGCATCACTTTTGAGCTGGTGTATTGGCTAAGCCCCAACAGTTCTGTCTATACCATTGCTTTATGTGGCTTGAAGCCCCAGGGTGTCATAGCATGTGCTAGAACCGTTCAGTGGAGTCCACGGGCATGCGCCCATTCTAACAACTCCTTTGCTGAAAAGTGGGCTCCTTGCCCTGATGTGATATTATACGGATCCCATGAAGGTGGATTTAACACGATAGAAGCCCTTGAATAGTGGTGCTCACCAAAGTGCTAAGGGCAGGAAATGTGAACCCATGCCCAGGATATGGATATGTGCCCATTCAGGTTAAAATTAATTGCTGCATCTTCCAGGGTGGAAGGTATCCAGTGTAGTGAATTTGCCAGAGTGTCCGGTTGGTCTCCTTGAGGTATAGGCTCTACTGGGACCCCAGTATCACTCTCTGCTGCTAGAATGTTAGACATTTGGCAGTAGCAGTGGCTAGAAAAGCTTTGGTAAGCGGGAGCCAATACTGGTGGGCCCATGCATAGCTTCCATACCTGCCACCATGGCTATTCTATTCAGCGCCGGCCCTGGAGTGGATGATGACAGGGACTGCTGTCAACTGGTTAGTCATTTTGTCTACCTGTATGTTTAGTGCCTCTCTTGTGGGTGTTAACATGTGATACAAAGACCTTCAACACTCCTGTAGTCCATGCACGTGTCTCTACTCCAGACCTCCTTGTGGCCAATCTGCCAATCTGTCTCCTACTAGGCCCCTGCCCATTTGGTCAAGCCATTTGGTACTGCCCATAAGTCTGCATATATCACGACCCCAGGCCACTTCTCTTTCAAAACAAAGTGTATGACCAGGGACACCACCATCCACACTGTCTTTTAAGACCACCCTTGAATGGGACTGTAGCACAGTTCCCATTCATTTTCAGCTTGCACGGATGTACAGAGCTGGCCCATCCATGAAGCAAGCTTGAGCTCCTTCCTCTTAGTCAGCTAATCATAAGGGTCTTACATATGGCTGTGGGTGTGAGCTGAGAGGGAAGTGCTGGTACAGTAATAGTGGATGGCTATTGTGCAGCTTGACTGTGCCCTCTGGTCCTGCTTAGGCCTAATCCCAGATGTACCAGTCCAGTCTTACAATGGATTGTTCCAGGGCCTATCCAATGACATGACATAGTGGTTTCGACAGAACCCAGCTCCTGATGGGCTGCTTTGGCCACATGGTCACTTTGTGTCCCATGGTCAGATACTGTGTCTCTATGAGGTCCCCATAGCATGCCAGAACTGTTGTTCAAAGTTGTATAATTCTCGCTGTGGATGGCATAATTTTGTTCCAGGCTTGTTAGTGATTAAACAAATTCAATAAATCATCTCCAAATGAAGACAGTAAAGTTTTTACACTTACTTTTCAAAACCACAATTTTCTCATCATTTTTAAAAAGCTACATCATATAGTAAGAGTATTCAATGTGACTTTGGGACTTTTAGACATGATTTTTTTAAAAAAGGTCTACTCACACCAATCTTTGCTTATTTATATCAAATCCACAAATACAGCAGGATGAAATGAACAAATAAAAAAACTTAGGAGTAAGTTAAAAATATGGCTTGGAAAAATAACACAGGGCCAAGTTAAAGTTAGCAGACAAAAGCACAGGGCCAGAATTCCCAACCAGTTGCTGGATCTGCACTGTAAACTCCATTCTGGGTCCTGCTGTGACTGTTGCCAAGACATCATGACTCAGCACTCTCCCTGAGACCCACCACATGCAACGCAAGGAGACAGGTTACCCCATCACCCATTTCATGCACACACCAGGATGCAGATGCACTCAGTGAAAAGAGGACTGAGCTTTCTGCATTTGGAAAACTGCCTGAGATGGTGGGGGTGTGTGAAGATAGCCTAGGCAGTGTAACTCAATTTAGTTAAAAAAAAAAAAAAAAAAGGCAGCTGGGCGCAGTGGCTCATGCCTGTAATCCCAGCACTTTGGGAGGCCGAGGCGGGCGGATCACGAGGCCAGGAGTTTGAGACCAGCCTGACCAACATGGTGAAACCCTGTCTCTACTAAAAATACAAAAATTAGCCAGGTGTGGTGGCGTGCACCTGTAATCCCAGCTACTCATGAGGCTGAGGCAGGACAATCACTTGAACCCGGGAGGTGGACGTTGCAGTGAATCAAAATCATGCCGCTGCACTCCAGCCTGGGCAACAGAGTGAGATTCCATCTCAAAAAAAAAAAAATATGACTTGAACTTAGTCTTGGTCCTCCGGACAGCAGATCCTGAGACAAACGCTTGAGTGCAAAAATTTATTGGGATGTGTGATCCAGCAAGTAGGAGTAAAAGACAAGACGGATGAAGGACAGAGGATGGAAACCAATACAAGGATGAGTTATTAAGTTGGCCACAGCTCCTGGCGAATGGTTCCTGGCTGTTTCTGGGCTGCCTGAGGAGTTGCATGAAAGATGTTTCAGGGCTGTCCATCTGGGGGAAGAAAGGAAAACATTTATCCATTAGCACTTAGACTCCATTGATCACTCCTGGGTTGGGCAAAATGCATGGGCCCCCGACGGCTTAGAGAAGCTCCAGGGCAGACTCTGGAAGCTCCAGCAGAGGTGTGAGGCAAAGGCATGAGGCAAGGCCCCAGCAGGAAGCTGCTCAGAACCTGCATCAGTAGCTGGAATGAGGGACAAGGGACACCCAAAGGCACTGAGGTCATACCCAAGAGGTGCCTGGTGCACAGTCCAGATTTAAAATTGGTTGCTGCTGGAAAACCATCTTCTTAGAATCTGTTCATCTTTAGCAAATTGCTGATCCCTAAGTAATGACCCCTGTAAGAGTTAAGTAATGTCAGCAGGATACTTGTTTCAAGCACCATTCCATCCATGAACAGAGCCAGCATTTGCAAGTATGTTCTTTGCTTCCTGTGTCAAAATATGAAGCTTTCATGAATGCTCCAGAGATTATATCTGAAAACAGATTTACTCCAGACATCTAGTCTAGCACATGCGGCCCAACTTAATGTCCTATAGAGATAATAAAGAGTTGAAAGAATAAAACTGTTCATTTTATACACATAGGTAAGAAACCATATCTCCACTCATTTTCAGAGCATCTTTGACTTTCCAGAAGCAACTTTCTTTTAGGCTGGGTGGTTTAAATACAGTTTGAAAATAATGTGAATTTTCACACTGTGTTCTCATATAAGGCCCCTGAAAATTTTTCTTCTCTGAAAATACAATATTGACTCTTTTATGGCCAAATTAAGCTACAACAAATAAGGTACGATTCTATTTTCCTTTTCACTGTAAACAGTCTCTATTGTTTAAAATAATATGGTCCTCTGGAGGCCAAGGTGGGAGGGTTGCTTGAGGCCAAGAGTTTAAACCCAGCCTGGGCAACATAGCAAGACACCCATCTCTACAAAATGTTAAAAAATTAGCCAAGTATGGTGGTGTACACCTGTAGTCCCAGCTAATAAGGAGGCTGAGGAAGGAGAATCACTTGAGCCCAGGAGTTCAAGGCTGCACTGAGCTATGATTGCACCACTGCACTCCAGCCTGGGCAACAGAGCCAGACCCTGTATCCAAAAAAAAAAAAAAAAAAAGAAATGCTTCTCTGGCTCATAAACCTATTGCTGAGAAATTTGCCACTGGCTATTAAGCCAATCCTTGGAAAACTAATTGTAAACAAAGTGTTTTGGATCTTGCTACACAGCTGCTCAACTCTTCTATTTGAGAATGAAGTGTAATGAAATTACAACTTAAACTTATTGAGAGGAAGAGCTCAGTAATGCTGTTGAAGACTTGGAATCCTTCTAGCTGGAAAAGCAACAAATAGCCAAGGCGCAGAAGGCTTCACTCAAGCTCAAAGGCAGCAAGCAGAGAAAACCTAGTCCCTCGGGCTATCAGCCACTGTGATCCCTCTCCATTAATACACCAGGCTTAATTAGTTAAATTAACCTATTAGAGGTTGGATATTTATTTTTTAATTAACCAATTATTAGCAATTTAAATAAAATTTATATCTACCATGAGAATTCTACGTGCCTATAAGAGCTTTTAACGTCTTAACAAGACTGTAAATTAGAAACTATTATCTCTATGTACAAATAAAGTACCTGGGCACAGAGATGCTAAGGAAGTCCTCCAAAGTCATACAGCTAAGTAGTGCCAGAGCTGGATTTAAACTCAGGTGACACTATAGAGTACCCCCAATGCCTCCTTAATCTACATCTTCAATCCTTTTTTTTTTTTTTGAGGTGGAATCTGGCTCTGTTGCCCAGGCTGGAGTGCAATGGTGTAATCTTGGCTCACTGCAGCCTCTACATCCCAGGTTAAAGTGATTCTCCTTCCTCAGTCTCCCAAGCAGCTGGGACTATAGACTCATGCCACCATGCCTGGCTAATTTTTGTACTTTTAGTAGAGATGGGGTTTCACCATGTTGGCCAGGCTGGTGTTGAACCCCTGACCTCAGCTGATCTATCTGCCTATCTGCCTCGGCCTCCCTCAATGCTCTGTTTGTCAAAAACAACAATTTGTCACATGGCATAACAAAGAAATCAAGGGGAAGGAGTAGACCTTCATTATGGCAAATTAATCTTGTGCAGATCCCTTGATCCCAGCTCCTTCTATCTCTCAGAGCCTAGGAGGAGTTACGGAGAAACGGTGCGGCAAAGTTAACACTGAGCTTCATCGATATCCTCCAGCTGCAAATGTTACTAGATGCTTCTTCAACAAACTACCTGCCTGAGGACAGTGCACATGAACACATCATAGGCTCTGTAAAATCCTCTGGCAAAGAAACCTGTTTGCCCGAGGATCCCTTTTTGAGGAGCATCTACTTGACACTCATTTGGAAGAAGGCAGTTTCAAAATCACCGAGGTGCAGAATATCACAAAATAATAAATTTGAAACCACAGCCCCTTGGTACCAGGCAGTTCCCACTGGTACTCGGAGTGGAGCCGTCACAGCTTGTCCTGGCATCCCAAACAGAAAATGTATGTATGGATTTCTCACTAACTTAAGAGGAGTCTGACTATTCATTGGCTCAACAAGTATTTATGGGGCATGAGGAGTCAGGCACAGTGCTGGCTCACGAAACTTACAGTCCGGTGGGGAGGGTGAATTTTGCCCGGTTGTACATTTGATGAGTATTACAAAAGAGAAGATGAAAGAGCTACAGGATCCTGTAACTGGAGGACCTGATCTGGCCCAGGCACCAGGGAAGTGACATTTCACCTGAGGCCAGAGGAATAAGTGGGAGGGGAATGGGCTGGGGGTGGGCTATGCAGGGAGACCTATGTGGGCAAAGGGCCTTTCTCCTGGTAAGTTTCTACTCACCCAGCCTCCACCTGGACATCCTCCCTCCCTTCCTCCCTCCCCAGGAGCTGGGCTGAGGGCCGCCCTACTGCTATCCATGGCACTTGTCACCCAGAGCCCTGGTGAACTGTTTGCTTGTATGCAGCACCCCTCACCACATGAAGAGCATCTCAAGGGCTAGGAGTCTCGTTTCTTGTATCCCTGGTCCACCGCCTGATCTCCAGCACACATGAGGTATCCATCAAAATGTTAGCGAAAGGAAAGGAGGAAGGGAGGGAGGGAGGAAAAGAGGGAACAAAGTAATTAACGAATCCCTAGCTGCAGGCACAGGTTGATTCTCTGCAATGTCTCCTTTTCTGTCACAGAGAAAAAGAGCACAGTTAGAGTTCACAGGGACCGCGCCCTGCCACACATTAATTTATTCTCCAAACATTTGTGGAAGTTGCTAGAGACACAGATGCAACGTGTTTTCAGGGAGCTTATGATCTAGCAGTGGAAGCGCAACAGAAGTGCAATTCTTTCATCCTTTTGCCCACATAAAGCAGGCAAGGCACGACGAATTTTGATGTCAACTGCCCAGGCAGGACTTTGTCCCAGCCCAGCGACCCTCACGAGGCCAAGGGCAGAGATGATAGTTGTAATATACTCTTCTGTCCATTTCCTTGATATTCTCCTCAAGGGGTGGGGGGCGCCTGAAATCCATCTGCCCCGGGGAGAAGGGCCTCGTGGGCCAGCGCAGCTTGCTCCTCTGCAGACCCAGAAGCATTTGTGCGTCCCGGGCGTGGCAGGCCCGGCGCCCACTCCGCCCTCCCGCCCCTCCCCCGCGCCACGTCACCCGGGTCACGTGAGTGACCAGGCTCCTCACCCCAACCCCCCTCCCTACTCCCGCCAGACTCAGCTGCTCTCCCCGGGAGCTGGGGAGCCGGGGGCGGGCAGCCGCGTCTGTCCTGCCCCTCCTCGCCCCCTCCCCCGCAGCCTGAGGAGGGCGTTAAGCAAGGGGCTTCGGAGAAATTAGAACCAGCGTTCTAAATTAAGGGGAGCAGATGTCCTTGTTTTGCTCGCGAGGCCTGGGTGGCCTGCTGTTCAGACAGAAATCGTTGAGGCGCTGACCTTCCGGGACTGCTGTCAATCTCCGCGTGCAGATGGCCAGCCCGGAGCCTCGCCGCTCCCCTGCATTGGAAATGCGGCAGCCGGGGGTGCCGGCAGCTTGAGAGAAAAGTCTGCGTGGAGGGGGGGTGGGGGGGATGAGGGGAGGCCCGGGGAGACAGAGGGCAGGAGAAAAAGGCCGGCCCCGCTCACAATGGAGCCCCTGTGGCGGCCCCTCCGAGACAATGCGGTCCCCCGGGACCCGCGGTGGGTTGCGCCAGGCCAGTCCGCGCTCCAGCTGCCTCTTCAGAACAAGGCAGTGCAAATGTGCCCACTTGATTCTAAATCCTCTTAGGCGCTGTCCATGTGAACAAGGAAAGGGGTGGCCCTACGATCCTTTACAATCGGAGGCCTGGGGAGGCCTGGGAGCCCTGGAGCTCCGGAAAATGTCTGCACCACGCATGCAAATGGGTCATTTCGCTTGGAGAGAGGCATCTGGCGACATCGGCAGAAAGGCTCTCTGCCCGGTAGACGGTGAACAAAACCCACAAAACCAGCCAGCCAACAGCGTGCACTAAACACCCCTCTCTGGCCCTTCAATGCCACCCGGAGTCCTGAAACATTTTCAGGTTGTTTCCCCTGGAGAGACGTCCCATGAAATGTTCAGAAAAGCCAGCTGAGCTGTGCAAAGTCATTAGTCACCCAGGTATTTACACTGTTTTTCCTATTTCCTTTCTCTTTTGGCCTCTGTGGTCAGTGGTATAAAATTCCTAGGAACTCCCACCTAAACACCAGCTTCCTGTTTATTCTTGCAGTGGCTTTAATGTTTCGCTGTTAAAAGCGGTTGACCAAGACACTGAAACAATCAGTAGAGGTTCGCAGGTGAATGGAAAAAAAAATTTAATTAAAAAATATATCTACTGCTCAGGTCAAAGGTCCAGGTTCATTTTTACTGCTTATGTCAGAATCGCAAAGGGGAAAAGGTAAAATTAAAATGTAACTTAATGCCTAAGATCTTGGTTCAGTTTCATTTGGCCCCTGTGTCTACATGAACCTATAAAATACGATACACTAAAGTATGAATGTTTTCATTTCTAGCAGTGGAAGGCCTTTTTTTTTTCAATGTGGCATGACGTTCTTTTGTTAGAGAAGGTTAAAGTTCAAAAGTTCATATATTAGCACAATCTGTGTGCTCCTGCGTGTGCCTTACACCTCGCTATGCCTGTTCCGCCTTAATTTCCTGCAGCAAAACCTTGCATTTACAGAGCCATCAGAATTGCAGCCTCCCTGGCCTGGAAAAGAACCCTCGAAGTCACCTCATTCAACCCTTTTCCAATACTGAATTCCCTGTATGGCCCCTAGGGAGTGTTAGTGATGGGACCCTTTCTACCTCAGATTTTATAAATTTATTTTTTAGAGACAAGGATCCACTCTCTCGCCCAGGCTGGAGTGCAGTAGTACCATCACAGCTCACTGCAGTCTCTAACTCCTGGGCTCAAGTGGATCCTCCCACCTCAGCCTATGAGTAGCTGGGACTACAGGCATGTGCCACCATACCTGGCTAATTTTTTAAATTTTTTGCAGAGATGGGTTCTTGCTATGTTGCCCAGGCTGTTTGTTTGTTTGTTTGTTTGTTTTTAAGAGGGAGTCTTGCTCTGTCACCCAGGCTGGAGTGCAGTGGTGAGATCTCGGCTCACTGAAAGCACCGCCTCTCAGGTTCCAGCTATTCTCCTGCCTCAGCCTTCCAAGTAGCTGGGACTACAGGTGTGTGCCACCACGCCTGGCTAATTTTTGTGTTTTTAGTAGAGACGGGATTTCACCACCTTGGCCAGGCTGGTCTCGAATTGATCCACCCGCTTAGGCCTCCCCAAGTGCTGAGATTACAGGTGTAAGCCACTGCGCCCAGCCCCAGGCTAGTTTTGAACTCCTGGCTTCCAGTGATTCTCCTGCCTCAGTCTCCCAAAGTGCTGGGATTACAGGTGGGAGCCACCGTGCCTGGGTAACAATCTTATTTTTCATAAATGTCTTCTATCTATAAAACCAAAATATGTCTCCACTTATGGAGTCATGCGGAATAAATCTAATTTCTTTTGCACATGATATTACCCTACAAATGTTTTGGAGATAGCTCTGCTGTCCCCACACAGTCTTCTCCCTGCTAAACATCCTGAGATCCTGCAGCAATTTCTCTCATGGGTGTGAGCCTCTCGCATCACCCTGAGTTATCTAGCGATGCTCTAGTTAGTGTAAATCCTTTAGAAACTAAAGACAGAAATTCAACTCATGCCGAAACTCAGCTTCTTAGGCAGCACGGGGGAACATGGGTTAAAACCAAAAGACAGATCGGTCGGACCATGTTTGAGTTACTCAGACAAAACTACATTTCAGTTTCTCATTTTAGTCCTTTTCTCTTCTAGGTCATTTATGCCACACTCAGTTATGAAGCCTAGGAAAGAAGAAAAAAGACCTACTATGTGCTAGTTCATGTGCTTGCAATGTATCCTCACAGAGACCCTCTGAGTGGGTTCTATGGTTTTTCCCCTTTTATAGGCTCAAAGGTTAATTCATCCATTCAAGGCCACACAGCTAATAGGTAGGAGGGTTCATACGTCTGACCTGCAACTTACTCTTTACATTATACAAAGCTGCTGCTGCAGATGTTTCCAGCTAAAACTTATATCCCAAATTTGTTTTTCAGCGTATCCTGTGGCATACAGTTTTTATTCAAGGCTGGCTTGTATATATCATATTTATACAGCGACAAGAACTTTTGAAATACAAGTTAAGAACTTTAAGGAGAAAAAAACGTTCTTATTGGAAGCAAATGAAACAGAAATTCCAAGTTAAAGCCAAAAGTCATCCTGAACATGCTTTTATTCCAATGGTATTACTTAACAGCAAAGTGTTATATTACCCTTGAATTTCCTGCCTAAGCTAAGGGTAGGCCAGGCCCTTGATGCTGCTTAAATTGTTCCATGTATCCCAACTATATCACAAGCAATGCCATCACACTTGACTTGTGCCTGATCTCCAACTTGTCAGTTAGTCAAGAAGGAGGAAAGAATCTGTTTCCCGTGCACACACTGTAATTTTTTTTTCCAGTGTTGCTAAGCCTGCCAGAACAAAAGTAAAACCACAAAACAAGATTTAGATCAGTGTCTTGATCACCCTGTTGCTATTTTACAGTTTTAGGAGGGTTGGACATCAAACACTTGAAACTGTCATCTACATATTCCTTCTCAGAATAAGGAAGCACTGGCATGTACCCCTGCTAAATTATTCTCTACCCCCAAATGTTGGAAACTTTCTCTCCAGGAAAATGCTCTACAGAAGGCACGTTGAATTAATGGAGTTAGTTCTGAGAAAGGTTCTTACTGTCTAAGATGAACTGTCATATGCTGACTTCCGGCCAGGTGGACTCGACGCCTTAGCAGGAATGTTGCTTAGACATTTAGCTTTTTCTAATTTGTTTGCTATTATAAACAGTGCTTGAGAAACCTAAAGTACACCCCCACCTAAAATTACTATCACGTCGATTTGTTTATCTTCTTTATAATTGCTTATCCCAACTGAATGTTTCATAGCTTGCATGCTTGTTTATGTTCTACTTTCTTTCTCGGGATCATGACTTGGGCATGACACAAGTTACCTCTTCTATCTTGTTTATTACCACGTAGTAAGGACTCAGGAAATATTTTTGAATGAATGAGTATATCTTTCATGCACATGTATTTTACTGTTGTACAATTATCTTCTTAAGATAAATCTTTTGAGTAGTCAAATTCATAGACACAGAAAGTAGGATGGTGGTTGACAGGGGCTAGGGTGGTGGGGGGAGTGAGAAATTAGTGTTTGATTATTTACTTTTATTTTATTACTATTATTACTTTTGAGAGAGGGTCTCACTGTTGTCCAAGCTGGAATACAATGGCGTGATCATGGTTTACTGCAACCTCAAACTCCTGGACTCAAGCAGTCCTCCTGCCTCAGCCTCCCAAGTAGCTGGAACTATAGATGCACATCACCACACCCAGCTAATTTTTTTTAAATTATTTTTTGTAGAGACAGGTCTCACTATGTTGCCCAGGCTGGTCTCAAGGGATCCCCTGCCTTTGCCTCCCAAAGTACTGGGATCACAGGCATGAACCACTGCACCTGGCTGAGAGTTAGTGTTTAATAGGTGCAAAGCTTCAGTTGGGGAAGATTAAAAAAAAGTTCTGGAGATGGACGGTGGTGATGATTGCACAACGTGAATCTACTTCATGCCACTGGGCTGCACACTTACAAATGGTTACAATGTTAGTTGCCTCACAGCCTGAACAAGTAAAATGGAAGCTGTAATTAACCTTAAAAATATATATGTGTCTGAGATATAATTGTATATAAGTATATGTATACAGACATGTAAACTATTTGTTAAAAAAGAAACTAGAACAAAAATATTTTACATTTACCTGGAAAATGGTTAAAATGGTAAATGTTATAGTATGTATATTTTACTACAATAAAAATGAATAAATTTGTTGAATTGCCATTCTTGGGCTAAGGGTAAGTGTGCATATTTTAAGCTGTGGTATATATTTTGAGACTGCCCTTCAGAAGAATGATGCCAATTTACATAAAAAACAACTATAAGGGCATGAGAATACCCATTTCAATGGTAGGTTTTCTCAGTCTCTTTATTCTTTGTATTTGATAGGCAAAGACAAAGACACACACACAGACACATACACACACACTTTACTGTTTTATTATTTTATGTGTGAATATTAATATAGTTGAAACTTAAGATTGAATATTGTTTTATATGTTTGGCATTTCTTCTTTTATAAGCAGGCTACATGTATCTTTTCCCATTTTTATGGGGCTCTTTACTTCCTTTTATTGATTTGTAGGAGCTCTGTGTATAGTAAAGGTATTAATTCGGTCCATCATATCATTTGCAAATAATTTTTCTCCAGTTCTTTATTTCTGCGTAAATGTCATTTGTGATCTTTTGCCATAGGAAATTTAAAATTATATATTGTATCAAGATAATCTTTGGGTAAGAAAATTCCTCGTTCCAAGATTATGAAAGTATTCATCTGTGTTTTCACCGAGTACATTTCTGGCTTTGTTTGATGCATCTGTATGTCGATAATAAGGAATCAGGTAAAGATATAACTGAATTGTTCTTCTTGCAAATCCATTATTTTATCATAATTTGTTATATAATCCATGCTTTCTATCGGTTATTTGAAATGTCATCTTTTCTTTATAATAAGTAACCATATTCTTAGGTCTATTTCACTGATCTGTCTATTCCAGCACCTAGGCCATGCTGTTTTACTTACAGTGAAAGCTATTATACCAATCTATCTAGATGGTATTTGTTGCCATAAATCCTCGATTAGTGAGTCACCTCTGTGTTTGGGAATTAATGGATGATTGGAAAATTTTTAAGTTATATGTAATCATTAATTGGAAAGGCCGAGTGAGATCAAGAATTTTCTGTAAATGGGAATCGGCAAGTGTGTTAGAGGTAGCTCCCTAGAAGGACCAGAATGGTAGAAGGAGAACCATCACTTCTTGGCAGAGCAGGACACCTGGCACAGTGTCAGGCTTTGTACTTAGATCCAACGTATTTCCCCACGCTAGATTCACTTAGCAACCAGTGTGTTGGATGGCAAGCTGGTGGGCTTTGCCCTCTTGATAGTGAATGCTGTCTCTGCCACCTACTAGGTGTGCGATCTTAGGTAAGTCACTTAACCAATCTGCATTCCGAGACTCATGGCAGCTATCCAATATGATTGTTATAAAGATTAAACAATACATTTAAATGCACTCTGAAAGTGATCATATTGAAATATTGATCGTCATTATTTTTACTTCTACTACTGTTGGGGAGGGATGCTTCCCTCCCATGTCTTCATGCTTGTGCCCATTCACCTGCCTCCTGGCCTTGCTGCTTCTCATGAGACAGAGTTCTCCAAGGAAGCGCTGCTATCAGGACAGTCAGACTCAGAGGCCACCTGTTGACCTCCTTTGATGATGGATGGGATTGCTACTTGCAATGTGATGGACACTCCAGGAATCTCCCTTCTGATCCGCCTCTTTCGGGATACTGCTACTGCTGGCTTCCACAGTTAGGTCAGGGTTGTGCTCTACCTAACAAGCCTTCCTTCATCCTCTCTTTTTCCTCTAAAAACATTCTTAATGTGTTAGTACCATGATTTTTATTTTCTTGCAAGGGATGTCTTGGTGGTGGATTAGGAGGTCTGTTTGGCCTTAAGTCTCAACCGCAGGCTCCAACGCAGCTTAACCAGCGAGCATCTGTTGGGGGCAATTGGGAAATAACAATACAGTGGTAATTTGATTGCTATTCCTTCTGTGTTTTTCGACTCACTCCCCTTGTGTGTTATTACACACAATCAAACCTCATGGGAGGAGGACCGATTGACAGGGGATTTGGGCATTCCTAGTTCTCCAGCACAAATACCATCCTGACCGTCAAACCCTCACCTCTCTAACCTCTGACCTCTATCAATGACCAATCCTTAGCATGGATCAATTACTCCCATAAGGAGGATATTCTGCACAGTACCCATAGTAAGAGTTCATAATAACAAACCCATGTTTGTTATTATGATTGCTACTGCTTTTAGTTGCTACTGAGCATACAGAAAGCACAGAAGTGGTGTGCTCTGTGAAAGAGGGTAGCTCAGTGCCCAGGTCTCCATCATTGTAACCTTGGCCTTCTGCCTGACTCCTTGCCCTTCATATGGTCTTCTCTCTGGCCCCTCAGGCCTGGGACTGAATACCTGGCTCTCCCTTGATCATCTGCCGTCTGAATCCAGCCCATTTTTAAACCAGTCCCTGCCTTTCCTTCTTGGGTTTGCCTGTGTGCCTCTGCCTTTTATCTCCATTTCTCAGGCAGCTTGCCCTGGTCAATAAAAGAAAGCTGAATGACTGTTCAAGGCATCCTGGGTCAGAACAGAAAGGTGAGAGCTTCAAGGCCATCAGGGAGTTCTGTGAGGTGCAGGCATGCTGTAAATGGTAGGCCTGGGGACTCTGACAACTGCACGGCCTGCTCTTATTATAAGAAGGCTGCTGCAATCCTCAGGCAATGTCCAATCATTAGTTTAATGAGCATTTACATTTATTGAATATGTGTGCCACATGCTGGGAATAAGAGGTGGGCAAGACAGACGTGATTCTTTCTTTCCTTCTTTTTTTTTTTTTTTTTTTGAGTCAGGGTCCTGCTGTGTCACCTAGGCTGGAGGGCCGTGGCATGCTCTCGTGGCTCACTGCAGCCTCAACCTCCTGGGCTCAGGCGATCCTCCCACCTCAACCTCCCAAGTAGCTGGGACTACAGGCCTTCACCACCATGCCCAGATATGTTTTGTATTTTTTGTAGAGATGGGGTTTTGCCATGTTGTCCAGGCTGGTCTTGAACTCCTAGGCTCAAGCAATCTGCCCATATCAGCCTCCCAAAGTGCTGGGAGTATAAGTGTGAGCCACTGTGCCCAGCCCAGACATGATTCTTAGGAACTTAAGAATGATTCAAGGAACTTACAGTCCAATGAGAGAGACAAATGCCATCAAAACTAATGAATGAAATGACCCACTGTGGCCACTGCTGTCCAGGTAAAACAGGGTGCTGAGATCAAGACCCAAGGGGCTGGCATGGAGGCCCACTTTAGATTTGATATCAGGGATGGCCTGAATCTGAATCTCTTAATCCAGCTTTCAATATGAACAGTTTTTTCTCATCCCATAAATATTTGCAAAGATTCCCACCAGCTTTTCCTACATTTGTGAATTTTCTCATGACAAAAGAAAAAAAAATCACATGAGTCAGAGAAACCTGAAAAATAAAGCGTCGCTGCTCCCAGTCATATTTTCCTCTTCTTTTGCCCTTTGACACCTTTTACTTGATTGCTTTTAGGCCTAGATTAATTTTGTCTGGCCTGAGACCCATGCTAATTTGCATGGCTATTCTGTATACGGGTCAGATGCACGAAGACAGCAGGCTAGCCTGAATTCACAGACCGATTCACATCCATCAAGTGGCCCTGAGCTCAATGTACTCACTGCAGAAGAATGGAGGATAATGAAAAATCCTACCACGACCTAAAATCCTGACTCACCAGGGTTGCCCTGTGGTCAAGCTTATGGGTAAACCACTCCATCATCCTTATGTTCTACTTGTCAAACACTTGTGGGATTCCATTTTGGGCTTTGGACATGTAATTATGGTTCCATTGTTTCCAAAGCCAGACTTAAGCCTCAGATTATATAATTAATTGTGAGTGGGTGGAGTGCCTTCTTGTATTTTACACTCTCGTCTATGATGTTAACACAAATCCTTGTTTCGTTCCTTAATACCACATATTGCTGAGCCACACGACTACACAAAATGCACGTTAGTGTTGTCGTATTTGTTGATGTTGTGAATGGGTGACTGGAAGACTTGCTTAAACTGGAAAGTCTGTTTTTTTCCTGTGTTTGTTGACATAGTCCACAATTCTTTTAGTCTCCAGAAGTGTCCGTTTATTCATTCATTCATTCAACAAATATTTATTTTAGGCCTATCATGCATGAGGAACTATGCTAAATGCAAGGTAAAAACCTTGGTCTCTAGCCTCAAAATCACATAACAAAGATGGTGCCCATCGTGAGATGCGATGTGGTGGGTTGCTGTATGTGAATCACCTGGACAGCATTCTAAAGTCATTAGTGAGCCAGGCACAGTGGCTCCCATCTGTAATCCCAATGCTTTGGAGGCCAAGGCATGAGGGTCACTTGAGGCCAGGAGTTTGAAATCAGCATGGGCAACATAGCAAGACGCTGTCTCTACAAAACACTTTATTTTAAAATTAGCCAGGCATGGTGGCATGCACCTGTAGTCCCAGCTACTCAGGAGGCTGAGGCAGGAGGATAACTTGAACCCAGGAGTTTGAGGCTGCAGTGAGCTGTCATCATACCACTACACTCCAGCCTGGGTGACAAAGTGAGACCCTATCTATAAATAATAACAATAATAATAATAAAAGTCATATATGCCTGCCCATCCCACCCCAAACTCATCATCTGAGATTCTGATTTGACAGGTCCAGAGGGAAGTCCTGGCATGTGGATTTTGAAAAAACTGTAATCAGAATTACATCCTTGGGTTATGAACCACAGGTCTAGTCGTCTTCCCAGAACTCTGCAGAACTCAGCTGCTTGCTGGGGATGTATAGCCATGAGCTTCTTTGAACCAAGCTGGACAGTCAGAAGGCTGACAGTGCCTGAGTTGGGCTGGTGGTAATCCTGGGCTCCCGGCCTTGAGAACCTGCCCTGTGTGAGAGACTGGGCCCAGTCCTAGGGTCAGGCCTGCTCTGGTCACCTATTCTGATACAGTTTCGATCTTTGTGTCCACCAAATCTCATGTTGAAATATGATCCCCAGTGTTGGAGGTGGGGCCTGGTGGGAGGTGTTTGGGTCATGGGAACAGATCCCTTATGAATGTCTTGGTACTGCCCTTGCGGTAATGAGTGAGTTCTTGCTTTGTTAGTTTCTGTGAGATCTGATTGTTACAAAGGGCCTGGCAGCTCCCTCCCCTCTGTCTCTTGCTCTCTGTCACCATGTGACACACCAGCTCCCCTTTCTCTTCTGCCAGGATTGGATGCTCCACGAAGCCCTCACCAGAACAGATGCTGGCACCATGCTTCCTGTACAGCCCACAAACTGCAAGCCAAATAAACTTCTTTTCCTTGTAAATTACCCAGCTTCAGTATTCCTTTATAGCAATGCAAACAGACTAGTACAATTCCCACGCCAACTCTAGACAGGAGCATCTTTGCTGTTCTTCATCCTGGGCTGTTTTGGGCCCCCTATGCTCAACTTACCTGACCTCTGAACTTAACTCATGACCTTTACTTTGGCCTCTAAAACCTCACCTTCTGGTGTTGTCTCTGCAGTGACACCTCATGTGTCTCTTGTTCTCCTTCTTAGCCAAGTGAGCCCAGGCCATAGATGTCAGACACTGGGCTGAGCAGTTACTTTTCTGTGGGACCCGGTGTGGGGAGTTGACAAAGCAGTCAGAAAAGTAGCATTTAGGAAAGTGTTGAATCCCAAAGGAGGGGATGGATGGGAGGGCTCAGCTACCCCAAGGGGCTGGACAGAGTGGGAGAACTCACATGGTGTCCCAGACAAAGAGAAAGCACCTTCTCCGGCGACAGAGGAGGGCCAAATTAGACAGTGGGGAGAGTAGGGGGTTCTTTGC
This sequence comes from Homo sapiens, assembly GCF_000001405.40. NCBI lineage: Eukaryota > Metazoa > Chordata > Mammalia > Primates > Hominidae > Homo > Homo sapiens. The sequence goes on from NC_000010.11 coordinate 31,144,345, forward strand.
ATCAAGTGCTCACAGGGGGTGGGAGGGGGCGCAACAGGACAGCGAAAGTCCTGAGCAGAAAGTCCATCTCAGAAGGGACGCAGCCCTGCCTGCAGCTGCCTCTCCAGCTTGCTCTCCATGAGAGCTGCGCCCTCGCTGCCATCCTCCTCCAAGTCCCTGTCCGGATCCATTCGGCTTGGCCCTGTCCTGGAGTGCACAGGAGGAAGCTCCGGTGACCCCTAGAAGCATCCCCAGGAGCAGTGCCAAAAGACCACTATTTTTTCCTTTTTTTTTTTTTTAATTTACTTTAATTTCCAGGATACATGTGCAGAACGTGCAGGTTTGTTACATAGGTATACATGTGCCATAGTGGTTTGCTGCACCTATTGACCCGTCCTCTAAGTTCCCTCCCCTCGCCCCCCACCCCCCAACAGACCCTGTTTGTGTGTTGCTCCCTTCCCTGTGTCCATGTGTTCTCATTGTTTAACTCCCACTTATGAGTGAGAACATGTGGTGTTTGGTTTTCTGTTCCTGTGTTAGTTTGCTGAGAATGATGGCTTCCAGCTTCATCCATGTCCTTCCAAAGAATATGATCTCATTTCTTTTTATGGCTGCATAGCATTCCATGGTGTATATGTACCACATTTTCTTTATCCAGTCTATCATTGATGGGCGTTTGGGTTGGTTCCAAGTCTTTGCTATTGTAAATAATGCTACAATAAACATACATGTTCATGTGTCTTTATTGTAGAATGATTTATATTCCTTTGGGTATATACCCAGTAATGGGATTGCTGGGTCAAATGGCATGTCTGGTTCTAGATCCTTGAGGAATTGCCATACTGTCTTCCACAGTGGTTGAACTAATTTACATTCCCACCAACAGTGTAAAAGCATTCCTATTTTTCCAAAATAATTGCCATTCTGTCTGGAGTGAGATGGTATCTCATTGTGGTTTTGATTTGCATTTCTCTAATGATCAGTGATGATGAGCTGTTTTTCACATGTTTGTTGACTGGCCCTGCTTTACCTCATGCAAAGGCCATCACCAGCTTGTGAATTCTGGTTCTTTTTTTAAAAATGTCTATTGTCAAGTCTATGATTTCAGATATGATATTCTGCCTGCACATGGCCCATATTGGTGACAAATCAGAGAAGGTATTTTCATGTATAGCATTTGGCCCAACCAACCCAGGTTTAGGTACCATCAGTCTCTTGAATGTATAAACAGACTGAATTCATAAACTCCTACTGAAACTAACATGCTTTGTAAGTAGAAAACAAAATCAGGATCATGAATTGGCTGGTTTTATTTTTTCTAGTGGCTATTTGCTGATTCTTGGCCTTAAATGATAACATCTTTTTTTTGCATGTCATTTGATCATTCATTCGTTCAGCTTTCACCAAACACTTGTTATGTGGGATTTCCTGTGACGCTTTACAAGCTGGCCCCAAACTGTGCCTCCAGCCTGGTCTCCCACACATCCCTGTCATGTCCCTGCACCCACCTAGCACATTTAATCTCTGGCACACCTGCAGTATACGGATGAATAAGACATGGTCCCTGTCCCTCAACTTCTTGCAGTCTGGAGACAGTAACAGCCAGGCATCGGTCTTTTTGAGATAATAAAGCGTATGGTGACATTTGACCTAGGTCTTGAAGGACACAGAGCAGGTAAGCGACAGGTGTAAAGCCCTGAGTTGGTGAGCGGGGAGGTCAGGGAGATCAAGGAGGGAGTGCCTGCCTCATGGGGACTAACTGGCAAGAAGTGGGGCTGGAGAGACAGCTCCCCGCCCAGGCCTGCCTAAGTGCTCTGTGATCAGCTGTTAGAGGTCCTAGTTACTGCCTGTGACATTCCTGCCATGCTGCCTCTTCAATGTGCCCAGATTCCCAGGTCACGCTCCTTCAGCCACCTTTCATGACTTGCTGCTAAGGTGGAAGGGAAAACCCAGAACTTTGTTCTTGGGGGGTAGCGAGGGAGTTGCCAAAGGCTGTTTATTTGTCTTCCTTTTGACTTTCAATCAAACCACATGTAACTGCTCCCTGGATCCCTGCTCAGGTGTGCAGCAGACCTTGCTGTGCACGAGTCTCATGCCTGGCGTGGACTAGCCTCGCCAGAGACTCCTGTCTGAGCCCTCAAAAAAGTCTGCAGCACACGTCTAAAAATAGGTAAGCGAAGAAGCCCAGACTCAGGGAGAAATGCTCTTACCAGGCCCCAGAAAAGCCAGCTGTATCAAGTTCAGGCCTCTTCCCCGCCAAGCCACAGGGTCGTGAGAGACTTCCCATCTTGGCTTTCGGAGTTGGGAAAGGAGGGGAGGAAGTGGAGAGGCAGGATGTGGTGGAGGGGCTGCGTGCTGCCTGCAGGGCTGGAGTCTCAAAGCAGGAATCCTCCGAAGGACGTTTTGAACAGCCGGTTAGGCGCACATGCGCGTACACACACGCACACACACACACACACACACGCACGCACGCACGCGCACGTGCAGAGCCCCCAAACAGCCTATTGGCTTTGGTTTCCTTCAGTGAAATCTGGGATCAAGAATAATCTCATCTGGGGTGGCCAGCCACTCTGGACTCACGGTTTCCAGGGTCTTCTGAGTATATACAACCATCCTCCAGACTGCAAAAAACACGATATTTACTCTGACAAAGCCACAAGAGCCCCAGGTTTATGTCCATGAAAGATCAGACAGAATCCAGAGCAGCGACTCATCAGTGGTGACTGACAACCTGATGTGCAACTAATGTGTGAGTCCCTTTTCTGACCCTTCTGTGTCAGTATGTCTTTCCTCTGCCCTTCCATCTGTTTAGTGGGTCCACTGTGGGGTGAGACAGTTTTGTTGCAGGGGACTTGGGTCCAGCTGGCTGGAATTATCATAGGTTTCATTCCTGATTTGGTGTGTTCTAGGATGGAAAAGACACTTCCTCTTTGCTTCTGACCTCTTTCCAGAACAAATAAAAACACACACCAAAAAGCCACTCCCGGGAAGATGAAACAACATAGTCACCCCTGGATCCCCAGGGGCAACTTCAGAGGGCTTCCATTAGCAGGGTGGATGAGCTATTTTCCCAGGATATTAAATGTGAGAAGCTTTGAGCATGTATCTGGTGAGTCACACCAGTGTTTTAGAGTCTGACAAGGATCGTTACTGAAATACATAATGCAACCATCATCAGCATATGGGGACTCATACATTGTAGAGATACTGATCTGCTCTACCCTTTTAAGTCTTCATGCAACTAAAGGGGAAGATCCCCTCAAATAGGTTGTTCTCTTTCCTAACCCTAAGAAGAGTCTTTCTTTAAAATAAGTTCTCCTGTATGACTGTAAGATAGGATTGATGGGAAAGGAAGGGACAAGGAATTAGTATTTTCTGAGTGACTACTGGATTCCAGCTCATGAATGGCCAGGGAAATGGCATTCTCACCTGAGCAGGGCTCCTCCATTAGACTAGTGTAGGAAGCCCAAGGGGAGGATGGCACATGGTTAGGACTCGCCCAGGGACCAGGCACAGTGGCTCAGGTCTGTAATCATAACAACTTTGGGAGGCTGAGGCAGAAGAATTATATGAGCCTAGGAGTTCGAGACCAGCCTGGGCAACATAGTGAGACCCTGCTTCTACAAAAAATAGAAACTAGCTGGGCGTGGTGGCACATGCCTGTAGTCCCGTTACTTGTGGGGCTGAAGTGGAAGGATCATTTGAGCCCAGGAGGTAGAGACTGCAGTGAGCAGTGATAACACCATTGTGCTCCAGCTTGGGTGACAGAGTGAGATCCTGTTTCAAAAGAAAAAAAAAAAAAAGCTCGGGGTAGTGGTAGTGGCTCATGCCTATAATCCCAGCACTTTGAGAGGCCAAGGCAGAAGGATCACTTGAGTTCAGGAGTTCAGGAGACCAGCCTGGGCATCATGGTGAGACCTCATCTCTAAAAAAAAAAAAAAGAAAAAAAAAAAAAAAGACAAGCCTAAAGTCACACCGCCCAGTTCATATTCTAATTCTGTCACCTACAAGCAATGTGGCTTTGGGAAAATTGTTTAATCTCTTTGCAACTCAATGTCCTCACTAAAATGGGAGAATTGAATGGAGATTTCTCAAAACTAAAAATAGGACTACCATTCAATCCAGCAATCCCACTACTGGGTATCTACCAAGAGGAAAAGAAATCAATATAACAAATAAATACCTGCACTTGCATGTTTATTGCAGCACTATTCAATACCACAAAGACATCAAATCAACCTAAGAGCCCATCTTTGGACAAATGGATAAAGAAAATGTGCTGTATATATACATAATGGAATATTATTCAGCCATAAAAAAGAATGAAATCCTGACATTTGCAGCAACATGGCTGGAAGTGAAGGTCATTATCTTAAGTGAAATAAGCCAGTCACAAAAAGATTAATACCACATATTCTCACTGACACGTGGGAGCTAAAAAATCTGATCACATGGAGATAGAGAATGAAAAGATGGAGAACAGAGACCAGGTGGGGTGAGTGGCAGGGTCAGGGAGAGGTTGAAGAGAAGTGGGCTAAAGGCTACAAGCCTACAGTTAGATAGAAGGAGTAAATCCAGCATTTGATAGCAGTAGAGTAGGGTGGCTATAGTTTAACAAAAGTATATTATACTTGGGCGATGGACACCCTAAACACCCTGTCTTGATCACTCCACATTATATACATGTAACAAAATTTCACATGTACCCCACAAATGTGTACACATAATGTAAAAAATTAAAAAAATAAGATAAAATGGGAGGACTGAATTCCCTGTCCCATGGGTTCCTGTGAATTGAATGAGCTCACACACTAGGACTTGGCACAGTGCCTGGCATAGAATAAGTGCTCAATGAATGCTAACTTCCCCTCCTGCTGTCAGCATCATTTACAACCAATAGACCTGAAAACGTCTGATGTTAATTAAACACCTTGATTCATTTGGAAAGATTGATCTGGCATTAATCGGAACTACTGTACAAAAACGATGACTTCTTTGGATGCATATTTTTTGGGAAAAGGCCCAAAGTGTGGGCCATAAAATAAACCGAGAGTTTGCCTTTTGGGAGCGTAGAAACATGTCACGAGTTCTAACACTTCCACACTCATAGAACTAAAGCCTCCCAAGTAGGAAAAAACTCCACTTCCAGAGGGTACTTAACTCTCTATTCGGACCAAGCTATTACTTGAAGCTTCTCCCTTTTATTTCAGAAACTTCTTGCATTTATTTGATTTAGTTCTAAAGACGTGAAGTGTTATGGAATAAATTTGCTTACGGTGATGGATGGGCATTTTCACAACCCAGGGCCTTGCTTCTAAAGCATTTTTATGACCACTTGATATCACCAAACAGTGAAACAGCATAGGACACCAATCAATGAGGTGCATATTCTTCTCAGGTGGCAGAGAGATTAGGTGGCCTGTTTAAAAGTGCCCAACAGGCTGGATGCGGTAATCCCAGCACTTTGGGAGGCCGAGGTGGGCGGATCACCAGAGGTCAGGAGCTTGAGACCAGCCTGACCAACATGGCAAAACCCTGTCTGTACTAAAAATACAAAAATTAGCTGGGTGTGGTGGCAGCTGCCTATAATCCCAGCTACTTGAGAGGCTGAGGCATGAGAATCGCTTGAACCCGGGAGGCAGATGTTGCAGTGAGCCAAGATTGCACCATTGCACTCCAGCCTGGGCAAGCCTGGGCAACAGAGCGAGACTCCATCTCAAAAAAAACCAAAAATAAACCTGCTCAGCAAACCAGTGACAGGCAAATTGAGATGCCATTGGGCCACACTCCTTCACACAGAGGTCAAAGGAAGGAGCTGGCCATCCTCTGCCCATAGGTCTTTAATTAGAAACAGAGGAAGTCAGGATTTTTTATCCACTTGAGAAAAACATGAAACTTTACCAGCTAAATTGAAGAATCCCTGTTACTAAAAGTCTGTGTCATTGCACTTCGGGAGGGCGGGCCCAGTGGCACACATGTGTGACGTGGCTGTCCAGTCACACTGGTTGTGAAGAGTAGGAGCTACTGGAGAACCATGATGCATGACGCAGAAGATCAGGGGCAGGGCCCTGGCCATGTCTTTCTCAGCCGTCCTGGGAGCTTTCAGGATGGTCATCCTTCTTCTGTTCTTTCCTCCTAAGGCAAAAAATTTATACCACTTTTTTTTTTCCCAATCCAGATGCAAAACCAAAAACTCAAATCCAACTGTTCTCAGTCAAGTGAAAGCATTCCAAGACCTCAGAAATGCTCACTCACCAAAGACCATTTTCCTGACTTGTAATTTGGTCAGTTATCACTGGTTTTAGGAAGGTTCCGGGTGGTCCAGTTTCCTCTGGGAACTCCGTAGGTTTCATGGTTTCTGTTTCCAGAGTTTTCTGCTTGCCTAGGAGTTCCAGGGCAACTGAACTTGCTGAGAAGGTGAGCACCCACCGCTCAGCTGCAGAAGGTCGTTTGGAAAACCTAATTAGAGTTCCTCCCCCTTTTTTTAACACCAGGAGTTGGCCCTGGCAGGCCTGTGTGGAGGTGGAGGCGATTACATTTTGATCCCTAGTATATCTGCCTTAGAAAGATGCTGGACTTAAAATTTCAAACCATTTCATAATGATTTATACATTTTTTAATAAGTGCCATTAGATCTCCTTCCACCTTTCAGGTGTCAGAACTGCTAAGCCTCATACAGCTTCTTCCCTAAGGGCCCAAGTAGGTTGTTAGTTGGGTGGGTTGAGTCTCTGATTCCTGCATACTTTAATGCGTTCTTCTAATTTGAAGTATGCAAACTAGGTTTGCTCCCTTCGGAACAATCCCATGCAATTTGGTTGAGGAGCTGAGCACATTTCACAGCAAGAAAATAGGGACCGTCCAAAAGGGATAGAAATTGCTCAAATGAACAATTTGCATTTACTCTCCTCCTGGGGAAAAATATATTGAAAAACATCTGTTGTGAAAGTTAAGGTATAATCTTCAACTCCTCCAACTTTCTCTGTCCTTGTTTTGTACAGCACAGCACTAACTAAAGGCAACGTGGTTTTTTTTTTGTTTTGTTTTTTGTTTAAAAAAAAAGAAAAAAGAAGCACACACAGAGAGGCTAATTCACCATAAATGGTCCAGGCCACCACTGTGGAGATTGAGAATGTGAAAGTGAAAAGCAGGCCAGTCAGCTTGTAGAACAAGTCAGTGGAGGGTTCCTCTGACAATGGAACTGGTTGAGAAGTGTCAGCGATCACACCTGGGCATCCCAGGGCTGTCCCCTACCCAGAGAAGGCCATTATCCTGCTCTCTGTAATAATAAACCTCAGAAAGCACAGCCTGGTTGTCTAAATGAGCAGGAATCTTTTCACACATTTCCACCCCAGTCTAATATTTCTCCTTTCAGAGGTAAGAAGAACCTGTATTCATTGAAGCTAAGAAGAAGATAGTTTTTTTTCAACTATATATATACATATATAATTTTTTTTTTGAGATGGAGTTTCGCTCCTGTTGCCCAGGTTGGAGTGCAATGGCACTATCTCAGCTCATGACAATCTTTGCCTCCCAGGTCCAAACAATTCTCCTGCCTCAGCCTCCCAAGTAGCTGGGACTACAGGCAGGCACCACCATGCCTGGCTAATTTTGTATTTTTAGTAGAAACAGGATTTCTCCATGTTGGTCAGTCTAGTCTCAAACTCCCGACCTCAGGTGATCCGCCCACCTCGGCCTCCCAAAGTGCTGGGATTATAGACGTGAGCCACTGCACCCAGCCTAAAAAATATATATTGAAGGAGCACAAGGGCAGATTTCTTACATTCATATATTGTGTAATGAAGTAACGAAGTCTGGACTTTTAGTGTATCCATCCCACCTGAATAGTGAACATTGTACCCAACAGGTAATTTGTCAACCAATAAGAAGACAGTTTGAGATGCCAAGTGGAAAGCCACCTCTTGGAGATTACTAGATTCCATCTTTACTGTCAGTTCTTGGGGAGCCCAGGGAGCTCACATGGGTATCAGATGGGATTTTACTCCACACAACTGCATAGCAATTGTGAGAAGCTCAGGCAATACCAGATCTAGAGCTCCATATTCAATTAGGCAGGTATTTTATCAAATGTCAGTGTACAAGTCAGTTTTCTTCCTTCCCTTCAGAATTGCTTTTTCTAATTTCATTATGTCCCTAGCCTTGGCACTAAGACCAATTAGAAGAGAATAAAGATAATGTCTGGGAGTGTGTGGGCTGAACAGATAAAAGCTGTCACTTGCAGATCACAGTGGAGCTTTCCTGCAGGAGTGACTCTCCTGAATCCAAACCACTTGGAGCTTATCTATAGGCTGCCTTGACTTTCCAGGACAGCTGATAGACCTGCTTCAGTCTGATTTGCAAAAGTATGCAATGATTTTCAGCTATGACCTTGACTTGTCTCTTCCTGTCTCTCCAAGCAGGCCACTCTCCAAATGCAGTTTAGTTCCATTGACCAAAGATGTTAGAAGCAAGCTCTGGGCTCAGACCTGTCATTGGGTCCTGTCTCCTTGCCCCTCAGGATGGAGGAATTCTGTGCCAAGATTTTATCTTTGCTGATCTTGGCACATTCTGACATCCTGCATGTGTGGGCCCCAGACGATCCCCAACTGTGTCCAGCTGGATAGATGTCACCAGGGAAAACCTCTCATCACAGCAGGTCACTTCCTTTCTCAGGCTACAGCCACCAGAGCTGGGTCAACTGGGGCTAGGAAAAGTAGGCCAACACAGAACTGGCTGGAGAAGGAAATCATGCAGGGCTTATTTAGAAGTGTCTATGATCCACAATGAGATTGATACCTCATCTCTGTGTAGGGAGATTTTGGAATGATCTCCATTTCCCTTCTAATTCTGAAGGCTGTGTACTGTGGTTCCAACCACGTAATTCACCCAAATTAGCACTGATGAACTAGCTTTTCACACACAAATATCTTTTCCAAGCATCAGCGTATTTTTATTTTGTGTCTCCAAATATTGCCAACGATGTGTGCCCAGGGTGTGGATATAGCAGGGCCGAACTTGGGTTGCCATCTGCACGAGGAGATGTTCCTCATATGTGCTCCTTCGCCAGTTTGCTGCCTGAAATCCTTGAACGGGAAACTGAATCTTTAATTCTACCATCTGATATAAGAACTCTATGCCAATGTGATGGGAGAAGATGCTCATTGAAAATTTCCCACCAAGATTTCAATGAATCATACAGATTCTTGCCTGAAGCTAAGCTTTGTAGGCAGTTGATATTGGGGATGGGGAAGGATGGTTGAAGCAGGAGGTCCTGGGGTCCCTGACACGGAAGAAGGTGCCTGGAAGTGCACTAAAAGGAGCATATAGAGAAAAGGAGGACAATTTCACCCACTCCACAAAGTGCTGAGTCTCTCAGTTGATGATTCTCCTGTCAGCAGAGTCTGCCTGTGGGCCAGGCATCTTGGAAGGAGAGAGGCTGCTTTGCTCCTCTCAGGCCACGATGCAGAGGCTTAGCCTCCCAAGCTTCCTTGGGCACCAAGACTAGCAGCACCCAGAGCTGGGTTTATGTTTGGTTCACCCTGAACTGCACTGACTCACCCCCAGCAGAACTGGGAGGAGCTGACCTCGTCGTGAGGCCTAGTTCTCATTCACCTGGTTATAGGCGCAGTGACTCGGCCCTGTGGTGTTCAAGCCTTCGCCAATGATGCACCTTCATGGGCAGGAATCCATGGGCCCACCCGGGTCTCCGTCTTAGTTCATTTGTGTTGCTATAAAGGAATACCTGAGGCTGGGCAATTTGTAAAGAAAAGAGGTTTATTTCACTTACAGTTCTTCTGGCTGTACAGAAAGCATGGTGCTGGCATCTATATCTGGGGAGGGCCTCAGGCTGCTTCCACTCATGGCAGAGGGTGAAGGGGAGGTGAAAGGGACCTGATGTGTAGAGATCATGTGGCAAGAGACAGGAAGAGGCCGAGCTCAGTGGCTCACGCCTGTAATCCCAGCACTTTGGGAGGCCGAGATGGGCGGATCACGAGGTCAGGAGATCGAGACCATCCTGGCTAACGTGGTGAAACCCCGTCTCTACTAAAAATACAAAAAAAGTAGCCAGGCGTGGTGATGGGTACCTATAGTCCCAGCTACTTGGGAGGCTGAGGCAGGAGAATGGCGTGAACCCAGGAGGCAGAGCTTGCAGTGAGCTGAGATCGCGCCACTGCACTCCAACCTGGGTGACAGAGCGAGACTCCGTCTCAAAAAAAATAAAAAAGACAGGAAGAGAGGGGGGGAGGAGATGCCAGGCTCTTTTAAACAACCACTTCTCATAGGAACTAAGAATAAGAATTCACTCACTCCTGCAAGAATGGCACCAAGCCATTCATGAGGGATCTACCCCCATGGCCCAAATGCCCCGCACCAGGCCCCACCCCCAACAGTGGGGATAAAATTTCAACATGAGACTTGGTGAAGACAAACAAACCATACCTAAACCACCACAGTCTCCATTCAAGGAGAACTGATATTGAAGCACAGTCTTCTCTTGACCCAACCACCCTTTCCATCAGATCCTCCAAAGGCCAAAAAAACATTTAGCTAGTTAGACAGTCCAGAAAGAGGAATTTCTTATCAGAAAGGGCTCTGCAAGAAGACCAACCTGACTTTCCCCCTCCTTCTCTTCTTTACTACGTTCTTTGCCTGACTTAGCCAGGCAAGCTCTTACCGCAGTCTACTCTTCTTGATGGCACTGATGGGAAGGAAGTAGAAGAGACCCACATCTAAGTTTTCTTATAAAAACTTCTTGATCATTTTGGTCAAAAGTACAGTGAGCACATGGTGTGTATATAAATGTACCTAAACCATTGAAATAGCTGGGGATGTGCAGTCATAAGTCACTTAATGTGCTGTTAGGTGATTTCATCATTGTGCAAACATACCGGAGTGCACTTACACAAACCTACATGGTTGAACTTCCTACACGCCTAGGCTACATGGTATAGCCTATTGTTCTCAGGCTGCAAACTTAACCCAGGGTCCCTAGGTTTTTGGGTATGGACTGTGAAAAAGTACCCACTAGTACCTGTTGTACCTTAAGTTCTTCTTGTTTCCAAAAATTCCAGGAAGAAGCTCAGCCCTGGAAAAGCAAAAACCCATTGGATCCAGAGGTGCCTGAGTTGGAGATGAACTTTGGAACTTCCCTCATAACCGTACTAAAATCCCTGACCAGAGAGTAACTTATTTGCCATTTTCTATACATGTGACATATGTAGAAGCATGATCAATGACAGCACATGTGCTATTAATATCTTGCTCCATCTCGACATACAGTGACTCAGCTCACCAGGCCAACAAAAGGCCTGTTTTCACCTTTGATTGGAGGAGGCACTCCTTTGAGAACTATCCCCCATGTCCTCCTCATTTGTTGCCACTAATAAAATCCCTTTAAGTCCCCATTGCTTAAGTCCCCATTGGTTGTGGTCACTGGACTGCCACCTGCCATGTGATGGCACTGACCCGTTGTATGGGTAACAAAACTTATACAGTGTATCACTGTCCTGGATACTGCAGGCAATTGGAATGCAATGCTAAGCATTTGCATAACTAAACATAGAAAAGGTACAGTAGGACTAGGTGTGATGGCTCACACCTGTAGTCCCAGCACTTTGGGAGGCTGAGGCAGGCAGATCAGTTGAGCCCAGGAATTTGAGATCAGCCTGAACAACATGGAGAAATGCAGTCTCTACAAAAAATACAAAAATTAGCTGGGAGTAATGGCCTGTGCCTGTAATCCCAGTTACTGAGGAGGCTAAAGTGGGAGGATCCCTTGAGCCCAGGAGTCTGAGGCTGCAGTGAGTCATGATCTTGCCTCTGTGCTCCAGCCTGGGCAATAGAGTGAGACCCTGTCTCAAAAAAAAAAAAAAAAGATACAGTAAAACTATGGTATTATAGGCCAGGTGTAGTGGCTCACGCCTGTAATCTCAGCACTTTGGGAAACCAAGACAGGTGGATTGCTTGAGGCCAGGAGTTCAAAACCAGCCTGACCAACATGACGAAACCCCATCTCTACTAAAAATACAAAAAATTAGCCAGGTGTGGTGGTGGGCACCTGTAATCCCAGCTACTAGGGAGGCTGAGGCAGGAGAATCGTTTGAACCCGGGAGGTGAGGGTTGCAGTGAGCCGGGATCACGCCACTGTACTCCAGCCTGGGCAACAAGACTGAAACTCTTGTCTCAAAAAAAAAATGGTATTATAATTTTATGGGATCAATATCCTTCATGTGTCTGTTATTAACTGCAATGTTGTTATACAGTGCATGACTCTTCTTGGTCTGGACCACCTGGGACCTGGTTGAAGAGACTAGATACCAGCTAGTTCAGCCTTTATCTTGACAAAATCAAAAGAGTTGCCAGAAAGTCCTAGAATCGCCAGTTGTATTTTAAATATTGTGCATATAAATATAATGAGCAGTATTTGGTTTTACTACCATCATTTATTTCAGCATAATTAAAGCCATTTCTTCTTTAAAAATTGACTGTCGTATTTATATTTATAATCTGAGTTCAAGATTCTAAATTTTACTAATTCTTTTACTATTTCATCTTTTAAAAAATTATCTAACATATGGAAAGAAAAGGGAAAGATTACTCATTTAACTGGAATCATGTTTGAAACACTCTGAATATATTTCCTAACATTTCCTGATTGATTGCCTGGGAAATAAATATGCCCAAATGGTAGCATTATATTTATAATTCTAAGTCAGGAATATTTCCCTTATTGCTCTGCCTCTGAAATAGAGTCCCAAGAAAGTGCATAAAATATCAAAATAGTGTTTTCAATATCTGCCAAACCTGAACGTTTGCATCTCAGAAAGCAAATGTGCAACTAGTGAGTAAACTGCCTCTTTGTCAAACATAAATGTGGCAAATTCTAAGGCAACTCCTTTTCGACTAAATTGTCTCAGCATGCAGAGCAGCAGGGAGAATGTTTGCTATAGGACACAGGCAAAAAAACAATCTTTATGTTATTTTTTCCAGGAGGGTATTACATTACGTTTCAGAGAGAAATGATGAGCTATTCATGATGAAATGGCACATTTTCTTGCAGAATCACCTACTCTATTTAAATGTGTTCGATTCTTTAGAAGGTGTCCCTAATGTCCCACTGAGTCACAGTCTCCTCCCTGCCTCCTCTCCAAGTTCTTCCTTCCTAGCAGAGGAGATGTTAATGAATTCTGAAACATGACTCCTTGCTCTGGATGTCCACGTAGCCTGACCTCTCTAGATCCACTCTGACAGCACATACATGCTTTTCAAGAGGCACAATTTTGTCTTGTCTGGAGAGCAATGTAATTAGAAAGCAATTTGGCCCACACACGCAGCTTCCATGGTCACTTGGCACAGCCTCAGCCTCCTTCTGGCGGGGCTGGTTTTGTTCTGCTTTGGCTGGCCTCCTAGATGTCTAGCGGCTCAGTGATCCTCGTCCTCGCTTGCTCGGAGCCCAGGCTTGGCCAGACTTAGAGAGTGTCAGGTGCTGTCTGCTGGGAAGCCGTGGGGGCTGCACTGGAGCCCCACGTCGGCCCCATGTCCCACATGGCCTCCGGACATGTGCGGTGACGCCTCTGCACAAAAGAGACTCAGAGACCTGACATGAGCGGCCCAACCACTCTGTCTGGCTGGCTTCCTTGACTTTATTTGCTGAGCATCCAGAGGACAAAGAGAATCCGGTGGCACATCCAGCCCCCCAGATCTCCCTTATTACATTGCTCACAAATTTTTCCTCATCCCCCAGGCTCCAAATTGGCAGTGATCTTTAATTCTGCTCCCTCCATTTGTCTCTGCGTCCAACAAGTTACCATATCCTACACATTTGGCCTTCTCATTTCTGCCCTCGATACTGTAATTCAGGCCTCTTATCCAACCATTGTAACAGCCTCCCAGCTGTTATTTCCACACGGAACTCCACTTCCTCCAATTCTATTATAGCATTTCCCGGTAGTCAGATTAGTTTTCCAAATATATAGCATTGGCAATGTTATAATATCATCCTCCTGCTCACAAATCTTCAGTGGTTTCTCATGGTCTATAGTTTCTTTATTTGTGCGTTCTGGCCCACTGCCTGTTTTTATAAATAAAGTTTTATTGGAACATAGCCACATCCATTTGTTTACGTATGGCTTATGGCTGCATTTGTGCTATGATAGCTGAGTTGAGTCATTGTGACAGAGACCACATGGCTTTCAAAGCCTAAAATACTATTTGGCCTTTTACAGAAAACATTTGCTGGCCTCTGCTCTAAACTGTGCTCCAGTTTTCCTTTCTGGTTTTCTTTCTTTCCTTTTTTTTTTTTTTTTTTTTTCGAGATAGAGTCTCGCTCTGTCGCCAGGCTGGAGTGCAGTGGCGCGATCTCAGCTCACTGCAACCTCCACCTCCCGGGTTCAAGCGATTCTCCAGCTACTTATTTCCCGAGTAGCTGGGAAATAAGTACACCCAAACGGTAGTATTGGGACTACAGGCACGTGCCACCATGCCCAACTAATTTTTTGTATTTTTAGTAGAGATGGGGTTGCAACACGTTAGCCAGGATGGTCTCGATCTCCTGACCTCGTGATCCACCCGCCTCGGCCCCCCAAAGTGGTTTTATTTCTTTATAGCCTGGGCTTTCATGCTGTCGTGCCTTGGCTTTCATTAATACACTCTCTGCTTAGGGAAATGCAACCCTCCAGGCCCATTTCAGGGGGACCCTCTGCATGGAGACTTTCCTAACTTCTGTTTCAATGTGACCTCCCCTCACTTTTTACTTCGCTATGGCATGTTGAGTGTTCTGGCTTTTACTACAAATATTAATCAGTATCCTATTGCTTCTCCTCTCACCCCAGTCTCTAAGCTCCTTAAAGGCAGAAGTTATGTCTTATCCATCTTTAAATCTCCCCAGGGTCACCTGAATATAGTTACTTAATAGATATTTGGAGATTTTCTTGACTCGGAAACTAGGAGTCTTTTCTTCCAGTGGCTTCCAGAATAGATAATCAACATTCCCCTACTGGGGAGAAACAAGGTGGGAGAATGAATACAACCTATGCTCCCCTAGGAAGGTTTTAAGAATTTTATTTTGTGTTTCTTGTTTTGTTTTGTTCTTGTGCATAAGAGATTAAGGAAATACACAGCTACTTTATAAGAGACTCCTTAAGAAAGAGATGGAGGCAGGACCAAGGAATGCACAAAGGATGGGGTATTTTGCCATAAAAAGTAACTGCAATACACTGAATGTGTCCCCCAAAATTCATGGTTTTAAAAAATTAAATAACTGCTTTTATTGAGATATAATTTGATGTTTTGATATGCATATGTATTGGGAAATGATTACTATAGTCAGGCTAATTAACATATCCATTACCTCACATAATTACCTTATTTTTGTAATGAGAACACTTAAGATTCACTGTCTTAGCAAATTTCGAGTATACAATGCAGCATTATTAGCTATAGTCACCATGATGTACATTAGATTTCTAGAAGCTACTTCATCTCAAATAAATGAAAGTTTATACCTTTTGACTAACGTCTCCATTTCTCCCAGCTCTCAGCCCCTAGAAGCTGTAGAGATCCATGTTTTCGCAAATGACAGGATTTAGAATTTCCTTCTTTTTTAAAGCTGAATAATATTCCAGTGTGTGTGTGTGTGTGTGTGTATCACACACACATGCATCTATGTATTATCTATCTATCCATCTATTCTATCTATCTATCTATCTATCTATCTATCTATCTATCTATCTCTCTATCTAGCAATTTCTTTATCCATTTACCTGTTGACAGACACAGATTGTTTCCACATCTTGGTTAGTGTGAATAATGCTGCAATGAACATGGGAGTGTAGCTATCTCTTCAATATACTGATTTTATTTTCTATAACTTTGTAATATACTTTGGGATTGAGAAGTGTGATGCCTCCAGCTTCATTCTTTTTTTTCTCGAGACTGCTTTGGCTATTCAGGATCGCTTGTTGTTCCATACAAATTTTATGATTATATTTTCCATTTCTGTGAAAATTACCACTAGAATTTTGATGGGCATTGTGTTGAATCTCTGGATAACTCTGGGTTGTATGGACATTTTAACAATATTAATTCTTCCAGTCCACAAACACAGAATATCTTTCCATTTGTGTCTTCTTCAATTCCTTTCATCAATATCTTATAGTTTTCTATGTAATAGATCTTTCACCTCCTTGTTTAAATATACTTCTAAATACTTTATTATTTTTTATGCTATTATAAATGAGATTTTTTATTGATTTCCTTTTTGGATAATTTGTTGCCGGTGTAAAGAAACACTACTGATTTCTGCATGTTGATTTTGTATCCTGCAACTTTACTGAATTTATTAGTTCTAACAGTTTTTTATAGAGTCTTTAGGGTTCTGTACATATATAATCATATCATTTGCAAACAGAGATAATTTTACTTCTTTCTTTTTTATTTGGATGCCTTTTATTTCTTT
This sequence comes from Homo sapiens, assembly GCF_000001405.40. Classification (NCBI taxonomy): domain Eukaryota; kingdom Metazoa; phylum Chordata; class Mammalia; order Primates; family Hominidae; genus Homo; species Homo sapiens. The sequence goes on from NC_000010.11 coordinate 31,160,777, forward strand.
TTCTTGTCTAATCACTCTGGCGAGAACTTTTAGTACTATGTTGAATAGAAGTCATAGTGTGGACATTCATGTACCAGACCTTACAGGAAATGCTTTCAGATTTTCTTCAATGATTATGACATTTGCTGTGGGTTTTTCATAAATGGCCTTTAATCTGTTGAGGTAAGTTCATTCTATACCTATTTTTTGAGAGTTTTTAGCAAGAATGGATATTGAAATTTGTTAAGTGATTTGTGTGCATCTATTAGGATGATCATGTGATTTTTATCTTTCATTCTGTTAATACAGTGTATCATGTTGATTGATTTGTATATGTTGAACCAATCTTGTATCCCAGGGATAAATCCCACTTAGTCATGGTGTGTAATCTTTTTTATGTGCTGCTGGACTTTGTTTGCTAGTAATTTAGTTTGCTGGTATTGAGGGTTCTTGCTTTTTATTTATCAGAGATATTTGCCTTTAGTTTTTATTTTTCTTCCTTGTGGTGTCTTTGTATGATTTTGATGTCAGGGTAATGCTGGGTTCACAAAATGAATTTGAAAGTATTTTCTCTTCTAGTTTTCAGAAGAGTTTGAGAAGGATTGCTATTAATTATTCTTTGACTGTTTGATAGAATTAATCAGTAAAGCCATCAGGTCCTGAGCTTTTCTTTGTTAGAAGGTTGTTGTTTACTGATTTAATTTTCTTATATCTTATTGGTCTCTTCAGGCTTTCTATTTCCTCTTGATTAAGTCTTAATAGGTTACATATTTATTGCAGCACATCCATTTCTGCTAGGCTATCCAATTTATTGGTGTGCAATTGCTCATAAAAGTCCCTCATGATCCTTTTTATTTCTCAGGCATCCACTGTAATGTTTTCTCTTTCACTTCTGATTTTGTCTAGTTAAGGGTTTGCAAATTTTGTTTATTTTTTTCGAAAACTCAGTTCAGCTTTGATGATTTTTCTGTTCTTTCTTTTAATTCTGTATTTGATTTATTCCCACTCTAATCTTTATTATTTCTAGCTAACTTTGGGAAAAGTTTGTTCTTCTTTCTAATTCTTTGAGCTATAAAATTAGGTTACTTGAGGTGTTCTTTTTGTAATGGAAACAAGCATTTATTGCTATAAACTTCCCTCTTAGTAGTCTTGTTGCTGCATCTCATAAGTTTTGATATATTGCATTTTCATTTCTGTTTATTTTGAGGTATTTAAACAATTCTCTTTTGATTTCTTGACTCAATGATTATCAAGGAAATGCCATTTGGCTTCCATATATTTGTGAGTTTTCCTGCTTTCTCACTGTTATTGATTTCTATTTCATTCCCTTGTGGTCTTAAAGATACTTGGAATGATTTCAGTCTTCTTCAATGTGTTAAGACTTGTTTTGGAACCTACATGTGATCCATCCTGGAGAATGTTCCATATATGTTTGAGGAGAATGTGTATTCTTCTGCTGTTGGGTAGAAAGTTCTAAATATGTCTGTTAGGTCCATTTAGTCTAGAGCATTATTCAGTCAGCTATTTCTTTATTGATTTTCTGTCTGGATGTTCTGTCCATTATTGAAAATGAGGCAGTGAATTCTCCTATCAGTATTTTACTGCTGTCAATTTCTTCCTTCAGATCCGTCAATATTTACTTTATATATTTAGGTGCTCTGGTATTGGGTGTATATATTTTTATAACTGTTAGATTATTCAACCCTTTTATCATTTTGCAATGACTTTTTTTGTCTTTAGAGAGTTTTTAACTGAAAGTCTATTTTGTCTGATACAAGTATAGCCAGCCCTGTTTTCTTTTGGTTACTATTTACATAGAATAATTTTTCCTTCCCTTCACTTTCAACCTATGTGTGTTTTTAAATCTAAAGTGAGTCTTTTATAGAAGAAAATTGATGGATCTTGTTTTTTAAATCCATTCAGCCACTCTAAGCCTTTTGATTAGAGAGTTTAATCCATTTATATTTAAAGTAATTATTAATAGGTGAGGACTTACTACTGCCATTTTGTTAATAGTTTTCATCTATTTTGCTATTGTTTTGTTCCTCTCTTTCTTGCCGTCTTTCTTTGGTATTTGATAGTTTTTGGTAATGATTTGTTTTGATTCCTTTCTTTTTATCTTTTGAGTATCCATTATGGACTTTTTCCTTGTGGTTACCATAGGGTTTGCATAAATTATCTTATAGTTATAATCATCATATTTTAAGTTGATAACTTGACTTCAATTGCATTAAAAAACTCTACACTTTTACTCCCCTCCTCTCACACTTTGTTTTCTTGTAGTCAGAGTTTACTTCTTTTTATATTGGGTGGCCATTGGCAAACTTTTGTGATTCTGGTTATTCTTTTTTTTCTTTTTCTTTTCTTTTCTTTACTTTTTTTTTTTTTTTTTTTTTTTTTTTGAGACGGAGTCTCGCTCTGTCGCCCAGGCTGGAGTGCAGTGGCATGATCTCAGCTCACTGCAGACTCTGACTCCCTGGTTTAAGCGATTCTCCTGCCTCAGCCTCCCGAGTAGCTGAGATTACAGGCACGCGCCACCATGCCCAGCTAATTTTTTTTTTTATTTATTTAAAAAAAAATTTTTTTTTTCAGTAGAGATGGGGTTTCACCATGTTAGCCAGGATGGTCTTGATCTCCTGACCTCATGATCCGCCTACCTCAGCCTCCCAAAGTGCTGGGATTACAGGCATGAGCCACTGTGACCAGTCGATTCTGGTTATTCTTAATATATTTCTTAACTTTTATATTAGGGTTAAAGGAAATTTACGCATTGCTATTACAGTATTACATTATTCTATATTTGACTCTATATTTACCTTCATTTATAAGATTTATGCTTTCATATGCTTTTACACTGCTGTTTAGCATAATTTCAACAAATAACTCCCTTAAGTATTTCTTCTAAGGTAGGTCCAGTGATTATGAACTTCCTCAGTTTTTGTTTGTCTAGGGAAGTGTATTAGTCAGAGTTCTCTTAGAGGGACAGAACTAATAGGATACATATATTATATATATATCTATAATAGGATATATATATAATCTATACCTATAATAGGATATATATATATTATCTATATCTATAATAGGATATATATTATATATAATAGGATATATAATATATAATTTATAATATATATTTATAATAGGAGATATATATATATATATATATATATATATATATATATATATATATATAAAGGGGAGTTTAAGTATTAACTTACACGATCACAAGGTCCCACAATAGGCTGTCTACAAGCTGATGAGCAAAGAGAGCCAGTCCAAGTCCCAAAACTGAAGAACTTGGAGTCCGATGTTTGAGGGCAGATAGCATCCAGCACGGGAGAAAGATGGAGGCTGGGAGGCTAGGCCCGTCTCACCTCTTCATGTTTTTCTGCCTGCTTTATATTCGCTGGAAGCTGATTGTGCCCACCAGATTAAGGTGGATCTGCCTTCCCAAGCCCACTGACTCAAATGTTAATCTCTTTTGGCAACATCCACACAGACACACCCAGGATCAATACTTTGTATTCTTCAATCCAATCAAGTTGACACTCAGTATTAACCATCACAGGAAGAATTTATCTTTCCTTCATTCACAGAAGATAATTTTACCAGGTGTAGAATTCTTGGCTGACAGTTTTTTTTTTTTTCTTTCAGAAGTTTAACTATATCATCCCACTCTCACCTGGCTTGAAAAGTTTCTGGTTAGGAATCTACTGGTAGCCTTATTGAGGTTCTCTTACATGAGATAAGCCACTTTTCTGTTGCTGCTTGCAAAATTCTCTCCTTGTCCTTGGCTTTGATAATTTGATTGTAATGTGTTTCATTATATGATGCACTTATAATTGTATATCTTAAAATGAGGTCCTCTTTTGGTTTATCCTATTTGGGAACTTTTGAGCTTTATGAATCTGGATGTTGATTTCCCTCTCAAGATTTTGGAAGTTTTCAGCCATTATTTCTTTATATAAGCTTTTTGCCTCTTTTCTCTCTCCTCTTCTGAAAATTCCGTGACTATATTGGTTCTCTTGGTGGTATCCCTTAAATTCCAGAAGATTTGTTCATTCTTTTCTCCTCTGTCTGCACAATTTCAAATGATCTGTTCTCAAGTCCACTTATTCTTTCTTTTCCTTGACTACATCTACTGATGAAACTCTCTATTTTTCATTTCATTGTATTCTTTAGCATCAGAATTTCTGGCTCTTTTCTGATTTCTATCTTTTTGTTGAAATTTTCACTTTGTTCATGCATTCTTTTCTGATTTAGTTGAGTTGTTTAGAGATCTGTGTTTAGAGATACGAGCTTCTTTAAACCAATTATTTTGAATTCTTTGTCTGGCAATACATAGATCTCTCTTTGGGATTGGTTACTGGAAAGTTATTGTGTTCTTTTGGTGGTGTCATGTTTCCCTGTTTGTGTGTGTGTGTGTGTGTGTGTGTGTGTGTGTGTGTGTGTTTCTTATAGCTTTTGTGTTGTTGTCTTTGCATTTAAAGAGGCAGTCACCCATTCCAAACTTGAGGGACTGGCCTAGGTAGAGAAAGAGCTCCTTCTATGGGAAGGCACAAGGGCACCAACTGGGTAAGATGTGCAGTGGCTTCTGATCTGGGTCTATGTCTGGGTATGCTGGTTCCAGGAGTGCACCCAGGGCTTGAGTCTGTTGGACACATCATGGGCATACACTCAGATACCTGGTCCATTAGATGTGGTGTGCATGCACTGTGGCAACGGTGAGCACGTAGGAGCCCAGGCTAATGTGCAGTGGGTACAGCTTCGGGGCACCTGGTCCCATGGTTGCAAGTGTGCAGCTGAAGTGGGTGCCTGTTCTCATGTACATATGGATGCATATTCAGTGGCACCAGCAGGCACTGGGATTGCTGTGCAGGCATGTGCTTTGCAGCTGCTGCTGGTTCCCAGGCATGGGCACACATGGACTTACCAGGGTTAGGGTTGGGGATGAGTGGCAGCTCTGACTCTGTCAAGGAAGGAGCAGCACATGGTGGCTCCAGCTCCAGGAGGTAAAGTGGCTCTGGCTCCAGGCAGTGCCGGCAGCTGGAATCTGCATCAAAAATGATCACTGGAGTCCTCTGTAACTAGGGCTGTTGGGATCCTCAGTGGCAAAATTGTTGAGATTCCCTACTCTCACTCTCCTCCCATAAGGGGAACTCATGGGCAAAAGGATTCTTTCTGGCCCTGTGCCAGCCTGGAGGATGGAGTGATGCAGGCAGAATGTTTTCTACCCGTTTCTATGCATCCATCCACTGTTTCTGAACTCCTCTGCATCACTTTAGGATTCTAGGATTCACACCCTAAATACACTTTGGGATTCTCCCCAAGCTATCTTCATCCATACAAAGTTGACTTTATTATTGCTTTTGTGTGCAGGTGAGGTCTGGGATCTCCTATTCTGCCATCTTGCTGACATTACTCCCCAAATTTATATGTTGAGTCCCTAACCCCAACTGTGATGGTATTAGAAAGCAGGGCCATTGGGAGGTAATTAGGTCATGAGGGTGGTGCCCTCAGGAGTGGGATTTGTGCCCTTTTAAAACGGCACCCGAGAAAGCATTCTCACTCTCTATCATGTGAAGATAAAATGAGAATTCAGCAGTTTGCAACTTGGAAGAGGACCTTCACTAGAACCTGACCATGCTAGCACCCTGATCTCAGACTTCCAGCCTCTATAAATTTCTCTTGTTTATAAGTCCCCGCACTCCAGCTCCCTGCAATGTGTGATACTTTGTTATAGCAGTCTGAACTGACTAAGACAGTAGTATTCACAGATTCCAGAGATTGGGACCTAGATATCTTTGGGGGCCATTTAGCCTCCCACAGGAGCTAATTCACATGGGAGTGGAGTGCTGCTGTGAGGGGAACAGGCTATGGAAGCAGGAGACATTGGTGGCTGGTTAAATGTGGAGTGAAGGGATGAGGGAGGAAGAAAATTATTGAAAGGTTTCATGGTACAGGGCAATGTTCTCAGAATTAGGACTCTGAGTGCCAGAGAAGCCCAGAAAAAAACATGGGTTTGCATAAAGGTGACTCATTGGTGACAAAACATGATGTAGACAGGCAGATCCAGATTTTGTAAGGACTGTAGCTTAGATTACCTTGAGAATGTTGTTAAGAACAGTAGTCGCAAAGTTAATATACAAAATTGAGTAGGAATGTGAATTTTTTTAAAGAACAGAAAATCACAATATATCAAAAATTGTGCTGCCGGGGCAACATGGCGAAATGCTGCCTCCACAAAAAAAATATAAATACAAAAAATTAGCTGGGCATGGTGGCACATCCTGTAGTTCCAGCTACTCAGGAGGCTGAGGTGGGAGGATTGCTTGATCCAGGAAGGTGGAGGTTGCAGTGAACCAAGATTGTACGACTGCACTCCAGCCTGGGTGACAGAGTGAAATCCCATCTAAAAAAAAAAAAAGAAAAGAAATCATAAATTGTGAAAAGCTGACAAGTACCACAAACATATATGCTCTAAAAAAAACATTCTTTTATTAACTGCCTGATGTCACTTTATGACGCTGTCATTCTAATTTCATGTCTGTATACTTTTTGAACACCTCTTTGTAAAACAATTTTATAGTATTTTCTACAGCATGAAGAGATGGCTAATTCAGACATGTCCTCTAGCATGATGGATGAAAATGTGGTTTCATAATTGATAGTTTAGAGAGGTTTCTTTCATCTACGCAACTACTATTGGCAACATAGGCAATAATACTATGTACATTTTTAGGATAGGTGTCAAATTTGACAAAAATCCTCTTTCAAGTCTCTTTCATATATGGACTATTAAAACTGTATTTTCTCCCTACTTACAGCACCATGATACTAAAACTAAAACTAGCCCTGAAACTACAGGAATTTTGATCACTTCTATTTTGTGCAATTCTCATTAAAAAAGAACAAAATGCATGATGCACTTATCATTGTATATGCTTCATTATCAAGCATAAATCCTGACAGGAGAGACTTTCCATTTGGGTTCAGCAATTAGGAAAAGCAAATTTTTCACTGACGGTTTTATATATCTGATGTTTGAAATAATTTACCTGCGCATGGCTCAGAACATTTCAAACCTTATTTATCCTGCTAGATAGTGTGGGACTCAGTTATATCTCCTTCATGTCACGATGTTGGTGAGTTTCTACATTGGGTGGTAGAAGTATTCCCTGCAGTACTCTCATATGGGGATGACTAGTAGTAACTTAGCTGTACTCAAAAGACCACAATCTACATATATAAGCCCCTAAACCAAAATGAAATGTATCCCCAGTTCAACTTCCCCTTAACCAGATGCCCCAAATGTCCATGAGCTCTTTAAAGCCATCCAAAACAAGGGGAAGCATGATAGTCGAAAGAGGCAGTTGCCTTGACAGATTTTAGTTAAAATATCTTACTTTTGAAAAAAAAGTATGACCACAGTGTGCGGGTCCTTCTCAGGGCCTTGGAAGGAGCCAGGGTAAGTGAGGAGGAGCCAGGGTAAGTGAGGAGGAGCCAGGGTAAGCTCAAGGTTCATTAGCTTCTTGGTCAATTCACCCCTGTATCTAGGAGTCACTCAGATGTGAACCCTTTAATGAGACTGTTCAGGAGAGAGAGCTGAGGGAAAAGAGAGACATGCTCTGGGCTAATGAGGTTTCCAGATCCAGAGCAAACTCTTATCACTCAGTCCTTGCTATTGCATAGCAAAAGCCCTCTTTCACATTTTTAATTTCACCTGTTTTTAAAAAAATCTTAACAGTTTGGCCAAGCACAGTGGCTCATGCCTGTAATCCCAGCACTTTTGGAGGCCAAGGCAGGTGGATCACCTGCGGTCGGGAGTTCAAGACCAGCCTGGCCAACATGGTGAAACCCTGTCTCTACTAAAAAAATACAAAAAATTAACCAGACGTGGTGGCGAATGCCTCTAGTCCCAGCTACTAGGGAGGCTGAGGCAGGAGAATTGCTTGAACTCAGGAGGCAGAGGTTGCGGAGGTTGCAGAGAGCCGAGATCATGCCACTGTACTCCAGCCTGGGCAAAAAGAGAAAAACTCTGTCTCAAAAAAAAAAAAAGGAAGAAAGGAAAGAAAAGAAAATCCTGCAGTTTTGCAATGGGAAACAGTTTGGTAGTTTCTCAAAAAGCTAAACAGAGAATTACTGTATGGTCTGGCAATTTCACTCTTAGGTATATATACCCAAAGGAATTCAGAGCAGAGACTCAACAGATACTTGTAAGTCAATATTCATAGCTGTGTTATTCAGCATAGCCAAAAGGTAAAAACAACCCACGTGTCCATCAACAGAGGAATATATGAGCAAACTTTGGTATATGCATGCCAAGGAATATTATTCAGCCATAAACAGAAAAGAGTTCTAAAACATGATACGATATGGGTGAACATTAAAAATATTACACTAAGTAAAATAAGCCAAATAGAAGAGGACAAATAGTTTATGATTCTACTCACATGAAATATCCGTAATAGGCAAATTTATAGAGATAAAAAGTAGATTAGAGGTTACCAGGAGCTGGGGAAAGGGAGGGGGGATGAGGTATTAGTGCTTAATGATATTCAAGTTTCTATCTGGGATGATGAAACAGCTTTGGACATAAATACTGGTAATGGTTGTACAACATTGTGAATATAATTCATGCCACTGAATTGTACACTTAAAAATTGTTAAAATGGTAAGTTTATGTTCTGTATATTTTACCACAAATAATAGAAAAAAAGAGCAAGGTAAGATTTGAGCATCAGAAATGAATTTGTCCAGATCAGGTTTTCATGCATAAAAATTTCTGACAGAAATTTTTACATGAAAATATTTACTAAAATGATCATAACAGCTGAGGGGTAGTGGCACGTGCCTGCAATCTCAGCTACTCAGGAGGCTGAGATGGGAGGACTGCTTAAGTCCAGGAGTTCAAGATCAGCCTGGGCAACAGAGTGAGAACCTATCTCTAAATTTAAAAACAGATATAAAATGATCACAATCTCTTGAATAAGAATTCTACAGATCTTACTTCACACCAACCACACGTATATCCAAAAAAATCTCGCAGATTACTGAGCCAATGAAAATGAGAATTAGGCCAGGCGCAGTGGCTCATGCCTGTAATCCCAGCACTTTGGGAGGCCGAGATGGGTGAATCAGCTGAGGTCAGGAGTTCGAGACCAGCCTGACGAACATGGAGAAATCCCGTCTCTACTTAAAAAAAATACAAAATTAGCTGGGCTTGGTGGTGCATGCCTGTAATCCCAGCTACTTTGGAGGCTGAGGCAGGAGAATCCCTTGAACCTGGGAGGCAGAGGTTGCAGTGAGCCAAGATCGTGTCATTGCACTCCAGCCTGGACAACAAGAGCAAAACTCTGTCTCAAAAAAAAAAAAAAAGAAAAGAAAAAAGAAAGAAAGAAAATGAGTATTCATCTGGCGTACATTCACCAAACCTCCCTACACTTGTCAACAATCTATTATGGGTGGTTTACATGGCAGTGAACATGTAGTTTGGAGAGATGGTGTGGGTTGTATTTACCACTGTTTGCTTTCTAAAAAAGAACAAACTTACTTGATGGTGATTCAGCTGGCCTGATTTCCTTCAGATCCTGAGGTGCCTAAGGTCTGTTTAATGTGCCTCAATGTCTGTCTGTTTAGACACCGACAGCCAGCTGGAAAAGCAGGGAGGCCCCCAGCCCCTCATACCGAGGCCCAGGCAAGCTTGCAGTTTCACCCTGAGCATGAAAGCACTGATGATGAGAATCCTTAAGTGGATGGGAGATACGTGTACTGCTAGGACATTTTGAGTCATCTCTCTAAATGTATATTCCTGCCTCCCATTCCTCCTTTCCCCCAGATCCCAGCTACCTCTCAGTTCCTTTATCTAAGACTCAGCAGTGTCCAAGGAAGAGAATATAGTCATGAGTTCTATATTAGTCCATTTTCACACTGCTATAAAGACATACCCAAGACTGGGTAATTTATAAAGAAAAGAGGTTTAGTTGACTCACTGTTTCACATGGCTGGGGAGGCCTCAGGAAACTTATAATCATGGCAGAAGGGGGAACAAAGACCTTCCTCACATGGTGGCAGGAAAGAGGAAGCTAGCAGGAGCAGGGAAAACTGCCTTATAACACCAGCAGATCTCGTGAGAACTCACTCACTGTCACGAGAACAGCATGGGGGAAACCATCCCCTTACTCCAACGCTTCCCACCAGGTCACTCCCTAAGCACCTGCAGATTACAATGCAAGATGAGATTTGGGTCGGGACACAAAGCCTAACCATATCAGGTTCTTAGTTTCTGTTTCTGGTTGGGTCAGTAAAGCCCCTTCCTCGTCCCTCTTTTCCACTCATCACTAGAGACAGAAACTAAAACCATGGATTCAGGCTGCTAAAAGCCTAAAACAAAACAGAACAGAACAACAACAACAAAATAAGGTGAGATGGACAAGCTTGATAGAGACTATATTGGGTAGGGTGAGTTAAGTAATGTTTGATTCTGAAACAAATTCCAGAATGGCTTAGCACAATAAAAGTTTTATTTTCATTCAAGCAAAATCTGATGGGCTTGTTCCTCTTAGGCAGGTGGCTTTCCATGTAGTCACTCAGGCATCCACACTCCTTCCACCTTGTGGCTCCACCATCTTGACCATCTTGTAGGGCTTTCAGGTTCTCTGTTAGATTCAGTGTATGTGACCAGTAGGCAGGAGAGACAGATGGTGGAAAATGGCTGAGGTTGTTTCCTGGAGCCAGGCCTGGAAGGGATGCACATCACTTTTGCCTGCATCTCATTGGCTGAGACCTAGTCACATGACCCCCACCTAGCTGCAAAGGAGTCTGGGAAATAGGTTCTGGTGAGTGCATAACAATGTCTCTGCACAGGGACTTTAAAAGTCACGTGACCAAATGCCTTTTCCCACCTTCTGTGCTATTTTTCCTCACTCCACCGTCATAAGACAGGAATAGTCCTGCCTTACAAGAGGAGGAAATGGAATCACAGAAACCTCGAATGCAGGACAGAAGCCTGGATAAGGAAGCCTGGAATGTCTTGACTCTGTGTGCCCCTCCACCTTTCTGGCTGGGTGCCTGTGGTGTCTTCTTTCGTGACCTGCTCTGAGTTTCAGGGCAGGCTAGGACAACCTCTTCCCAGAGGGAGATCAGCTTGGAACATCTGGGATCCATATGCTCCTGGCTTCCTTAATAGCTCTGAGTGCAATGCAAGGTATTGGTCTTAAGCCCTGAAATCCTGCCTGGTCTGCTTTTTGTCTCTGAGAGATCTTCTCTCCCCTTTTGCACTATTTGAAGGTGGATTTCAATGGACACTGCCTTCTATAACAGCTGACAGGGAATTCTCAGTGGAGGCCAGTTGATTTTGGAGCAATTCCTGCTGTCAGTCCTGCAAAGCCCAAGTTTCCTGACCTATGGGGCATAATGACAAACCCGTCTGCTTTTGCAGTTAGTCATTTGAGGGGCTTAATTGTAAAACGTTTGTCTAACATTAAGCTGAGATGGTGCACAGAAAAGGATACATTTATTTGACCAATCATCCCAATCCCTGCCCTCTTGTGAGTCTGCTCCAGGACCAAGCAATGCAGGTTGCCAAGATATCCAGGACACGTTTAGCAAGAAACGCCTTTTTCCCTCTCTCTGTGTAGATCTCCATCCAGCCATCTGTCTTGGTATTTTATTTTTCATGAAAGTGATCTTAGAGATGAAGTTGGCCTCCACCGTGTGATCATAATTCATAAAGTGAAGAGCCACATTAAGAGTTGGGGAGATTAATAAATGGTCAATTCATAACGGATTTCTATGGGAAACCAAAGTGTATGATGTGCAACTTTAACTTTCTGAGGTTGCAACCAAGAACTGCATGCCTCTGAATGTTCTTCCCAAGGTATCCTTTAGTCGCACATAGTCCTGACATAGACGGATTGTGTGCTGACTCCCAGAAAGATTCTTTATGTTTTTACATGTTCTATTGCTAAAGTTGCCTTACAAATAACTGTGAGAAAGTAAATGTTACATCAACACGGCGTATAAAAGCAACAAGGCTAAAAAATACAATTGCTTTAAGGTTAGGGAATGTAGATTTCAAATGTTCAATGAAAGGGATAAGATCTGTATTCCTGTTTTCTATTTCACTATTTCTGAACATATGTGCATTCAGATTTGCTTTCTCTGTACCACAATGAAGAAGGAAGGGAGGTGCTTTGGGGGGGATGCTTTTAAATGTGCACATCTGACCAAAAATGGGGTTTATCTCCTCACATAGCCAGACATCCTGGAGGTAAGGTGGTGCCAAGGTTAGTTGATTCAGTGGTGCAAAGACATGATTTTTTTACTCGGCAGTCCTCAGGCATTCCCCCCTCATAGCCACAAGATAGCTGCTGCAGCTCCAGACATCACATCCTCACACAACTATTGCTAAAAGCTGCAATGTTTTTTCTCCTCTTATCAAAGAGAAAGATCTTTGTCAGAATCTCCCAGTAGACTTCCACTTGTATCTCATTGGCCTGAACAAGATCAATTCTTATTCCTAATAAAATCATTGACTAAGGGGAATGAAATTATCATAACTGATTTAGACGAGTGATTTTCAAACTTCAGCATGAATTGGAATATACTTGTGGGGTAGCTTGCTAAAATATAGATTGCAATGCTCCACCACCAGGGTTTCTGAGTCAGTAGATTCTGGTAAGTTGTCCAGCAATTCTGCTGTGGCTAGTCTGGGAATTATACTTTGGGAACCACTGGTTTAGATTGATTTGATTCATTTTCTAGTGCTGGGGAAAAGTCACCTTTACTGAAATCTGCTCTGAAAGCAGAGTCAAGGTTGGGGGAACTAGGAAAAAGCATTAGGATAAATGAGTTAGTGAGAGAAAGCTTATTAGGCAGGCACCCAGCTTCATCTACAATATATATTTTTAAATTTTTTCCTCCATTTTTTTGCCTTCTCTTCAAGACCACTGCAGATTAGATGGTTTTCATGAAATATTTTCATTAATTTGATTCCTACAGCAAGTCCTTTTCCTTTGGGACTAACATAAATCCTAAATCCATCACTGTGTACTGCACACACTAAATTATGTAGAGCTTAAATTATTTCTCTCAATATCTATTACCTTTTGCCCTTCTCTGTAAAATGTTATCAGTCTTAGTGTTTGTTCAGTCAGCCAGCTTTATTAGATCCATCTTAGGTTTCTCACCATCCTCCTTAGCTCTCCCCAACCTAAACACTTCTGTGTCATCAGCAAATTTTTCCACACGGCCATTCAGTGCATCCTCTAAGTCATTAGCAAGTATATTGCGCTAAATCACCGGAACTGCTAACTTGAACTTCGTGTATTAGCAGCATCTGAAACAACTATACCAAGACTGGCAGTACGCTTAGATCAGTGATTCAGTTTCTTGGGTGAAAAATAAAAAATATATAGCTCATATTTGATTCCATTCTTTCCTGTGCAGAGTTTGCAGTAGATTTATATATTGTGTTTGTGTTATTGTGATTGTAGTGTTATATGTAGGAAATCTTTGCCTAACCCAAGGCCAGAACGATTTTCTCTTCTTTTAGAAGAGAAATTTTCTTTTAGAAATTTTCTAGTTTTTGTTTTTATATTTAGATCTCTGATCCATTTTGATTTAATTTTTGTATACGGTGCAAGGATTGAACCAGAATTAATTCTTTTGCCTCTGGATATCTTATTTTTCTATCTCCACTAGTTCAAAACATTATACTTTCTTCCTTGAATGGTCCTCATACTTGCATGGGTTTATTTCTGGATTCTCTCCTTTTTCCTCTGTTGATCTTGTTGTCTGTCTTGACACCAATATTGTACTTATTTTAATTACTCTGTTCTTAATTACTCTACTCTGTTCTGTTAATCTATTTATCTCTCTTGATGCAATACTATAGTATCTTAATTACTGTAGTTTTATAATAAATATTAAAGTAAGATAATGTAAAATATTTCTTCCCATTTTTTTCCAAGTTGTTTTGGTTTTCCTAGTTCCTTTACATTTTCAAATGAATTTTAGAATCAGCTTGTCAACTTCAACAAAAAATTTCTACAAAATGGATTTTGATTGTGAATTTATGTTTCTGTAGATTAATTTGGGGGAAATTGGACATGTCAGCTAGACTGGGCATCTGACACATCAAACTGGTAAATCTGTTTATTTAGATGTTTCACTTCTCTCAGCATTGTTTTGTGTTTTTAAGTGTACAGGTCTTCTACATATTTTGTCAGATATATCTCTAAGTATTTCACATTTTTATTCTATTGTAAATTAAATGTTTAAAAATTTAATTGGTAGCATACAGAAATAACTGATTTTTGTATATTAATTTTATATCCTGTGATATTTCTAAAGCTGCTCATTAGTTTGAGTAACTTTTTATAGCCTCCATAAGAGGCTTTACATAGTGTCATCAGGAAATAAAGACAGGTTTACTTCTTTTTCTATCTGAATGCCCTCATTTCTTTTTCTTGCTTCATTTATCTGGTTAGAACCTCCAATAAAATACTGAAGAGAAGTGGTGAGAGTGAACATCCTTGTCTTGTTCCTGATCTTCAAGGGAAAGTATTCATTCCTTCACCATAAATGTTAGCTATAGGCTTTTCATTGATAACCTCTTTCAGTTGAGGGCATTCTCTCTGATTCCCAGTTTGCTGAGACTAGGGACTCCAATTATACATATATTAGGCCACTTAAAGATGCACTACAACTCATGGATGCTGGTGGAAGGGTTGTATTTTGGTTTTTGTTTGTTTGTTTTTTAGTGTTATTCCTCTCTATTTACTTTTGTTTTGTTCCTATTGCTGTGTCCTTACTAATCTTTTCCTGCATAATGTCTCATCTGTTTTAATCCCATTCAGTGCATTTTAAAAAATCTCAGATGTTGTAATCTTGATAGAATTTCACTTTTTGTGTTCTATTTTCCATGTCTCTACTTATCACACATGATATTTCCTCCAATTTCTTCAACATAGCAAAACAGATGATGGTTTAAATGCCTTTGTCTACTAATTCTGTTATCAATGTCATTTGTGGGTCAGTTTCACTTGGTTGATTTCTTCTTCTGATTGTGGGTCATATTTTCCTGTTTCTTTGCATGCCTAGTAATACTGATTGGATGCCAGACATTGTGAATTCTACCTTTTTGGGTGCTATATATTTTTGTATGACTGGAACTACTCTTAAACTTTATTCTGAAGCACAGTGACATTACCTGGAAACAGTTTGAGCCTTTCAGGTTTGCTTCTAAGGTTTGTTAGGCAGAACCAGAGCAATGTAGTCTGGGTCTAATTTTGCCATACCACTGAGGCAAAATACTTCTGAGTGTTCTACCTAGCACTTCATGAATTATGACATGTTTTGTTCTAGCTGGTGGGAACAGGAACCGTTTCTGGCCCTGTGTGAACTCTGGAAAGTGTTCATTTTAATCCTTTTGGGTAGTTCTTTCACTGAACTTGGACATTTCCTCACATCCATGTGCTGATCAGTTGTCAGCTGAAGCCTCATGGGAGACCCTCCACATGTTTCTGGAATTCTCTCTCCATATAGATCCCTTCTTTTCTGCCAAGTTAATCACCTTGGCCTCCCCAGACTCTCATCTCTGGCTCTTCAACTTGGATAGAATACTAGGATCTGCCTAGGTACCCCGATTATAATGCTCAGTTGTTTGGGCAAACACTAGTCTAGATGTTGCTACAGAGGTATTTCATAAATATGAATAACATTTATAATCAGTTGACCTGAAAGAGATTACATTTGGTATTATAGGTGGGTCTCATCCAATCAGTTGAGGTCTTTACAGCAAAAACAGGTTTCTCAGAGAAGGAATTCTGCCTCAAGACTGTAACTTGGAAATGCTGTCTGAGTTTCCATCCTGCCAGCCGGTCCTGTGAATTTTGGACTTGCCAACCTGCCAACCCCATAATCATTTGAATCAATTCCTGAAATGTATCTCCATGTGGATAAATCTAGATGTATCTTATAGATAAATAATTCTTACAAGTATGTTGGCAGTTTATCCTACTATAAACTTGTAAGTTCTCCAAGGAAAAAGACTATGCCCATTCTGCTCACTCCTCTAACTCCAGCATCTAAGCAGAGCTGGATGCGTAGTAGGGGGTCAATAAATAATTTTAAAATATCCAGACGTGGACAAGTTAAATGTGTGACAGCAGATTCCCTGCACTAAGCAGGACAATTGCTATTAACAGTTCTTTTGTTCTCTCTCAGTTACTTTCCTATACTCCCTACCATGTATTTACCTTACGAATAAGTGTTGCAAACTATGTATGTATGTATGATTTCATTAAATTGCTTCCAGAAGGTTATCATTCATAAGCTGCAATGTACAAGTCCATCTTTTAAAATGAAACACATCTTCTCCTAAAGTATGTCGGTGTTTATATTAAACAAATACGTGCATGCAGCTTCAACAGTGGAGGCCATATGGACAAGTGACAGATATTACTTTCTCACTCACTTCAAGTTTGCATACTTCCTTTCTAAATAGGACTGCCCCTAAACCTTCTTCCCCTCCACCTTCTCCCTTCACTGAAGCAGACATTGGGCCTAGTGAAAAATCTAGGCGTCTGGGCTGGGAAAGCAAAGTTGGGAGACCAAAGCAGGGGTGGCATGAGGTTGGACTGATAATGAAGGAAAAATAAAGTCCCAATTTTTGGGGGTGGTTTTTGCTGGGTCTTTTTAGAGACAAGGTCTCACTTTGTCACCCAGGCTGGAATGCAGTCATGTGATCATAGCTTACTGCAGCCTCAATCTCCTGGGCTCAAGCTATCCTCCTGCCTCAGCCTCTCCTGAGTACCTGGGACCACAAGCGTGTGCCACCATTCCTGGCTAATCTTATTTTTTAAATGTTTTGTAGAGATGAGTTCTCGCTGTATTGTTCAGGCTAGTCTCAAACTCCCGGCCTCAAGCAGTTCTCCTGGCTCGTCCTCAAAAAGAGCTGAGATTACAGGCATGAGCCACTGCACTCAGTCACAAATTTTTTAGACTGAAAATCCAGGGCAGTCTATACCCACCAGCCTGGTTTACACTTCGCAAAGTGGGATTTAATAGCTATGCCTTTTCACTCCAGGGCCTAGAAAATTAAGAGAGTAAGAAAGGAATCTTTTCAACAAGGAGAATAATCTTTTGCTAAAAAATATTTGAGTTCTTTCTTACAGTACTATTTACACTATCACCATTAACAAACCCTGGTATTTGTGGCAATGTGTTTTCACTATTAAGCATCTAAACAGAGATTATGAAGTGGGACTTTAAGCAGAAAATCTGTGTTCACCTTCATTCTACCAACCTATTTGCTTGGGTAGGTGTATGTATTAATTCAGTTATAGAAATAGTAACTTAAATAATGGATGAGCTCTTATCACTTTCTGTAGACAAAGAGATTTAAGCAACAGGAGAAAAGGCAATTGTATTCATTCTAGTAAACATGTATAATTTATAGCAAAGAGAAAGAAATTGAGAATAACAATAGGAAAATATTAGATATTTTAATTTATCCACTGTTCTGTTTCTTTTCACAGTGGATTTAGGAAATTGAAATGTGTAAGCCAAAGCAGCTGAAATTTTAAGTCCTCAGGTATTCTGACATATGATTATTTCAGTCACATAAAAATTTAAATTTCTTGCTTTGGAAAGAGGCAAGATAATGGGAATAAGAAAAAAGATACTCTTATAATCCAAGGATGAATTTTAATATGGTGCTTGATTTACTCACCTAACCATCATGATTTGATTCATGCTATGAAACTGGCACAAATAAACACTAAATGAGGCATTTTAGAATAAATTTAAGATTGAAAGCTTTGGTACAGAGGGAACTATACTGTATATCATTTGGTAAATCTCATTTCCCTGAAACTTTTTACTTTCTTTACAGTTTTATTGGCTTTTTCTGGCCAGTTTTTATTCTCCATAGTTGAATCATTATGACTGTTTAAAAGAAAGCCAAAATTCATGAAAAAACATATAAAAGAAGACTAGATTAATTTTGAAATTATGGACACTCCAGGAAGCAGTAAAGTTAGCACACCTGGTATAAAACATACTTGGACTATTTTCATATTTAATGAAAAATATATTCCACTGAGTATTAACACTAAACAACACTACCTAGAAATCCATTAATAGTTTTCCAGTTTATTGGAAGATTGAGGTTTCACTATTCCCAGTATTCAGAGCATTATATAAAAATGCCTTTAAATTTCAACAACTAACCCTGAAGTCATGCCAAATTACTTCTTGCCCCCAATTAGTGGAGTGTACCATTAAATGAAAATATGAGAATTTCAAGAATATCCACAGAGACACTACAAATCACATAGATATTCAATCATCTGATATAAGATGGATCTATGACCAGAACAGGAAGATTCTCTAAAGAAAGTGAAATATTTATTTATAGGGCCAGTGGATCATGGGACACATGATGGGTTTGTAATGTTCAGTGAAATGTTATGTTCTCACTTCAGGGAATGTGAACTGTCCAATTTCCTCTAAATAGAATTTTCATTGTTCGACAAAACCAACTATTACACTATACCAAGAAATAACAACCTAATAAATAGCGATAAAGATGGATTTTCCCTCCTCCCTGTGAAACTTCGCTGGAATTTCCTGCTTCTCTTTTATGTAAGGGATTTCTTTTTTCCACGGTTCTTCTTCTTACTCTGATTGGTTTGTATCATTTTTGAACATGCATTTTTTAAAGAAATATCAGATTAAAAAATTCTCAGCCATACATTGTCTCATAAAGATTGCACTATGATGAAAACCAGACCCAGATTGTAGGTCTGCTTTCTTTTTTTTTTTTTTCCTGAAACACAAACAAGAACAATTTCAATAAAAACATTCCACTTCCCACCAGGGACACTGACGATGGTAATTCAGGTATTACCCTATCTGCAAATATGCATCTAACACACGGGGACTGCATGGAAGTATTTTAAAAGCTTAACCTAAGATTTTCATATTAAGAATGGAATGTCGTATCTTTTGATTCCATAAAACCCTAATTTTGAAGAAAGGCACCTTTTAAAATGGTCTGGGTAATGACCTGGGACTGCTAACAGGTATCCTATTGAATAATAAGCTCGCTTGTTCCCTGTTTAGCAGTAGGGAGATGGTACTCAAAGATAAATGGAAAAGGCTGATCACGGCAGCATTGCTTATAATAGCCACCAACTGCATGCAGCTTGACTGTCCATTGGGGGAAACTGATGAAATAAGTTGCAGGATGAGGGGAGGCTGGTGGAGGGGTTAAGAGCACAGAGGGTGGAAACCAGCTGCCTCATGATGGCTCCTGGTCCCACCACTTACGAGTCACACCTTAGGCAAGTTACTTGAACATCAGTTTTCTCATCTGTAAAATAGGGATAACAATAGTGGCAAACTTGGCCAGGTGTGATGGCTCACACCTGTAATCCCAGCACTTCGGGAGGCCAAGATGGGTGGATCATGAGGTCAGGAGTTCAAGACCAGCCTGACCAATGTGGTGACACCCTGTCTCTACTAAAAATACAAAAATTAGCTGGGCATGTTGGCATGAGCCTGTAGTCACAGCTATTTGGGGGGCTGAGGCAGGAGAATCGCTTGAACCTGGGAGGTGGAGGTTGTAGTGAGCCAAGATCACACCACTGCACTCCAGCCTGGGCAACAGAGCGAGACTCTGTATCAAAAAAAAAAAAAAAAATAGTGGCAAAGTCTTAACGTTGAAGTGAAGTGTGAGATACAGTTTCTAGCGTCGCTAGTGTTCAGAACAGTGCCTGGCATATAATAGATACACAATAGATATGTGAAACAGGTGCAGTGGCTCACGCCTGTAATCCCAGCACTTTGGGAGGCTGAGGCGGGCGGATCACGAGGTCAAGAGATCGAGACTATCCTGGCCAACATGGTGAAACCCCATCTCTACTAAAAATACAAAAATTAGCTGGGCATGGCGGCAGATACCTGTAGTCCCAGCTACTCAGGAGGCTGAGGCAGGAGAATCGCTTGAACCCGGGAGGCAGAGGTTGCAGTGAGCAGAGATTGTACCACTGCATTCCAGCCTGGCAACAGAATGAGACTCTGTCTCAGAAAAAAAACAAAACAAAACAAAACAAAAGATATGTGTTGAATAAATGTAAAGAGCTGGCCAGAGTGTCCAGCCAATAGATGTCATGCAGATGGTAGCTATTATTATGGTACATCCATGCAAAATGGAATATTAGACAGTAATTGTAAAACTTTATGTATCACTATGTAAAAATAGGTTAAAATGAAAAATAAGATAGAAAAAAGCATGCACAAGGTGCCACAAACTTTATATGAAAATGGCCAAAATGGGTATAAAATGTACAAGTATTTTAATATACATGTATACACACATGCACACACACACACACACACACACACAGCCTGGAAGCATCCATAGGTGCTGGTATGCCTATTTTCCTTTGCACACTCTTTTTACTGTTTGAATTTTGACCACTTGAATATGTGGGAGGATCGTCTTCTAGGAAGCAGATTCTGAGTTGAGACTAGTGTGTCAGAAAATTATTTGCTCTTGAAATCAAAACCTGTAGAGGGGAAGAAAAGGAAGCAGGACTGGGCAGATGGAGAAGTTGATCTACTATGTATTGCCAGCCAAGGCCTCAGGGAGCTCTGAAGCTGGGATAGCCCCTCGGAGTTGTCCCAAGATGGGACAAGGGGCCAAGCCCTCCTACCTCCAATTGATCAGTCACTGGCTGCAAGCTGTCCCTGGAAGGGGGCAAATCCTGAGAGAGATTTTCTTCAGCTAAGGCAATGCCCAAAGAGAGTTGACCGTCCAGAGCCTGTTCCAGCAACACCCCCAGGAAGTGGCAGGTAAACTCTTCCTTCCTAAAGGGAGACCATGTGGCACATTACAGAATCTACTACATCATTCATTCTTTCAATAAATGAACAACATAGCTGTCAATTTATTTATTTATTTTATTTATTTTATTTTTTTGACACAGAGTCTCGCTCTGTCACCAGGCTGGAGTGCAGTGGCGTGATCTTGGCTCACTGCAACCTCTGCTTCCCAGGTTCAAATGATTCTCCTGCCTCAGCCTCCTGAGTAGCTGGGATTACAGGCATGTGCCACAACACCCAGCTAATTTTTGTATTTTTAATAGAGACAGGGTTTCACCATGTTGGCCAGGCTGCTCTCGAACTCCTGACTTCAGGTGATCCACCTGCCTCGACTTCCCAAAGTGCTAAGATTACAGGTATGAGCCTCCACTCCCGGCACTATCAAATATCTAATTTTCAGTGTCAATGGTGAAAACACAGAGCTAGCCCAATTATGGGGAGCAGGTAGCCTCTGTGATGTGATTTAAGGGGTGCCATAGGGCTATCTGCCCTTCCCCCAAGTTTTTTCTGCACTACCCTGCCAAAAGCACATGAAGTTTTAACAGTTTGTTAAGGGATGACTTAAGGCAGTTCTTCCTGGAGAAATTTATTTTGTTCATTAACTGCCTTAATAGGTTACTCAATAATTGTTTCTTATCTATCAATAATTCAGAAAAACATGGACTTGGCCAGTAGAGAACAAAACATTGAAATTGTCCAGTTTTTCCAGCTTAGACGTTACTACTATTAGTAGGAGTTTAGGGTCAATTCTCTGGACAACCAAAGGAGCATGAATAGAATACAGAGAAATGTTCTACAAAATGGGTTGTGTGCACTTGATGGGGCGCAAAAGACATCCGCTGGCCCTTTCTTGGTAGTATAGACGTTTGCAATGGAAAAGAAATTTGAGACCCTCTACACATCACATTTTTGCCTTTAAAAAAAGAAAAGCAAGGAAGAAATAGATTTTCTAGTATCATATTTAATAAACATATGGAGGCTCCCTTATTTGGTCTGTAAGCCAGACAGTCTTATTTCAAGGACAGTACAGGAGAGCTGCAGTGAAAAGCCCTAATACCACAACAGAGATGGAGGGGACAAAGATGGCTCCACTTTTAGCTTCTTGTAATATTTTGCCCTTCACTCATTCCTGGAGAACTACATTGCCAAAATTATTTAGTTTTTTAGATTTTAGGTTTTTTTTTTTTTGAGACAGAGTCTTGCTCTGTTGCCCAGGCTGGAGTACAGTGGTGCCATTTCAGTTCACTGCAACCTCCACCTCTCGGGTTCAAGCGATCCTCATGACTCAGCCCCCCTAGTAGCTGGGATTACAAGTGCACGCCACCACACCCAGCCAGTTTTTGTATTTTTAGTAGAGACGGGGTTTCACCATGTTGGCCAGGCTGGTCTCAAACTCCTGACCTCAGGTGATCTGCCCATCTTAGCCTCCCAAAGTGCTGGGATTACAGGTGTGAGCCACTGCGCCTGCCCCCCAATTTTTTTTTTTTTTTGAGATGAAATCTCACTCTGTCACACAGGCTGGAGTGCAGTGGCGCGATTTTGGCTCACTGCAGTCTCTGCCTCCTGGGTTCAAGTGATTCTCCTGCCTCAGTCTCCCGAGTAGCTGGGACTACAGGTTTAGTCCCACCATGCCCGGCTAATTTTTTGTATTTTTAGTAGAGACAGGGTTTCTCCATGTTAGCTAGGATGGTCTCGATCTCTGGACCTCAGGTGATCTGCCCGAATTAGCCTTCCAAAGTGCTGGGATTACAGGCGTGAGCCACCGCACCTGGCCTATTTAGTTTTAGCTAGACAAAATTATTATGTGGCATCGACTATTTAGTGACATGGTGTCTTGGATTGGATCCTGGAACAGAAAAAATGTATTGATGGAAGAACTGGAGAGATGCAAATTAAATCTGTGGTTTAGTTAATAGTACTGTACTGGTGTCAATTTCTTAGTTTTGATAAATATACTATGGTTATGTAAGATGTTAGTATTCGAGGAAGCTGGGTGAAGGGTGTATGGGAATTCTGTTCTATCTTTGCAATCCTCTGGTAAACCTAAAATTCTTTTGAATTAAAATTTCTTTTAAAAGTATATTTGAAATATAGCTTTTTAACATGCATTATTGTTACCAACAAACATTGAGCCATGGATAGTGTTGCTTTGCAATATTATAAACTAATTTGAAATGAAGAACCCACAATATTAAAATGAGCCTCTGGTTTTGTTTCAAGAGTAAAGTCGTGTGAGTCTCAGGCCAGTATTTTAAAACTTCTTATGAAATATTTATACATATTTAGCAACCACTTTTGAGATTTCTTATCTAATAGCAAAGCTACTGCTGAAGAAACTGCTGCAGTATAAACCAGTGAAATCATTTACATAAAAGGATAGTAAAAAATTAAAGTGCCCTCTTTAGTTAGAAAAATCTTTTGGAAGACACAAAGCACAAAATGTTAGTAAAAATGATAAACCACAGGGTGGTTGCTGAATGGGTTGTTGCTGAATGAATAAAAGTTGAGATGCTTCCAACATGATTCCATAATTGAGCTGCTAGATTCTGTTTGAATAATGAAATACATGAAGAAATGCTTTTATATGGCTTGCCAAAGAAAAGATGTACCAGAAAAAGATATTCTCAACAGTAAATGACTTCTTTAATTTAAAAAATGGGGAAATGGGGAGTGGGGGTTTACTCATATGAGTCTAACCACTCAGGGAGTAGCTGCTTTGATGGAATTACAAAAGAAGAGACATCAGCTGGGCGTGGTGGCTCACGCCTGTAATCCCAGCACTTTGGGAGGCCCAGGTGGGCAGATCATGAGGTCAGGAGATCGAGACCATCTTGGCTAACATGGTGAAACCCCATCTCTACTAAAAATACAAAAAATTAGCCAGGCGTGGTGGAGGGCGCCTGTAGTCCCAGCTACTCGGGAGGCTAAGGCAGGAGAATGGTGTGAACCCGGGAGGCAGAGCTTGCAGTGAGCCGAGATCCTGCCACTGCACTCCAGCCTGGGCGACAGAGCAAGACTCCGTCTCAAAAAAAAAAAAAAAAAAAAGAGACATCAAGGGGAAATCCACAGGCATGGCCCCTCCTGAAACATCTGTTCACTGCATCATCAGCCATAGGGATATCATTGCTGTAAAAAGTTGAACCAGAAATCCACAAAATGTTACAGGGTGTCATCGGTGTGGTTACTTGATTGAAAAATAGAAGTAGAATCTTAATGAGATGGGGAATAATGGTGACAATCTTTTGTGCCCTTGGAGGGTTAAAAGTTATTTCATGGCAAAGCACTTAAAAGTATTGTCAAACTTGAGACAGATACGCGTTATTCTTTTATAAATACAAAGGTTCCAATTTGGCTGACTCTTTCTGAGGCCAATACACTATTCATCAGATATTTCCAAAACTATGTTTGATCTGTCCATTTGAGATAAAGGCGAGGAGAAAATAGTGTTACAATGAGGGAGAAAGTAATAATTGTTGAAAGAAATTCATGCTATGGAAAGAGCTCTTTGGAAATGGATGCTTGGAAATATTCTCAAATATATGTGGGTTTTGTTGCCAAAAACAATATAAAAACTCATATCTGTACACATTAAAAACCCTGGAAATATAATTTTCTAACCTGCCCCAGTTTTTTTTCCATGTGAAGAATTTTATCATGTTTTGAAAATGTTTGTTGGAAATATTAAAAATGCCAAATCTTCCAATTAGTTTGCAACAACCACTATTTGATATCTAGAAAAGCAGAAATTTACCAGCTCATAAGACACTTTGGCATAATTAGTGGATGGAATTTAGAAATCAGTATTATAAGTTAGTAAGGAGAGTCTTCTAAAAAGATACTTCTTGTACGTGAATCTACATACAGTATTTTTGTGAAGCATATTTGAATCTATTATAACTATTAAAATATACTGAACTTGGCCGGATGCCTCATGCCTGAAATCCCAGCACTTTGGGAGGCTGAGGTGGGCAGATGACTTGTGCCCAGGAATTTGAGATCAGCCTGGGCAACATGGTGAGACCCAGTCTCTACAAAAAATACAAACATTAGCCAGGCGCCGGGGCGTGCGCTTGTGGTCCCAGCTACTTGGGAAGTGGAGACAGGAGGAGGCAGAGGTTGCACTGAGCCAAGATCCTGCCACTGTACTCCAGCTTGGGTGACAGAGTGAGACCCTGTACCCCGACCCCCCAAAAAAAAGAAAGAAAAAAATATAGAGAGAGAGATAACTCAAAATCAATATCACAAATTGTGTTTGATCTTGCTATGCCACAAAGTACTACACCAAGATTTTCACTAATCAAAATTTTTAAATCTTATTTCAACTTTTTCTTTAAAAATATTTATTTTTTACATTTTATAATGTTCATAATATGTTAATATATAATATTTAACATAAAATAGTAGGTATTAAAGCCTGGTGACATAGGTAAATAAATATAGATGTTAGATAAGAAATATTTTAAAAGTAAATATATTAGAAACACATGCTCAAAAGTTTTTTCTGATGGGGCACGTGATATGTAGTCTTTTACAGCGAATAGACAATCAGAAACAGCAAAGAAAATGGGTTAGTTTAGTTCTTTATAAAATCTATCAGAGAAAATATACATAACATACCAACCCTAAAGTATGCATTGATCCTTTATTGCCAAGCAAGCCAAATTGGGAAGCTAATTACATAAACGTTTTTAGAACTGTTCAACAAAGTCGTCCATTTACCTTTGGTTAAAAGTCAAATTGTTGGAGCACAGCCCTAGAGACGCTGATTCAGCAAGATGAGTATAGACCCAAAAATCTGGATTTTTCACAGCACTGAAATAACTCCTCATTTTGAAGATGAGGAGAGTAAGATCTAGAGAGTTAACATGACTTGGCCAATGGTATGTGGGGAGTTCACCAACCAGAGCCAGGGCTAGAGCCACCCCAGCCCTGTTATTTCCCTGTGCAGCGCCCCCCTTTGGCACATCCTGCTCCTCAAATGAAACTCTGGTGCCTGCCTACTTAGATATTAGCAGATTGGAGGAAAGCAATCAAGGGGCTCCAATTTCAATGCTTCAGCTAGAAACCACTCGTCACTTGCAAAATTATCCTTTGAATTTTCTGGTGAGACTAATGGCCACAGCACTTTATAGAGCTAAAAACAAAAAGCTATTGTTAGGTTTGTTATTGTTGCCATGTTGCTAGGAGAGCCTCTGCGATGGAATGTGCCATTCAATACAAGCTTTGCTTCTCTGGTACAACCCTACCATGTTCAAGGGACATGGCCCAGGTGCAAGGGGAGTGAGACCATACATTGCAAGGCCAAGGCCAGAACAGCAAGAGAAAGGGGAGATTTCCTCTCGGGCTTTGTGGGAGAAGAATCAAAGACTAGCACACAAGTCCTGAAATAACAACAGAGTTCTTCAAATTTAAGAAATAAGCATACATGAAAATTCCAAATGTTATGCTGCTTTGCTTTTGTGGTCCCTAAACCTGCCCATTGCTCATTTGGTTATAGCAAACAGCAGTAAAATGGTCCTGAAATGTATAAGACTGTATTTTGTTGGAAGTAGGCCATGCCCTGGCCCCAAGTTTGATTCACTGTTCTTGGAAATACTCCAAGCATGGTGGTGGTATGAGAGTGGGATATTCACCCAAACACCTAGTTGATCAGATCAGCAAATACAGGCAAGGAGGGTGGCAGATGAACAGAACTGGATACACGTGTGTAAGACAAGTGACAATGTCCTCAATTATATGCTGGAATGAAAAGCACATGTCCACCTCTTCAAGCACCTGAATTCCAAATGCCATCACTTTCCTTTGTTATTTGCATCCTAGAAAATACACCTCCAAGGATAATGTGTGCATATATATACATATATTTCCAGGGTGAGAGAAAGCATGAAGAATAAAGGGAGAATTAACGTACCATTTAACATTTTTGAAATGTTTGAAAACTGCCACTGGGAAAATGGTATACCTCTTGCTTAAAAAATGACACATTTTATTTAAAAATATTCCGCATTTTTTATTTCAGGGGAAGGGGAGGTAAGGGCTGTTGTTTTGTAAAACCTCCCAAGGCTGAGCATGGCTGTCATTTCTGGAGTCTTTCTGCTGAGGCCATTTCTCCTGTGACCATGGGCTAAAGGGCACAGCCGCGTGCCCCCACAGCTGCTTCTGAATTCTGAGCACAGGCCAGAGGAGGGGAAGGGCCGGATGTTTGCAGAAGCAGAGCCGACCCTTGGGTAAAAATGGGAAAACAAAAAGTGGTCAGGATGGATTCCAGAGTAGTTGGAGTTATAGGGAAATCTTCACTGCCAATGTTCTCTAGATCCTCAGCACTACGCCCTGGCCAGCCCCGAAGTCGTGGAGCCCCCCTCCTGCCCTGGGCTGGCCACCTCTCTCACTGGATGAGTGATGTGCTCTGGCTCAAAGGCTGAGGGGGCAGGTGGAGGATGCCTGCCGCGGAACGTGGGTGCTCCCTCCATCAGAATCTTCTCACTGGGAGAGGATCTGCGGCCGTCACCTGCAGCCCCGGTCCTGGCAGAGCTTTTGGAGAAAATGGTAATGTTTGCCTGGTCACTGGGACCACAACTCAAGGGTGGAGGGTACTGGAACGGGATGGGCTGAGGGGTTCCAGGTTCCACTCAGCTGCCCAAGGGCTGGAGGGATCTATGGCCCTATCCCTAAGGGAGGAAAGAAAGCCTTTGCCCTCCATGAAAGGATTCAAGGGGTCTTAGGGCCTTCTTAGTGGCCCTGAGGTCATGATGCTAGTTTGTGCTGTGCTCTGTAGGCTGCCATTGTATTTTGCTATTGTGGGAAAACAGAGGCAGTGCAAGGACTGAGGAAGAAGAATGTAATTCTGTTGGGGGCTTGGAAATCCCCAGCAGGGGCCACCCATGGAAGAGGACACCCCAAGTGCCTGCCCTGGGCCAGGGGAGAAGAAAACGGAGTGCCCAAGGCCTCAGCTTCTCCACTAAGCACCTGTTCCCTCTGCAAGGGGAGAGGGCCACCAGCTGAACCAGTGTCACCTTGCTCAGATCCCAGAACTTGGGCTCCAGAAGCAGCAGTCAGAAGCTTCTGGAGCAGCTCATAGACCCCTGGCCCAGGCCTCCTGCACTCTCTGGTGGTCCTGTAGCAGCCTCCCACTGAAAATGTCCTCTCACTGCTTCTGCAGAATTATGCCACAAGGGAGAAGCAGCTGGCAATACATGTGATTGGATTTTTCTTTTGTTTTGTTATAATGAGAAAGTGAAGGAATACTCATGGGCCAATTTGTAGAGAGAGAGAGAGAGAGAGAGAACATATGAAACATGCCATAAGGAAGGTGGTCTCTCATTTCACTGCACATTGTTTGGCAAAGATGATGTCATTTCATTCACATGTCGAAAGTAATTGGTCCCTTACCAACCACCTATGAAATTAAGAGCATTTCACATAGATAGCTGGAAGATTCAGGGAGCATGGTTTTCATTTATGATTATTTTCAAAGTGAAATGTTTGCCAGACTAAACAACAAAGTTCTTTGCTTGTTTCAAGAGTCCTTTGAGTGTGAATCATGCCTTGATCGACTATGTTTTTTCATTTGTAGTCTTTACTGAGTCTCCGAACGATGGTGCACCTAATTAGTCATCACCAGCACATTATCACTGGAGATAGACAACCCAAATCCAAAGACTTCATGCAGAGTTTTCTGATGGAGTTCCTCAGACACTCTATTTTTCCAGTTCAGCTCACAGTCTTGGGCATCAGATGCTTTTTCCCACCCTCTAACTTTGTCCCCATCTTTTCTAACAAAAACACAATTACTTTTTGCTCTCAATTCAAGATTCCGGGACTAGTAAGATGATACCAGGGTTGGGTATCCACTGAACAGGAATAGCCAGAAAGATCCAGGAACTGAAATTGGGTTAGCAGATTAGAGCTTCGGTGACCCTGAGAAGTTGAGCCCCCAAACCATGGCTGTACCCTAGGAGAGGCAGAGCCAAGGGGTTTGGCATCAGCCAGATATTGCAAACCCGAGAAGGCAATACCCACAATCCAGGAGCTCAGAAATCAGAGATGCAGCTAGGTAACAAACACAGGTTGTGGGAGCCAGGAATAAGCCAGGGAGAGGATGGGGAAAGGCCCCATGGCTGTCACATGCCTCCCGCCAGGGCCAACTGGAATCCTACCTGTGGAGGCTGGGCCCATTGGGGACCCCAAGCAGCACCCACAGCCTGGAGTGTCAAAGTGGGTGGAAGCAGCAGGCACCTGACAGCAATTGCAAGGGAGCAACTATTCCATGTTTTTTGACGCATGCAGCAGTTCCGAGGTGATGCGCGTAAGCATTCTCAGCCTCATTGGGTTCTTCTGTACATCAACTGTAGTGATGCCTGCATTTCACAAAATGTGAAACTCAACGGTGGCTGTGTACAAACATGAAGAAGAAGGGATGCAATATTCAGCTCATGTAGACGAAGTATCGTTTCATGTGGTGACAGGGTAGCTGGCAGTGGTAAAGAGTGGTGAACTTTCGGGGAGGCATGACAAAAAATTATTGTACATAGAGCAGAAAGTCAGAAAGCAAAATGCAAAGGTCCCAGGAGCTATCTTAGAGCAATGCTTCCCAGCCTTTTGCTAACCCATGGCATTCAGAGAAATTATCATTTTTCTTTTTTTCTTTGACATTTATTTTAAATTCCAGGGTACAGTGCAGGATGTGCAGGTTTGTTACATAGGTAACTGTGTGCCAAGGTGGTTTGCTGCACAGATCATCCCATCACCTAGGTATTAAGCCCAGCACCCATTAGCTGTTCTTCCTGATGCTCTCCGTCCTCTCGTCCCCACTCACAGGCCCCAGTGTGTGTCCCCACCATGTGTCAGTGTGTTCACATCGTTCAGCTCCTCCTTATAAGTGAGAACATGCCATGTTTGGTTTTCTGTTCCTGGGTTAGTTTGCTGAGGACAAAATGTGGCATGAGGATAACATGTAACAGGAGCATAACATGAGGCTTCTTGCTTCATCCATGTCTCTGCAAAGGACATGATCTTATTCCTTTTTACGGCTGCATAGTATTCCATGATGTATGTGTACCACATTTTCTTTATCCAGTCTATCATTGATAAACTTGGCATTTGGGTTGATTCCATGGAGAAATGATCATTTTTCTAAGGCCCTCTTGGATAAAGATTTGCTTGCAGCCAAAGGCAAGAGGTTCTGGGTTTCAGCCCTTGGGCACTTGCCTGGATGCCCTAAGGGTTAAGTTGGGGGCTAAGGGTAGTCACTCTCTCCTCACACTTGGAATTCATTCAAGGCTCTAAGTTGAGGAGCTCAATTTTAGAAGACTGGGAAGGAATAAACAGAAATGAAGCATGTCACAGCGGACTTTGGATCAATCTGCAAAAACCCATACCTGCTGTTGGCCAAACTACGCTTACACTAGGTGTAAGTTCCTGCTCTCAAGGAGCTCCCAGAAGAGGGAAAGAATGGAGACAGAAAAGCACTTGTTATGATGAACTAACCATGACCCACGGGGTGCGATGAGAAGGCGAGTTTATTCTTACCTCCACCTCCTTTCAGAGTTATTTGCTAAGGCCCACCCTTTTGCAGTCCTGGGGGAAAGCTCAGGGGCCCATAGCTTTCCTGGTCACCTTTAGACATTAAAAGTGTCCCAGTTGCTTAAATCTCAAAACATCAGCTCTTTCCAGTAATTAATACATTGAATCAAGTGTAATAATCAAAAGCGTCATGCTTCATTTAAGGGTAAAACTTCTGGCTCCCACCCCCATTGCATTGAGGCTGGAGTGCAGTGGTACGGTCACGGCTCACTGCAACCTCAAAGTCCCAGGCTCAAGCGATTCTCCTGCCTCAGCCTCCACAGGGCTAATGGCTGCCGCAGCCAGGTGCTCACTCCAGCTGGTTTCTGAGTTCCCCAGCATCAGATCGGGGAGGAGAGAAGGAGGATAAGCAAAGGCCCGGAGGCCAGGGTCGCAGCAGCCCTTCTCTTGTGCGGTGCCTTCACAGGTTCTTCTGAGACCCTCCAACTCTCCATTCCCTACTGGGCCACGATCCTGGGGCTGTCTCCCCTGGAGCCCCTTGGGGCCCTGAATGCATCTCTTCTGGCTGCTTGCTTATGGCTCTTCCTCAGCCCCGGGGAATCTGAAGTCACTTCCTACCGGGGCTGCCTCACTTTCTATTTGGCCCCTCTTACTCCCTCCTTCCCCCGAATGGCCCTCACCATTCATGGGAAGCATGACGAGTCCTTTGTACCCAATTCTGAGTGCAAGCTGACCCCAACACCACAGAGCAACCAACAAGCCAGGCTCCCCACTTCTCAGCCAGACACCAGCCCACTGTGTCCCCCGAGCGTCAGGAGGCACCCCTACACCTTGGCTTGAGGTAGGGCAAGTGACCTCATTCTTTCTTCCAGGTGAGGCCCACAGCAGGGCTTTCCTCCAAAAATTCCCTACTGTAAATTTCAATTCTTGGCTTCCCTCTCATCTTTTATAGTCTGGAGGTGGGTGGTTGGCTGAGACTACAAAACTGGTTTCCATAAGCACTTTTTGCAAGTCTTGCATCTCACTTTGGAATGTTCTAGCTATTTCTTTGGGGCCTCACTTGAAACTGAGACTAAAATAATTCCAATTTAACACCTAGTACAGATAGAGCATCCCCCCTTTTTGTTTCAGGACATAGCACATATAGAAAATGATGATATTTGTGTGGTGCTCTTGGGTAAATGGATGTGCTGTTCATGGTGAGAGCTAACTGGCCAGGAGCTCCACCTGCTCCAGTTGCCCAACGTGGGCAACTCAAGGCCTAGGGGTGCAAGCACAACCTATTTGCAACATGCCAAGTGCAGGGTCTTCACAGGTTCTTTCGAGACCTTCCTATTCCCCCTCCCCACTGGGCTATAATCTGGACCCACGGCTGTGTTGCTTGTTGTTGGTTGGGAAGCTGTGTGGCTAGGCTGTGGACGAGGCTGGAAGTGATGCAGAAGAATAAACGATTCATTCGAGCTGTAGCATCAGGCTGCCTGGAGGTGGTGATGCCTGAGCTGGGTCTGGGTTTTGAAGTATGAATAGGAGTTCTCTAAGCAGCTGCCTTAGTCTGTTTTCTGTTACTTAAAACAGAATACCTGAAGCTGGGTAATTTATAAAGTACAGAAATTCCTTCCTTCCTTCCTTCCTTCCTTCCTTCTTTTCCTCCTTCCTTCCTTCCTTTTCTTTCTTTTTTCGAGACAGGGTCTCACCCTGTTGCCCAGGCTAGAGTGCAGTGATGCAATCATGGCTCACTGCAACCTCAAACTTGCAGGCTTAAGCAATCCTCCTGCCTCAGCCTCACAAGTAGCTAGGACTACAGGTGTGTGCTACAATGCCAAGCTAATTTTTAATTTTTTGGCAGAGATGGGGTCTCCCTCTATTATCCAGGCTAGCCTTGAACTCAAAGCCTCAAGCAATCCTCCTGTCATGGCCTCCCAAAGTGCTGGGATTACAAGTGTGAGCCACCATACCCGGGCAGAAATATATTTCTTACAGTTATGGAAGCTGAGAAGTCCAAGGTCGAGGGGCCGCCCCTGGCGAGAGCCTTCTTGACGCTAGGGTCTCTGCAGAGTCCTGAGGTGGCACGGGACATCATGGCATGCTAGCTCAGGTCTCTTCCTCAGGGACCAAGGTCCCACATGAGTTTCGGAGGGCACAAACATTCAAACCATAGCAGCAGCCACCCAGAGCAAGGACATTCTAGGGAACACAGTGTTTGGTGCAGGGTGAGCACTCAAGCATGTGATTGGAAGGAGGGAAGTGGCTGGATGGGAGGCTGGAGGCTCCATCCTGGGCAGCCCTTTCTTTCAAGACCTCCTCACAGCTGTGCCCTGCAGCAATTTCACCTAAGCCTCATTCACAATTCTTTCTTCTTCTTCTCACATCTAATTAATTACCAGGTTCTTGTTTTCGTCTTTTAACTATTTTCCCATCATCCCATTCCTTCCAGTCCCACACTCACTGCCATGGTCTTCATTGTCTTACTACTGTGAAGGCAAACGTCACACACATGATCCACCTTGCCCCTGTTCCCCTCCGCTAATCCAATTTCTATGCTGCAGCAGCAGTGATGTTAAAATATCAGGCCAGGATTAACCACCCCCTCCAATCATTTTACTTCTCACTCAGTGAACTCTTCTTCCTTCCCGTAACCTGCCCAGGCCCATGCACTTTCCCCAATGACTTCATCGGATCTCCACTCCAATAGCACTCTATCAGAGACCCTCCTATAAATGACAGCACCCTAACTCCAAGACCCCATTTCCTTACCTGGCAGCATTGATTGTCACTTGACATGTTGCATGTTTATTTCATTGTTTGCCCCAGCAGAATGTGAGCTCCTGCTGGAGGGAGCAGGGATTTGATCTTGTCACTTGATGCCTCTCCATGCCTAGTTGGTAGGAGGACCTCAGTGATAGTTGTTAAATAAATGGGTGCGTAATCCCAGCGGTGAGGCTGAGGCAGGAGGATTGCTTGAGGTCAGAAGTTCAAAACCTGCCTGGGCAACATAGCAAGACTCCCGGCTCTACAAATGATTTTTAAATTAGCCAAGCATGGTGGCTCACACCTGTAGTCTCAAGTACTTGGGAGGCTGAGGCAGGAGAATCACTTGAGCCCAGGAGATTGAGGCTGCAGTGAACCATGATCATGCCACTGCACTCCAGCCTGGGTGACAGAGTGAGACCCTGAGTCTATAAACAAACAAATAAATAAGTGAATAGAGTGAGGTGTGAAGAGACAATCAAACTCTGGCTCACTTTATACTTAGTTTCTTCGTGACATATAAAGCCATCCTTTTTTTTTTTTTTTGAGATGGAGTAAAGCCATCATTTTTAACAGCAAACATTCATTGAAGATTCACTCTATGAGCAGTGCAGTGCTAGCTATTTTACGTGTATTATCTCAGTCTCCACAATAACCTATGAAATAGGTACTATTTCTAGCACCCTTTTTCATGTAATGTGGGTCCTTATAGTAAATGAAAATATGTAATAATACATTAAAACATCAGTAATGTACACTTTACATTGCACACACTCTGGCAACTTGTTTATTTTTTCAGAACTTTTGCCGTGTACACATACACATACATATAGTTGACCTGGAGTTTGTGTATGTTTTTATTTGCTTCTTTCTTGTTTTTGCTATTTTACAAAAATGAGGTCTCATGATATATATTGTTCCACAAGGTGATGTGTCTCAGAGATTTTTTTTTTTCATGAAATTTACTAAGATGGACCTCACTGTTTTTCTTGACTTGCATATGCGGGATACATCATGGTGCATTTAATCTCTTCCTACTGATTGACATTCACATTGGTTTTTTGGTTTTGTTTTGGCTGTACTGTGTTACAAACAATTTTGCAATCAATCTATCTTTCTATATTGTTGATTGGGGCCCAGGTATGTAAGGACGTCAGGAGGGAGATTCCTAAATGTGAAATTGCTAGGTCAGCAAACATGCATGTTCTGTTTATTTATTATAATCTGATACTAGGGTTGTGGTCTCTGTAGCAGACATGCCTTGCAGCCAACCCACATCCTTTCCCAGCTCCTGTCTCCTGCGTCTGTCCCAGCTCTTTGCCTGAGGCTTTCTCTGGCCGCAGAGTTTGTTCTGTCTGTGTCTGAGCCATGGAGTTAAGGCCCCCCGAGCAGCCTTCAATCAATGACCCACAGGAATTGATGGCTAAATACCTCCTTGGCTGGGTGGGTTAATGGGTTAACTCAGGTGCATGTTTTATGCTGGATCACAGTTTCCAGTTGCCCACAGTGGTAACTTGATTGACAGCACACTCTTCATTCACTCCCTCCCCTGCCCAATCTCCCTTCCTTAATACCCCACTGATATTTCTTAGGATGACCACCCAAACAAACGCTTGCACTCAAATCCTTGTTTCAAGGTCTGTTTCTGGGGAACCAAAACTAAGAAACTCTTATTTATTTATGAAAAAAAGTAAATTTTGTTCTTTAAATAAAATTGATGCATATACTTCGTTTTTTTAAGTTTATACTTAAAAAAGTCTTTCTTTTTATAAAGAAAGAAAATTAAAAGTAAACATCATCTTCTAACCCAAAGGTAATAACAGTTAATAGTGTCCTTCATTTCTTCCCAGAAAGAGACATGATTATACAAATAT
Source organism: Homo sapiens (assembly GCF_000001405.40). Lineage (NCBI taxonomy): Eukaryota > Metazoa > Chordata > Mammalia > Primates > Hominidae > Homo > Homo sapiens. The sequence continues at coordinate 31,195,798 of NC_000010.11, forward strand.
ATATATACACACATCCTTTTACATTTACATAAATGGAACAATGCTAAACACGATGCAGCTGGGCGAGGTGGCTCACGCCTGTAATCCCAGCACTTTGGGAGGCCGAGGCGGGCGGATCATGAGGTCAAGAGATCAAGACCATCCTAGCCAACATGGTGAAACCCCTGTCTCTACTAAAAATACAAAAATTAGCTGGGTGTGGTGGCGCTTGCCTGTAATCTCAGCTACTCGGGAGGCTGAGGCAGGAGAATCGCTTGAACCCAGGAGGCGGAGGTTGCAGTGAGCCAAGATCCAGCTACTGCACTGCAGCCTGGCAACAGAGCGAGACTCCATCCCAACAACAACAACAACAACAACAACAACAACAACAAAAACATACACGATGTTTGGCACTTTTACCCACTTAATGTTGCATCTTGGAGAACACTGATACTTACATAGACAGAGCTTTTAGTGGCCTTGCATTTCAGGGGCACACCACGCGTTTTTTAATCAGTCCCCTATTAGAGAACATTCAGTTGTTTCTAATGTTATGCAGTTACCACCATGCTGTGACAAATATTTTTGTACATATATTTTAGGTCATTTAAAAAAATTTTAAATCATAACAGAATTGCTGGGTCAAGGTGTATGTGCATTTTGTTTTTGTCTTTTAGACACTACTGTCTTTTCCTCTTCAAATAGGCTGCACTGACTTATACTTCTACCAACAGTGTCTGAATGCCTGGTTCCCCATACCTCCTCAACAATGGGTTTACCAAACATCTTAATATTTAGTAATCTGTTAGGTGAAATAAGTGTTTAATTATTTTATTGTGTGTTTCTTTGAGCATCTATTCATATATTTATAGTCATTTATGGTTCATCCATGAATTACCTGTTTCTATCCTGGACGAATTTTTCTATGGGATTTTTTGGTCTTCTTCCTTTTGGTTTCCAAGAGCTTTTATATAGGGTATGGCTATTAACCTGTTAGGTGTGGTTCTTATACGTCCTCCCATTCTGTGACTTTTCTTTAACTTTGTTTACTAATACTGAAATATTCTCTTATACAAGTGTTTTACATTATTAAATCAATTCTATTCATTTATTTTCTTGGTTTCTGAATTTTATGTGATGCTTGAGAAGTCTATTCTCCAATTTTATAAAAATATCCATCTGTATTTCTCTTAGTTCTTTCATTTTTACATTTACATCATTAATTCATTTGGAGTTTATTGGTGTTTGTTGTGTTTGAAGAAACTACAAAGAAATGAGAGTGAAGAAAAGAAGACAAGCCTGGCTTAAAAGTGCTGAACACCAGTCGGTGGCTTATGCCTGTAATCCCAGTGTTTTGGGAGGCCAAGGCAGGAGGATCATTTGAGGCCAGGAATCCAAGACCAGCCTGGACAATAAACCAAGACCTCATTTCTTCAAAAAATTACAAAATTAGCTGGGTGTGGCTGAGGTGAGAGGATCCCTTAAGCCCAGGAGATTGAGGCTGCAGTGAGCTGTGATTGCGCCACTGCACTACAGCCTGGGCAACACAGAGAGACCGTGTCTCTTAAAAGAAAAAAAAAATGTGCTGAATGCTTGGGTAGTGATATTGGGGAGTTTCCATTGATCAGGACCTACTAAGGGGTTTTCTTTCATGGGGAAGGTGGTCCAGGGTCATTTTCCAGGGCTATTATCAGTGTGTGCCAGAGCTAGCATGTACTGGCTCATGAGTGCCAATTTATTATGTGTTATATGTTATACAACCTTCTTATAAGTTAAATCTTATTACATTATAATTAAATAAATAATATTTCCAAAAAGGTAAAAACATTTAAAATCTACCACTTCCAGATCATTTTACTATGTTGTCTTCTTATATATGCCTCTGAGGTTATTTACTGCCATCGTATCTGTGCAGTGGAAATAGTACATAATGTTGATATAACATTAGTTGCTTGAATTGGCCACGGTGGGAGTATTTACACCTCGGATCTTGGCAAATGCTACCAGTCAGGGTCCTTTTTTTTCTCTGGAGATTAGCTGATAAGCATTTACCAGCACACCTCTGACTTTGCCTGTCTCCAGATATGCTTATTCAGGGAAGAGGCAGGTGTGCTGGAGAGGAAACCCCAGCATCCGTTAGAGTCAGACTTGAGAACTGTTAGGTTCTGCCCAGTCCTACCACTCTACGGTTCCAGGATACTCGTGATTATTCTGCATGTCTACATTGCCAAGGGGAATATAGCTCAGAAAAAACTGCTTTAGGGGATTGCTCCAGTCTCCACATTCTTAACCTGGATCTCATTTTGGTGTAATTCAGCCCTCCGATGAGTCGTGCACAGGATTTTCCCTGCAATGTCTCAGATTTAGATTCCAACATGGCAACTCAGACCTATAGATAGAATTATTTATCATCATTCATCTATTTTCCATTTAATATTAAGTGTTCTTAAAACATTTGACTCTCTCTAAATGCTGTCCAAGTAGCTGCAATGTATTGATATTTTTACTTACTCTCTTCCACATGGCAGCTTACATTTTGTAGAGAGCAAAAGAAGGTTGAGAAAAACAGGGTTTGGGATCTCACACCCGCTCTTGAAATAAGGGAAGCATTATTTATCCCAGTTATAAAGAAGAGCCTTTGTTTTATCTTCGTAAGTCAGTTTTTTTAAAGAGCTAAAAACATGTAAAATACATAAAAATCACAGGAAAAAATGTATGGTTCAAGTAGCTGTTATATAATTTTATGAGAACCTTCTGACTGAGAATATGAGAAAGTTACTTTTTCTGCTTCAGTATTTTATTTTAAAGATAGAGAGACCTTGTAAGTGTTAGCACAAATTTAGAAATTCCTGCTAAATCAATTATAATAATAATTTTATGCCTTGCTCATCCTGAAACAGACCCATGTATCATATTAATAATGTTTTGAGGGACACATTTCATCAAGAGCTTTAATTATTTTTTACAACTATACCTTGGAAGTCATTTTTGCCCACATTTCACAGATGGTTAAATTGGCCTAGTCACTGGCTCTGAAACATTCCAACCTAATTTCCAGCTTCTCTCCATCTTCTTACCTTAAATGCCATTCCTCCTCTTTTCCATGGAATCATCTCCTGTCTTCAAGATTCTACAGTTTTTCCATAATTATTCCCAAGTTGAGTGATGCATTGCTTTTCTGGACTTATAACTAATTTTCCATATCACCCATTTGGCACCTGATTATAATTTCTCTTGTAACTTACACTGTTAGGCAATTTCTACTGTCTTTACAGTTGACCCTTGAACAACATGGGTTTGAACTGCATGGATCCTATTATATGTAGATTTTCTTACATCTCTGGCACCCCTGAGACAGAAAGACCAACCCTTCCTCTTTCTCCTCCTTCTCAGCCTGCTCAACGTGAAGACCAAGAAGATATAGACCTTCATGATAATCCACTTCGACTTCATGAATAGTAAACATATTATCTTCTCCTTATGATTTTCTTAATAACAATTTATTTTCTCTGGCTTCTATTATTGTAAGAATATAGTCTAGAATACATATAACCTATAAAATATGTGTTAACTGACTGTTTATGTTATCAGTAAGCCTTCCGGTCAACAGTAGGCTATTAGTGATTAAGTTTTTGAAGAGTCAAAAGTTATACATGGATTTTTTATTGCAGCGGGACTCAGTGCCCCTAACCCCAGTGTTATTCAAGGGTCAACTGTAGTTTTACCTCAACATTCAGACAAGAGGTTCTGATTCTGAGAGGTGTAGACTCCCTTGGGACTTTAGGGAAATTGGTTATATCATAAAATTATATGTAAAATTTTGTGTATGCACCAATGTGCCTTTTTAGGGGCAAAATTCATTATTGTTATCAGATTCTCAAAGGGATTTTTGACCCAAGAGTCTAGTCTCCTGGAGGAATGTAATTATATGATATGCTTCATTATATTCTTCACAATATCTTCAATAACTCAGCTGAGTAATTAAATGGGCACAGGACAGATCTAATGTTTTCACTTATTTGCCATCAATTAACATCTTATTTTCCAAACCATGGAAGAGGGACAAAAACTTTTCTATTTCCATCTCACAGATGTAATGAACATATATGAAGATAATAGATGTGTCAAAGTTTTGAAAAGTTAAAAACAATACCTTATGGATATGATAGCCCATGTTGAGAGATGCGATAAGGAAATTCTGCACTTCCAGAATTCCCCATCATTTTTATTACCTTTCCTGAATCTTATTCTAGAGCAGCAGAACTTGGAAAACGTCTTCTCCCTTGACTGACTTCAGCAGCATTGATCTCCAATACCACCTCTCACCCAATAGTTTGTTAATAAAAATGTCTTTATCCCCTGTTCATTACTCTCCATTCTTTGGCAACTTTAAGTCCTCATTAATTACCATTGTCCCCAGTACTCTTCCTACTATAATTCTTGGTGGCTGCAATATTCTTGCAGATGCTGCTTCTAATATCCTGGCTCCTTATTCCTGGACCTTCACTTTTCCAGTGATCTTGTCCTCCACTCCACTTTAGCCACCACCTCCCATGGTCAAACCTAGACCTTGTCTTTACCAATAACTACAATCCTTCTGTTGTAGGCAGAATAACGGACCCCCCCTCCAACCCTCACCAAAGATGTCTACTTTCTAATCCCTAGAATCTGTGAAAATGTTACATTACATGGCAAAGGGAAATTGAGGTTGCAGATGGAATTAAGGTTGCTAATCAGCTGACCTTAAGTAAGGAGACTATGCTGTATTATTCAGGTGGCCCCAGTGTAATCACAAAGGTCCTTAAATATGGAAGGCAGAAATGGAGGTCAGAAGGCTGTTCTGGATAACTCTACCCGCTATCACTGGATTTGCAGATGGAGGAAGACGGCCATGAGCCAAAGAATGTGGTTGGCTTCTATGTCCTGGAAAGGACCAGGAAATGGATTCTTCCTAGAATATCCAGAAAGGAACAAAGCCATGTCAACATCTTTATTACAGCCCAGTGAAATCCATTTCAGAATTCTGATCTCTAGAACTACAAATCACACATTTGTGTTGTTTTAAGCCAATAAATTATGATAATCCATTACAGCAGCAGGAGGAAACACATACACCTTCCTTTCATTAGCAGATGAGGCCAAGGTTGCCTTCATGCAACCCACTCTATTTTTGCAATTTACTTCCTCTAGTACCCAACTCTGATAACATTTTGATCCCACTAACTCCTGCAATCCATTGATCCTATAACCTTTTTACTGCCTCTCATTCGACTCCCCTCTGTTTTTCCTACTTGAGCAGCTCAGATTCGATGACCAAGTGCTGGAATCACTCACCTGCAGCTCTCAACTGCAGAGTAATTCAATTAAATCCAACCCTCTTCCTATCTTGTACTTGAATCTGCTAGTTGAACATGGTTGAAAACAACACACAGCCAATCTGATTGGTCTCACTTTCAGTCCCTGACTCTAATATCACGTGGGATCTTAGTGTGCCAGGAAGTTCTTGCTGGGATTTCATGATCCTTCCCTCTCTAACTTTCCTAGGAGACTATTTCACAAATTGTCTTCTCTCTGGAAATAACCAAATTCTTTTTCTCTGTCTTCACTCTCTGCTGATTTTGTGTGTATGTAACCTTATTTCTTATTCCATTGAGAAAACAGATGATCAGAAGAAGACTTCCTTAAATCCCCACGACCCTACACACCCGCTCACCCACCTACACGTCTTCCCTCCCATAGCTGTGAACCACTGGTGAGGGCATCTATGGAAGTTCCGCCCCCCCGTTGCAGGGAAGACTCACCAGTCACATCTCCTGCTTCTGTCTCCTTTGGTCCCATGAAAACACTTTTCTCACTCTCCACTGGATCACTCTCATTGGCATACAGACATCCTGCTATTTCTCCTGTCTTAGAAGAACCATCTCTGGGCCCCACATCCCCCTCTGTCCCTGCCCTACTCCTCTGCCCCCTGAGAGATGTCTGCACCCCTCTCCTCCTCCCATTTTCTCTTGAACTCACTCCAGTAGGGTTTTTGTCCTCTCCTCTCCCCTGAAACTGCTGTTGTCCAAGTCACCAAGGGTCCCCCAAGGCTAAATCCAGTCATCAGTTTCCAGCCCTCATCTTACCTGACCTATTGGTAGCACCAGATACCATCTTTGGTCTGGATTTTTGCAAAATGTCTCTAACTGGGTTCCCATCTCCTGCCTTTGGGAACGTGCAGTCTATTTTCTACTGGGCAGTGGAAGATTTCTGTTTCATTTTGGTTTTAGTGAGTCAGATTAAGTTGCTCCTCAGCTAATCACACTCTAATCACCTCTCAGCTCACTCAGGTAAAAGCCAGACTTCTCTCAGGGGCCTTCAAGTGCTGTAAAAAATGGCCTGAGGCCCCTGCCCTCATCTGCAGACACGCCCTGGGCTCACTCTGCTCTAGCCTCGGACCTCCTGGCGGCTTCTCAAACTCACCAAGCACCTTTCTCCCTCAGAGCCTCTGTCCACTGACTGTGCCCTCTGCCTAGAACAGTCTTCCCCAGAGGCTGGTGTGGCTTGTTCCCTTCTCCTTCCAGATTTCTGATCAAGGTGGTGTTCCTGACACCCTCCAACACAAAGAAAAAGCACCTCCTGCTCTGCCCCACCCCTGCTTCTTCGCTTTACCTTATATTTTTTCCATGGCATGTATCATTATCTGAGTTTTATATATGTAATATTATTCAGTTACATATAATACATTATATACTAGTACAGTCCTATGCCCCATAATGACATTCTGGTCAAGGACGGGCACATATAGGACATTAGTTCCATAAGATTCTTATATCATTATTTTCCTGTACCTTGTCTATGTTTACATATGCCTAGATACACAAATATTTACCATTGTGTTCCAGTTGCCTAATGGCGTTTAGGACAGCTACATGCTGTACAGGTATGCAGCCTGGAAGCTATGGGCTACACCACACAGCCTAGATGTGTAGTAAGCTAGACCATCTAGGTTTGTGTGCACTCTGTGATGTTCGCACAATGACAAAATGGCCTAATGATGCATTTCTCAGAACATATCTTCATCATTAAGTGAGCCGTGGCTGTATATAATATATTGATGTAATATATAATAATTATGTAATATATTATATACGTATATTAAATGTATGTATGGATACATACAGTATATATATGCATGTGTGTATTTATATGTGTGTCTGTCTACATATGCATGCATAATTATTTCCCTCACCAACTAAAATATAAATGCCATTGAGGCAGGGAGTTTTTTTGTTCCTGGCTATACCTCCAGCACCTAGGAAAGTGCCCTGTGTAGCATTTAATAAGTTTGTTGAATCAATAAAAGAAAAAATAAATGAATGAATGAATTTAAGTAAAGTTGAACACACACTCAAATGGATCATAGCTTGACTGTAGATCTTTGCTGTCATTGTTTTGCAGCCAGGAAGGCAAGATGAGCTTCTCCTAGCTTTGTGTGTGTCAGCTTCAGCACTTATCAAATATTGATAAGTTTGATCTTGGGAGTTAGTCTACCTAATGTGTTTCAAACCTCAAGAGGCATCTTCTCTAGGGAAGTCCTAGAGTCCTGTGATGTCACCACTACCTAGATTTCCTTTTTGTCTTTTGACAATCTTCCCTTAAATGTACCCTTCTCAGGGGATAAAAATAAGGAATAGAAGTTAATTATTGATGTTGTCAGTGAAAGTTTTCTTGGATATATGTGAAAAACATTGCCTTTTTTCAGGAGAAGCTTACCAGGGTAAAGAAGCACTGTGTTCTCCATGGTGAAAGCGAGAAGCTCAATTCTAAAACACCATTTGAAAATCACGTCTGTCCAATAAACATTGTATAATGATTGGGATACCCTAATACCATTCTTATATTTACTAATGGATGTGCGGAAATACATACTCCTAGAAAAATTAATCCAGTTAAATTTTTCTCTTTCATTTTTAACTTCTTTAAGCCTCAAAAACCCAAGAGTGTAGGATACATTTATAGCTGGGTTATTGTAGCTATTTTCAGTTTTAACTATTCCATGTTCCCATCCTCTCACAAGGAAATGTTAGCAATTCATGGTTAATCTGGGCCATGAGCAGAAAGAATTTTTTCCCTTTCTCTTATTTTGAGGTAAAGGAAAAATTTCTGTAGAAACATATGTTTTTGGAAACGCTGGACTTAGAGAACACTTTGTGGTGCAGAACTATGGAATCTTGAACAGAGCAAACACTGCACTACTTATATCCATCCCTCAGAATGAAAGAGTAGATACAGCACACGTAATAGTGGGAAACTGAGGTTTGCCAGGGCTTAGACAATGTGTTTATGAGCAATTCAAGGGATCTTAAATGGTGGATAAGTTATTTTCAATGTTTCTGTAATTCTAAAGTGCAGGAATGATGCTGCATGATAGTTGACCAACAATGGCGGGTGTTAAGAATTCCATTCATTGGGTATTAATAGCATCAGGATTATAACTGTCTTACACCCTTGCTTATTTCATAATCTATTTCTGGAACTGGAGATTTGGAGGTTCGCCAGGTCTGCAATCCTGTCAGCTTTGACTTGATCAGTGGGAGCCAAGCGCATTAACCCAAAAGATTCAACTGAGAGGCGGGGGTGGAAAAGGAAAACTTAAAGTCTAAGTTTGTTGGAACCCTGCACAAAAGGAATTGTACAGTCTAGATAACTATCTGGGAGAGTTGCTAACAACTGGAGAGTAGCTGAATGGCCTGATATGGGAATTCAGAGAAGTTTATGGCAAAGTGAGTGTTAACTAAAAAATATATAATTCATTCATTTATTCATTCACTAACAAAGCCATAATTAAGCACCTACCTTGTGTTTGGCAAATGGCAGAGAGCAGGTGTGTATGCCAAAATTATTTTGGGGGATAGAGATTTAAGAAGGCCACAAGTGTGATGAAAATGTTATCCAAAAGGGCCTGGTTCCACTTCTTAGCTGCTTGACCTTGGATAAGTTGCTTAACTTTTCTGAGTCTGTAGAATGGGAATAATTAACTCCCAGGTTAAAAGACTTCTGAGGATTTAGTGAGACAATTCTATGAACAGTAAGACAATGACTTGGAAAGCATCTCACATGGTTCATGGTCCATGAAAGGCATTCATGTTTCTGTCCTCTTCTCCCAAGAAAGGTGTGTTAGTCTTTTCTGCATTGCTATAAAGGAATACTTGAGACTGGGTAGTTTATTTTTAAAAAGAGGTTTATTTGGCTCACAGTTCTGCAGACTGTACAAGAAGCATGGTGCCGGCATCTGCTTCTGGTGAGGGCCTCAGGAAGCTTCCAATTATGGCAGAAGGTGAAGGGGGAGCAGGTACATCACCTGGTAAGAGAAGGAGCAAGAGAGATGCTATGTGCTTTTAATCAACTAGCTCCTGCGTGAACTAACTCATTACCATGGGGAGGGCACCAAGCCATTCATGAGGGATCCGCCCCCATAACCCAAACACCTCCCACTAGGCCTCATCTCCAAAACTGGAGGTCACATTTCAACATGTGATTTGGGGGCAGGACAAAACGTCCAAAGTATATGAAAAGGAAATCGCTCTGAGCGATTCCCGAGGGAGGTAGGAAGGAGTCCTGGGAAGCAGGTCTGGCTCTGAGAGATGGCACTCCTGGATTCTGTGTAGTCTATGTAGAGAAACACCCCATGCTCCCCATGAAATGCATGACTCAGTGTTTGAGTTGAGTTCCTCGGACCTTATAGGTTGGCAGTGGTGCCCAAATGCTTCCCTTTGCTCACAGCTGAAGAGGAAAAATTTGAATTATGACTGAAGAAAATGTCAACTGTAAATGCAGCCTTTAAAATTGAGTCGTATGAAAGAAGTCATTATTTGAAAAAGATACTTGCACACGCGTGTTTATAGCAGCACAATTCACAATAGCAAAATCGTGGAACCAACCCAAATGCCCATCAGTCAATGAGTGGATAAAGAAACTCTGATATATATATATGATGGAATACTACTCAGCTATAAAAAGGAATGGATTAACAGCATTTGCAATGACCTGGATGAGATTAGAGACTATTATCCTAAGTGAAGTAACTCAGGAATGGAAAACCAAGCATCGTATGCTTGTTATGCATCTTATGATATGTGGGAGCTAAGCCATGAGGACACAAAAGCTAAGCTACGAGGACGCAAAAGCGTAAGAATGATACAATGGACTTTGGGGACTTGGGAGAAGAGTGGGAGTGGGGCGAGAGATAAAAGATAACAAATATGGTGCAGTGTATACTGCTCAGGTGATGGGTGCACTAGGTTCTCACAAATCTCCACTAAAGAACTTACTCATGTAACTAAATACTACTTGTACCCCCAATAACTTATGGAAAAATAAAATTAAAAAAAATTGTGTCGTATGTAAAGTGACATGCTGGAGAAGGATGTGCTTTGGTCATTTCTGAAAGTCTCCACCAACTGCAGGTTCAGGAAACATTTTGTACTGGCATCAGGCAACTCCCGGTCTCAATAGGATGACATTACCAAAGCTGGAGTCTCTGTTTGGTCCTGCAGTATAGCACAAAAGGCGCTAGGAATAGCAGGCGGGGCTGCCAGCAGCACTATCAGCGAAGCAGGTGTCTATACTGCCCTCTTGCCCAGTTCCATAAGCAGCTTCCCAGTGGCTTCTGGGGCTGGATCAAGTAGATTCTCTTTCAAGTCCCTGCCAGAAAGAACCAGGGCCTCAAAAAATAACCAAAAAAAAAAAAAAAAAAAATCAATCCAAATAGTGTCTTGTTTCTAAACTGCTATGTATTTTTTTTTCTCTTTTTGGAGACAGGGTCTTGCTCTGTTGCCCAGGCTGGAGTGCAGTGCCACAATCATAGCTCACTGCAGCCTCAAATCCCTGGGCTCAATCTATCCTCCTACCTCAGCCTCTCAAGTAGCTAGGCCTACAGGTGCACACCATCACATTTGGCTAATTTAAAAATTTTTCTTTTAGATGCAGAGTCTTGCTATGTTGCCCAGACTGATCTTGGACCCCTGATCTCAAGCGATCCTCCCACCTTGGCCTTCCAAAGTGCTGGTATTATAGGCATGAGCCACTACACTTGGACCCAAACAGGTATCTGTTAAACTGGCTTTACCTTCATTCACCTTTTGAGCCTGAGAGTGAAAGGAGAACTGTTACCTGCCAAGTCTGCAGCAGAAGGAGTGAGTGTGGTAGCTGGATCACCAGATCTCGGCTCCAGCCCACCCTTGTGGCTGGTACACTGGGGTAGGTTACACAGACCCTGCAGGTAACGAGGCTGAACCCGAGGCTGAGGCTGAGCCCGAGGCTGTCTGCCTATATGATGGGGAGAAATGATAATCGCTCATGGTTCATTGAGCTGTTGAGGGCTAAATGAGCTAATATGTGAAAGGGATCAGGACAGTCCTCAGCGCCTCATTGGACTTCCTAAGTTAACTCTCACTGCTCCATTGGCTGAGGACTTCACTTATCACAGCCTGAGAAGAGGTGGCTGCCTGTGTGGAGCAAGTTAGATGCCCGAGGCCCTTTATGCCATGAATGGGACACAGCAAAGGGTGGGGTGAGAAGTGCCCTGGTGAGGTTGGCCACCTTTTGGCTTTGGGACCTTGGGCTTGGTAATTAACCAGGCCTTAGCTTTTGTATCTGTGAATGGGGATGATGATGTTACTTAAATCATAAGATTGTTGAAAGGCTTTGAAAAAGTGCTTACAACTTGCTTATCTTTGTAACTTGGCACATGCTCAGTGAGTATGCACTCTTTGCACTCTTCATCATCTTATCATCATCATCACCATCTTTCCCATCTGGAAATCACTCCACACATTAGAACCACTTTGGATAAGACAACCTACATAGGGAAAGTGAGGGGAAACACCCTTCCTTTTCCTATTAATATGTGATGATGGGTTTGTACTTTTAAGATAGTTGTTTCTCAGACGACCCCATGAAAAACTGGGCAAAGGATATAAACAGACACTTCCCAAAAGAAAAAATACAAGTGGTCAGTAAACACATGAAAAAATGCTCAACATCACTAGTCATCACAGAAATGCAAATTAAAACCACAACGAGATATCCTCTTACACCAGTCAGAATGGCTATTATCAAAAAGTCAAAAAGCAACAGAGGCTGGCATGGATGTAAAGAAAAGGGAACGTTTACACACTGTTGATAGGAATGCAAAGTAGTTCAATCTCTTTGGAAAACAGTATGGAGATTTCTCATGGAATTTAAAAAACAGAGCTACCATTTGACGCAGCAATCCCACTGCTGGGTATCTACCCACAGGAAAATAAATCATTATATAAAAAAGACGCCTGCACTCATGTGTTCATTACAGCACTATTCATAATAGCAAAGTCATGGTGCCAACCTAAGTGTCTATCAATGGATGGCTGGATGAAGAAAATGTGGTCTATATACACATGGGATACGATACAGCAGTAAAAAAAAAATGAAATATGGACTGGGCACGGTGGCTCATGCCTGTAATCCCAGCACTTTGGGAGGCCAAGGGGAGTGGATCATGAGGTCAAGAGATCGAGACCATTCCGGCCAACACGGTGAAACACCGTCTCTACTAAAAATACAAAAATTAGCCGGGCATGGTGGCACGTGCCTGTGGTACTCAGGAGGCTGAGGCAGGAGAATGGCTTGGACCCAGGAGGCAGAGGTTGCAGTGAGCCGAGATTGCACCACTGCACTCCAGCTTGGTGACAGAGTGAGACTCCATCTCAAAAAAAAAAGAAAGAAAGAAAGAAAGAAAAAAGAGAAATCATGTCCTTTGGAACAACATGGATGGCGCTGGAGGCCATTGTCCTAAAAGAACTAACTCTGAAACAGAAAATTAAATACCACATGTGCTTACTTATAAGTGGGAGCTAAACGATGGGTAAACATGGACATAAAAATAAAATAATGGACACTGGGAACTCCAAAGCCAGGGAGAGTAGGAGGAAGGCGACGGTTGAAAAATTAACTATCATGTACAGTGTTCACTGTTTGGGTGATAGGTGCACCAGAAGCCCAATCCCCACCACTATACAATATATCCATGTAACAAACACACACACGTACTTCCTGAATCTAAAATTAAATTAATTTTAGAAATATAAATTTAAACTGACACAAAAATAAACATAGAAATACAGTGGTTTCTGTGGAAGACCTGGAGCAGGGTGCCAGAGTGAAATGGGAAGAGCCCTAGGTTTGGAGACAAAAGCCCTGACCTCGAATCTTGGCCTTGCCCCCCGCCGCCCGCCTTCCCCTGAACAGCTCACAACCTGTCACCAGCGAGATGTCTGAATGCACGGGAAAGGAGAAGGAGCAGGCAAGCTTCCACGATGGGGCAATAACAAGGCCCAAGACATCAGCAGAGGTGGGAAAGCCCAGCCCAGGCCAAGAGGTGCCCTGGGTGTGGCTGCCTGGAGGGAAAGTGCCTCCTGAACGCCCTGAACCCCGGCCTAGGAAGGGGTGCTGAGGCGACTGTCCTCAGCAGTGGCATCCCTTTGCCATTCTTTTTGGGGAAACCCCATTTTGTTCCAGCATCAGCTGTGGAAGGAGTGGAGTGGCTTCTGGGTAGCTCCAGATACAGGACTCTGCAGACAGGAGGGCAATTCCCGGGCAGAGCCTCACAGAGGGTCCAAGAGAAAGACAAAAAATGTTGCTCTTCCTTTCTCCCTCTCTGCTGCCAGATTAAGTAAATGGTCCTAATTATCAACTCATTCACTGAATTCCTAAACAAGGACCATAGAGAATCCCTTTACACACCACTCTCTTGAAAGGTTAGAGGGGCAAAACTAAACTCTATGGTAACAGCCCCAAGACAATTAAAATGTGCTGCCCGCCCTGCCCCCGCCCCCGCCCCAGCAGCTGTTGAAATGCCTCAGCCTCCCACTTCCCCAGCCTGGCTGGCTTCCCCTGCCCCGCGTTCCTGGCAGGTCTAGGAGTTGAGAGAAAAATCCACCAGAACAAGAAGTGCCTGGGTGTTCTCCAGTTCCTAGCAGGTGGAAGGTGGGGCTGTTCGGATGAAAATGGTTTTTACAGACGTGCAGAATTCAAGGGTGTTTCCCACTCAGCAGGCAGGGCTCTGCCAGGCAGTTCCTCAGAAACCCTGTGTTATGTTCTTGTGGGGATGTGTTTCCCTTTTTTTATGAAGTCCTCACTCTTTTCACCTGTGTTGGCCTCTGCCAACACCCTTGGCCGCCACGATGGTAGAAAGCCTTGTGTGTAGCCCTCTCTTTTAATTTGCTCTGGAATGATTCCATAGAGAAGCCCTGAGTCAAGGGCATTTCTCTCCCCATGTAATGCTGTTCGAGGCCTTGGGAGCTTACTTACGTCGTCTCCAAAATGTATTGTGAGGCACGAGGCACATGGCTTTTGCTTTACATTTTTACCCAGAAATTATGGCAACGAATTTAGATACTAAATGACAAGTGTCATTTACCCTTGTAAATGAATTGGGCCATGGCTTATGTTTTGCTTTTTCGCCCCGCATTCAGTCTCCATGGGGGAGAAAATTTTTTAAAGGCTTGATGGTACTGATACTCAGTTGCAGAGTCATTCGCAGGAACGATTGGTAAGTGACTCAACTACAATGGCGGCGATCAGCGGCTTCCATGAGTCCACTTTACTAGATGTGACAACTGTCTTCATGTCTTTACAAAGTATTACAAGAATTAGGAAGTAGGTTTTGTAGGAATTCTAAATTGGGCAAAGCATTGTGGTGGTGCAAAAAGAATTCTTACTCCCCTCTATTAAAAAAAAAAATCATGCTTATGGTTTCCACAGCTTAACCTTTCTACTTGCTATAAAATGCATGAACTGCAGGGTGCCGATGCTTTGGTGCTGGCCTTCAGCCTCTAGATGCTTGCTGTTCCTAATCACACCTGAGGTCCCTCCTTGTCACCTGCAGCTGTCGGTCCCATGGCTGTCTCTTGGGTCCTGCACGGGGCAGGCTAGAGATAAGAGGGAGCTGATGCCCCATAGCTCAGCAGCTCTTTGCAAATGATCACGGAGTTCAGGGAGACAACTCTGAGGTTGTTCCACGCCATTTCCCGCAGGCCCCTGCCAGACTAGCCCAGTGCCTGCAGTGTTTTCCCCCTCATTTATGCACCAATGTCAGCTTTCTCCCCTTCCCTGTCTCATTTCCCATCCCCTGCTGCTCCCTGGGATGATCCCAATGTGTCATCAGCCTCAAATCCTTGGTCTCAGGTGTGCTTCCAGGGGATGCAAACTAAGACATGAAGCTCCGCCTAGGACAAGTAGGGGAGGCCCTTGAGAGCCAGCAAACCCTCCACTGCTTCACCCACCCATGCTTTGAGACCCTGCTCCAGAGCTCCCCAGGGCCTCCCTCACCTGCCTCTGGAGGAAGCACTCTCAGCACTGGCTCCTCCTGTCTCCCCACTGCCCAACCAAGCCAGCCCCCTCTCCTCCTCCAGAATGCCCTCCCAGACTACTACTGGGAACACTTGCCTTCTGGAACTTACATTGCATTTACAGAAGGTACCAAGAATTTAGCACCCGATGCTATGGTAATCCCCTCTATGTTGGTTCTACTTCCCTAACTAAACTGTCAGGTTCTGAAGGGCTGGGGATCATGGCAAATACTTTTTAATTCCGTTTAGTTTTGGGGTTTGTATTATCCCATTCCATGCCTAGCATAGTTCTCATGACAGAATAGGTACTTAATTAGTATATAGATTCACTCAACATTCAGCAAATATGTATTGAGTACCTGCTATGTGCTAGAGGCTGGGGATATATTTCTCCCAGATTAACTGCTAGTTGGAATACAGACAATTAGCAAAAATAAATGACTAATCACATGGTATGTTAGGAAGTATTAGCAAATACCAAGAAAATACAGTAGGAAGACTAAAGAGATCCTCAGCTTGGAGGCATAGGGACGTTGTGATTTTATTTTTATGTATGTATCTATTAACAAAAATTGTTTATATTTCAGGTGTACAATGTGATTTTTGGTATGTCTATACATAGCGAAATAATTACTACAATCATGCAAATTAACATATTCATGTCCTCACAGTTTCCTTTTTGTGTGTAGGCAAGAACGCCTAAAATCTCTCTTTGCAAATTTCCAGTATATAATATAGTATAATTAACTATCATCATCACAATGAACATTAGGTCTTTAGACTTATTCATCCTATATAACTGCAACTTTGTACCCTTTAAACAAATTCTCCCCATTTCCCCCACTCCACCACCTCTGATTGCCACCATTCTACTCTTTGTTTCTCTTTGTTTCTATGTATTAGACTTTTAAAGATTCCACATATAACTGAGATCACACAGTATTTTTTTTTCCTGTGTCTGGTGTATTTCACTTAGCATAATATCCTTCCTGTTCATCCATGTTGTCAAAAATGGTTGAATCTCCTTTTTAAAGGGGTAACAACATTCCATTATGTGTGTTTATATATATAATCACAATTCTGTTATAATATAAAGGATAACAAGTGTTGGCGAGAACGTGGAGAAAAGGGAAGCCTTGTGTACTGTTGATGGGAATGTAAATTGGTACAGCTATTATGGAAAACATTATGGATGTTCCTCAAAAAATTAAAAATAGAACGACCATATGATCCAGCAATCCCACTTCTCGCTATATATCCAAAGGAAATGAAATCAGTATGTGGGAGAGATATCTGCATTCCCATGTTTATTACAGCATTCACAATAGCCAAGATATGGAAACGACTGAAGTTGTGATTTTAAACAGTTTCTGCAGAAAGCTGCATTGAAGAGATTACCTCTGAACAAAGACTCAAAGAAGAGAGAACCAGCTCTACAAATATCTGGAGGGGCCAGGCAGCATGAACGGCAAGTACCAAGACCCTGAGATGCGAGCATGTCAGATACATTAAGGGGACAGCAAGGAGGGCAATGTAGAGTCCAAAAGGGCCACAGTAATGGGAGGCTGGAGATGCAGGAGCCAGACCCTGAGGGCCTGAGACCATTGCAAGGACTTGGGCTTTGCCTGTCGGTGAGATGGGGCAGAAGCAGGTTTTGCTGAGAAGTGACACCGCCTGACTCACATATTAACAAGATCTCTCTGGCTGCTGTGCTGACAATAGATTCTAGATCCACAAGGGGAAGCAGGGACACCCTTGACGGGGGTGAACTGCGACCTCTTCTTGAGAGGTGAGGGCAGTTTGGCTGGATATGTTTTGAAGATGGAGCCTACAGCATTTTCTATTGAATTGACGTGGAGTGCGTTAACTTAAATGCCTTGGTTTTAGGTGGTATCTGTCAGGTTTTTCCATGGTAAATGATTGCTTTTCCTTCTGTAATTAATAAGTAATTTGGGGGGAGGCATGTTTAGATGATATAAATAACCTTTTCCTCATCAAACTTTTACTTGCTATCCTAAGCATACATGGAAACTTTTGCTTGAATCAATTATTACTATGATAGTTGTAAAACGGGGATTTTACGAACCCTGTCACTCATTCCACATTCATTAATTGGTACTCCATTGTAAGGAAGCTTTGTCTTCTCCCTTGAAATTTATTTATATGAATGTGGACTCATGTGTTCCTGTTTTGCTCACCAGGCTATCATCTGTTCACCAGGCTATCATCTGTTAATGTCATTGTATATTTTGATGCTCAAAAATGTCCCAGATTTTTGGTCAGTGGGACCCATTTCAAGCTGGCTCCTGTGTCCTTTTTGACATACCTCCATCATTCTTTAAACACAATACTATGTTCCAGGCTCATGATGGGCTCTTTTTGTCCTATACCTGGAATCAACTGTTTCTGCAAGGAGCCCTAGTTCCTTTTACTGGGGAATGGTGTTTAGAAACCAAGATCTGGGCATATTATGTATTTTTAAATTATGGAGTCTTTTTAGTCCTCCTTGCTACTGCCAAAATAAGAATTCTTATATCTTCATTTTAACAGTTAAACTTTACCTGATCCCAAAAGAAGAAACATGAAATATTAGAAGCTGTCAGCTTTAAGATGTGCTTCATATTGAGACACAAAGTGAGGACCATTGTAAAATCCGAAGTGAAGCGTCTTGCCACACCTGAACACATTTTGTGATATTTAACTATGGCAAGACACCGTGGTGTTAACACTCTGTACTTATCCTAGGGTCATTCACTCTCTAGAAACAATAGAATATGTTTAAAATCTTCTCCACAAAGGGGATCTAACTGTTCTTGGTTTTATTTTCTCCATGCATACATTACCTTTTATACTTCCACTGGTGTGCAAAAATGGAAGAAAGAGGCCTGAACAATGCCACTTTTGCTCCATGATACCCTTTTTCATCACAATGATTACTTAACTTCATTTGTTCTTTTCTCTCTCTGTTTATAGGTACTAAGAAATACATAAACATTATAATAATAGCATGATGCAATCCATGAATGACTTTGACTTACGCTATCTCAGCTGACCTCATGACAAAACCTTTTAAAATAGGCAAGGTCATTGTTCTTATTCAATTTACCAATGGAGAAAGTAACAGAAAGCCTCATTGACTTTCCTAAAGTTGCATACATGGCAAATATGATCTGGACCACTTTTTCTGACTAACACCCAGCTTGCTTTCCTCTGTGTCTCCAACCCTGACGGCATATTTGAATTAAAAGACTGGGGCCCAGTCCCCAACTTGAGAGGTTCTGCGTCAACGTGTGGGGTGGCAGGCCAGCCTCGGCAGTTTTCACAAGCTTGCCGCCGTGCCCATGGGCAGCCGGAGGTAAGTAGAGGTGAACTGTGTGGTGCACAGGTCCCCCACTGGATCACAGAACAGGCAAGTCCAAAACCTCACACGTGTGACAGGTCGAACAAAGGGAGTGACTGTGACAGGGCCAAGGCTGGGCAGGTCTCAGGAAGAAAAGGCTCCAAGCCTGGAGAGGCATAAAAAGGGTTCTGGGGACCTGGTTGTGGCCCAGGCCCATGTGCCAGGGGCCTTCTCACCTGCTTCACTCATCCTCAGACACCACCCAGGTGCCTGGTTAGAGCAGAGTGTGGAGGTGGGTGCCACACGGCAACTCTTGTGCTCCTGGAAAAAGGAGCCATTGCTGAGTGGGGGCTTGCTATGTCCTTTCCTATTTTAGGCCTCATCCTGCTTGACGATGTGGGATTCTATTTCTCCACACTAGATGTGGAGAATATTCTCCTAAGTGTAAAGAGGGAAGTAAAACAGGAATGGGCACTTCCATCTGTATCTGCTTTCTGTATCTTCTGTTACTCTTACTCCTAGCCACAAGCAAAGAATCTGCTCGTTATTTTTCTTGCTGTTATGGCTTTAAATGCCTTTGTCATGCCTTTGGGATCTTTGCAGGTCTGAATTCAGACCAAACCTTTGCCCTTCTTTGACTTTTATAGGTTTAGGCCACTCTGTCATATTCATTCTTGGTCAGGTTCCCTTGCTTCCCTCCTTTTCGCCTGCCCACTGAAACTATGAACTTGTAGATGAGCTACGTCTCTAATCACATGGTTTCTTTAGATCTCTTCCCTCTTTTGTCCTTTACAGGTTCATTTGTGGTTATATTGTTGGCTAAGTCCTTCCACTTCTCCTTTTAGAACTGCTAGTCTTGGCATGGAGCATCTTTGTATTCAATCTTTGAACTTTCTTTTCCTAAATCTTGGGCCCAGTGGAAACTAGGCATTGTAAACTGTGGCCTACAGCCCCAGTCTGGGCCCAGCTTACACACATTTGATTTGGCGGATGTGTTATTTACAGAAGTTTGAATCTGAGCTCCCTGTTTGCTCCCACCTCTTCCTACCATTGCATACATCTGCATGCTTCACGCATTTTCTGTACCTGCCTGGCCGTTGTAGACATTTGAGTTTCTGATCTCTGCCTTAGGTAGTGACTGGTGTTCTTCTCTCTGTAATGATGTGCCTGATTTTCTGACCCTACTGAAGGCCCACTTCAGCAGCGAAGGTTGCAGAGGTCACACTGAGCCTTTGCAACAATGGCAGGGAGCATTTCAGACAACAGCACAACATGGCACAAGCCTCTACCCCAAGGCAGGCCTGACTCTTCACTGTCCTGGAAACCGACTATAGTATTCATGATCACTCGTTCATCTGCACCCACTGGGCACCTTCCTAGGAACGTACTCACTCCCTGGCACTTCGTATCAAGCTGGTTGACCCCGGCAGTGCCCCTTCCACCAACCGTACTCCTTTCCCAGGGTTGCCTCATGCCTGCATCTGTGTCCCAAAACCTGGCCAAGTGTCTCTGCTCCTGTCCTCCCCTCTCCTGTCCGGGAGGCTGGAGCCTCCAGGGTCTGGAGCCTGGCTCTTAGATGGGCCCCACTAAACATCCAAATTTCCACGTTTCTCCTTGTAGGATGCTCCTGGGGCCCTGACTGCTCTTCCACTTCTTCCACAGCCTTTCCCTGGGAGCCCCCTGGCATTCCTGCTCCCCTCCTGTTGTGCAGCTTCCAGGCTCTGACTTCCCATCCCACTCTCTGGAATGGCTTGTTCCTTTGCAAACTGCATCCTGTTCTTGCTATTATGAAATCTAAGATGACTAGATGACTGACTGCTTTTCTCCAAGATTCCCAAAATGTCTCCCTCATCAAATGATAGTTTCTTGATGACCTCACTAAGTTCTGAACAGTCATGTACCTTCTTGCATTGGCTGACTCCCCACCTATTCTCATGTGCAATGACAGCTGCTTTTCACAGCAAGCTCCTCAAACACTTCCTGATTTTATCCACAAATGGTTGCATGGTTTTTGACACAATTTTGCTATATCTGGAACCCCAATTCTTTGAAAATTGGTTCAAACGACGTTGCCAAACATTTTCCGGAATGCTCAGTTGACTAAACCATGTCTATCAGCCTTTCCCAAACCATTGCTTGTTGCCAAATCCTTGTGTTATTATCTTCAGCAAATAATTTACAAATTAGGGTATCCCAAAGAAAAACTCTGGCACCTTTTCCTAAATGGAAGGTAAAACTATTATCAAGGGACACCATCGTGTGCAGACAGAACTTAATTAATAAACCTGGGATAATGATACTGGTAAATGGAAAGAGAACATTCTATGGAACTCCTAGCCTTAGCACATCTCAGCAGCAGAGCTTTGCTCAGTGGTGAGAGAAGATTTCTAGAGGTACAACTTCCAGTTTACATTTCAGAGAGAACCCACGCACCATGCCAAAAGCAGTAAACTTGACATATTCAAAATGTTACATCCTTTAAGGTAAACCAGTTCTAAGTGGAGATCTTGGCCTCCTGGATGCTGGTTGCTACAGGAAATCTTATTCACAGTGGAAAATGATGATACCTAAAGGACTAATAAAAAGAGGAATGAAAGTGGAGAGTTTTTTCATGCCTTTAATCAAGGTTATTTTCATTTTCTTCTTCATGATTATTGCCTTTCAGTAAATCTGCTCAGTGCCCAAGCCCTCAAAATGACACAGCATATCTGAGAGCACCTGGGTGACAGCGCCTGAGAAAAATCAAACACAGAGAGGACTGCAGCTCCCTGCAGGGTGCTCACGGGCCGCTATGCAGCTTCTGTGCAGGATCCATTGCATTTCAGGGGCTGCTTCACTCCCCATGGACCCCAACCAGGGGGCAGGGTGAACAATGAGGTGGCCAGGGCCAGCCCCTCTTGGCCAGGTGGTTATTAATTCTTGGCCAGGTGGTCAGGCTGAGAGGAGGCAGGGAAAGGGCTCAGGCAATTAGTGCTTCAGAAAATGTTGCAGTGAATCAGTGCCAATTCCAGACTGATTGCTGTTACCCAAAACTTTTCTTCCCTGCCCAATCATTATGTCCTCCCTGGGGGTGAGCTCATAAGGCTCAGAGTTCTTTCAGTGCCTGGTTGAATGGAGCTTAAAACAAATAAACAAACAAGCAACAATATTTGGTCCATGACACCCTTTTCGTCTTTGGAGGGGTGGATGAGGGTGGGTGGGATGTAGGGAGTCAGGAATTGGGGCTTCATCCTGTCCTCAGGGGCCCCTGAGCCTGCCCGCTGGTGTATTAAGACACCCACTGCCCACAGCAGCACCCAGCTGGGATGCCATCACTTGCCCCATGATATTCCTACACCTGTCAAAGCTCCTTGTCTCTAAAGGTTTTCAGGCTGAGTCCAAAGGCTTGTCAGGGAGATTGTAAAATGACTTCCTTCAATGGGAATGGGGGTCCCTTCCACATTTTCTTTTTTTGGAGACAGGGTCTCTCTCTGTTGCCCAGGCTGCAGTGCAGTGGTGCAATCACAGTTCACTGCACCCTCAAACTCCCGGGCTCAAGAAATCCTCCCACCTCAGCCTCCTGAGTAGCTGGGACTACAGACACATGCCACCAAGCCCGACTAATTCTTAGTATGTTTTGTAGAGACAGGGTCTTGTTATGTTGCCCAGGCTGGTCTCAAACTCATGTCCTTGAGTGATCCGATCTGCCCGCCTAGGCCTCCCAAAGTGCTGGGATTACAGGTATGAGCCACCATGCCCCGCCCCCGCCCTCCAACCTTAAGATTACAAACTGAACAACCTGAACCTCTCTGGCCTCAGCTCCTCCTTTGTAAGATAAGGATAATAGCAGCTGCCTTTTCTGGTTGTTGCGAATAGAAAGAGGGAACACTTAGGAAGAGAGGTAAATGCTCAGCAAGTGTCGATCATTAGTATGATTCTCACTCAGCAGAGAGCCAGGCATTGCTATTTACCTCTAAACTGTTAGGAAATCAAGCCAAATGTGGAAAATTCACTGATACCCAGGATCCCTAAGGGGCATTGTCTTTTAGTTGCAAGAGTGGATATTCAAATGGCAAACGCTAAGAGGACATTTCTCCTACAGAATAACTTTGTGATCATTTCCAAAGGAAAAAGAAATTCTAAGATTCCTCGTCTTCCAGGCCCAGAATTTAGGTCATAAGTTTATCTCACTGAAGTGCAGGAAGGCACATTTTCAACAGGGAGGAAGAAGTCCGATCCCAGAGACTTCACGAAGCTTGTCTGTGGGAGTGCAATAATAAAGGTGCTTATGTGAGACTTTTCATCATCAATTGAAGAATTTTCAGCAGCCAAACATTGAAGCCATACTCAGAGTATTAGGCTGAATTTATTGAAGATTATTTGTTTTCTTTTTTGATGTTGCCCATGCAGCATTGCAAATAATAGAATCTCATTGTTAAACACAGCTCATTATTTTCTTCAATGAGCTAGAATCCAAGTTATGAGTAATGGGTTAGTAGTGAGTTCACAGGCATGCAGAAGAATAAAAAAGAAAAAAGGATCTAAAAGAATACTATTAGCATTAATTACGTCTGTGCATTTCCCATTTGCAGAGACTTACTATAAAATATTTCTTTTTTTCATTTTTCCTAATCGGATTGCCTACTAGATTTATAATCATAGAAGAGCTGTTTAGAAACGAATTCCTTATACAAGAGAAAATTCTAATTCTGAAAAATAACTATCTGGGATGTGTTATTTTATCTTTCTTGACTTATGAATGTGGTTATTGATCTCTAAATGGAATTTCCAAATCAGTGACTTTTATAAAAATATGATATACTGTGGAAAGAGGTAGAAATAAGAAGCAGGAGGGAGGGAAAGGAAAAGACAATTTGCAGAATAAACTTGAACAATAACTTTAATGGTCTTCATCCATCCCTATAAATCAACAAATCATTTTCCCACAGGTCAGACTGTTACAGTAGAATTTGGACTCATTCTGCTCATTTTGGAGATGGTTACAAGTGCTCGGACTGGTGCCATGTTATGCATTTGGAAGAATGATTGCATTATAAAACCCATTCCAAGCTTCCCACTGTTTCAGCAATGGAAATAGTGAAGAATGTTTGGACTGATTTAAAATGTGAAGATCTAATTCCAGTATTGTAGAAGCTTTCTGCCACTCAAACATTCCCCCAAATAAGTCTCAGTTGTGTGCCTAATTAAATTCTGATGTTAGGTAAAAAAAAAAAAAGGAATCATTTTTTCTAATTTTAAGTAGCAACTTGCATATAGCTCATAGAACTAGTCAATATTTAAATTACACCATTATTAAAACGCTAGGCTTAGCACCTAGCAGAAACTAACCAACTTCTATGGAATAGATCTGGGGACTCCATTTCCAGAAGTGTGGCTGATTAGATACCCTAAGTGACCCTCATGACTAAAAATAAAAAAAAAAAAAGATTAAATGTTGAAAGAACATTAATTTAAATGCATTACTGAGCTGGCACCAAATTAAGAAATGTGCAGAGCCCCAAAGGGAATGAACACATGAATCTTGGAAGGTAGGCTAGTGTAAGAGTCCACTTATGTCCCCAAAGTGTGGCTGAACCCTGGAGATGCTAAGTGTCTTCTTTGATAACTACATAGAGTTCAGAGGACAAAAGATTAACCTTAGGGTCTGCCCAAAGGGGGATCTCATAGGAGACCCCATAATTATCTGGACTGCTAAAGGCCATAGTCCTAAAGCAAGGATGAACGAGCAGTAAACCCTGATATTCAGAAGGAGGCAGAAAGAAAACTTGCTTGTCTCTACGCTGAACTGGAGGTGGGGAAAAATAAATCCCTTTCCTCCTTCTGAGAATTCGAAAGCACAAGCCAGCAGTCTAAATTCACGCTTCCTGAGTGGCACAGAAAAACTCAACCTGGAAGGCTCACACCTGTAATCCCAGCATTTTGGGAGGTGAAGGCAGGAGGATCTCTTGAGACCAGGAGTTTGAGACCAGCCTGGACAAGATAGCAAAACTCGTCTCTACAAAAATAAAAAGTAAAATAAAATAAAATGGTTCCAGGTTGGTGACTGAGAAGGAGGGGCAGATCCTCTCTAGAAGAACACCGCTTCAACTTAGGCCTCAACGAATTCCCACATAGAAAATCTTCCAGAACAATCAGGCAAAATTCACTAACATTCAAGGAAAACAGACATCACTGATGAAATTCATCAGGAAAAAAAAAACAAGAAATAAACTCACAAATACCTTATATATTGGACATATCAGGCACAGAATAACTTGTTTAATATGTTTAAAGTTGATATAATAATTGAAATTGAAAATTCAGTGGACTTTCTTTATAACAGATAAGACATGACTGATAAGAAAAACGGTAATGAGAGATAAATCCAAAGAAATGAATAAAATCTGGAGAATAAAGGATGGGAAACATGAAAGAGAGGCTAAGGTGCAAGAGGGATAAAGTTAGAAGGTTCAGGCCAGGCGCGGTGGCTCACGCCTGTAATCCCAGCACTTTGGGAGGCCAAGGCCAGTGGATCACTTGAAGTCAGGAGTTTGAGACCAGCCTGGCCAACACGGTGAAACCCTGCCTCTACTAAAAATACAAAAAATTAGCCAGGTGTGGTGGCAGGCACCTGTAATCCCACCTACTTGGGAGGCTGAGGCAAGAGAATTGTTTGAACCCGGGAAGCAGAGGTTGCAGTGAGCAGAGATCGCGCCATTGCACTCCAACCTGGGCAACAAGAGCGAAACCCTGTCTCAAAAAAAAAAAAAAAATAGAAGGTTTACTATAAACCTAATTTCAGTTCCAGAGTGAGAGAATACAGAGAATGTGAACTCTTCAAGGATAGACTTTTTTGGGTTGTTGAAAGACAATCCTTGGATGCAGTAAGCCCAATGGATTCCAACTAGGGTACATTTTTGTAAAATCACACTAAAACCAAAGAAAAACAGAAGATCCTAATGGCAGCCAGAGAAAAAGACAGATCACTTACAAAGAAGTGCAATTACATTAGCTGATGATTTCTAAACAGTGATAGCTGGAGGAAAGGTGGAAGTCCATGACTTTCATCAGTATAAATTGTTTTTGCCTGTGATTGAACTCCATGTAAATGAGATCACACACTATGTAATTTTTTTCTGTTTATTTCTGTCAACATTGTGTCTGTGAAATTCATCCCTGTGGTTACATCTAACAGTAGTTGGTATTTTCTTTTCTTTCTATGGAGTATCCCATTTCATGAATATACTATAATTTATGTATTTTTATCATACTGCTGATGGGCATTTGAGTTATTTCCAGAATTTTGCCATTATGAATACTATTATTCTATGACTCTGTTCTTTTTCTTTTTTTTTTTAAAGTGTGTCTTACACGTCCTGCAATGTCGTGAACTTTTTCCCCATAGAAAACTAATAAAGAGGGCAGCCGAGGCAGGCGGATCACCTGAGGTCAGGAGTTTGAGACCAGCCGACCAACACGGAGAAACCCCGTCTCTACTAAAAATACAAAATTATCCCAGCATGGTGGCACATGCTTGTAATCCCAGCTACTCAGGAGGCTGAGGCAGGAGAATCGCTTGAACCCGGGAGGCAGAGGTTGCGGTGAGCTGAGATTGCGCTATTGTACTCCAGCCTGGGCAACAAGAGTGAAACTCCGTCAGAAAGAAAAGAGAAAAGAAAAGAAAAGATTAGATTTAAATGTTAACAAAACACCATTCTTATAACATTGACTTGATTTCACATCCAGGAAGTTCAAACCCTTAATAACATACCTCACTGCATTCTTGCTGTGGTTTAATGATTACTTTTTTCAACTCTTATTCCCTTGAAATTTTTTAGCAAAAGCTAATGTAGGGTTTTGTGTGTGATTCCCACGCCAGTTTACTAGAGTGTGTGAAAAACCACACCTTGTCCACATTAAGAAAGTAAAAGGCAGTCAACTTTAGACTCTAATCGAAGCAAACTTAAAAGCATACAACGGTGCATGGAAAGCAAGTAGTGAGTACCTGCTGATTAAGAGAAGACAAAGAAGAAAAAACATGTGCACAATACCTCTAAGTTTAGGTCTTTTCTAAATAGCCACAGTTTTGTACAATCCCTATGTATGTTTTGCTACATTTGCAAATCCCTTCTGGCTGCATGATGCGTTTTCCCATCATGATCTCAAAACCAGCATTATCGTTCTTGCCTGCCCTTTCCATAGCCTTCAGTGCTGGGCTGTGCCTGACCTGCTTGCAGCTGAAGTGTTTCATACTGTCCTATCACCTTTCTTCAGTTGTTGTCTGCGTGTGTACTAACTCCCTAACTAGAGTGTAAATGTAATGATTATCCCTACAGACTCTTGAGTCCCTCCCAAAGTACCTATCATTTCTCACAATAACCAGATAACCTGCATGTGATAAGGTAAAAGGTAAAGGAACGTTGATCAGAGTCAAGAATTTCCAGGCTGAGACATAATCCACATCATTAAGTTCTCATGATAAGCAAAAGTCTCAAGGAACTAGTTGAGGTAGAGAGGAGAGTGATTCTACTTCATATATGTTATATATACAAGCAATCTCAAGGCAATAGTCTAACTAATCATTGAAATTTAGGAAAGGCCCCCACCTACGGCATGTTTAATGGCAAGTTTCTGCCAAGCATGTGATTTTATGGTTGCTTAATAGAGCATTAAAAATTGAGGTTTATGTATCAAGTCTGACATAGTATTGTCTACACTATAGAAAGAATAGCACCATAAGTAAAAGTAGCCTGGAAAATGGCAGTGATATACTCATGCCATTAAAGATCAGCATACCTCCTGGCTTTTATTTAGGAGGCTAAAGCTGGAGATTTTTAGCATTAATAAAGACAGTGTAGTAACCATAGAAACATAGCATTTATTAATTTCCATAGTAAAGAAAGCAATTCCTTCCATGGAATGATTTGAGGTGCTCTAGCAAGTACTTCTGCCTAAAGAGCTCTCCTATAGGTCTGAACTATTTAAAGCAAAGGGAATTCTCTAAAATAATACACAACCCATTTAATAAGAGGCATGGCAATTTTGATTGAAAGTTAAAATATACCTACTATAAATAAATGTAGAAATATGATGGCAATGGGCTAAACAATCCATAGTAAAAAGGGAAAACAGCAAAGGACAAAATCAATATTCAGATTGCAAGGAAAAGGAAAACTGACATTTATTGAAAGTCTACTCTTTGTCAGACACTTGTTATACTTCATTTCATTTAATCCTCATGACCATCCTTTAAGTATATATACATTTATTTCCATCATTTTCTAATTGCTAAAGTAATACATGCACATGGTGGAAAAATTGGAAAATACTAAAGAAGTACCAGCAATAAACACTACACATCTTACCATGTAAAGTGACACTGGTAACAGTTTGATGTATTTCTCTTCTCTTTGCATACTCTTTCACATAATTGAGATCGTAACAGATTCCTGTTTAGCTTATTGTTAAATATTCTTAGCATGTAAGCTGAATAAAGGCATAATTTTTTGTTTTTGCTCATTGTTTAATCATCATTGCTTCACACATAGTAAAACTCAATAAATACTTGTTGAATGTGTAAATGTGATGGTTATGTCATACTAACCATCCCTCTCTTATTCTAAACATTTTGATTTTTTTAAAAAAAATGTATAAATCTTTATCAGAATTTCTGATTTTTTCCTTAAGACTGACTTTCAGACATGAAATTCATAGGTTAAAAATTATAGATCTTCTTGAGTTCAAAACACATATTGACAATTTGCTTTCTTAAAAGTTTCTAGCTGAGCTTACCAGCATTATATGAAAGTCTCTATTTTATTCAATCCTCATAGGCACTGCATAGTTTCTATTTTAAATATTCTCTTAAATTTTACAGACAAAGTAATTTCTTTATATATTTTTATTATTAATACACATTAGTATATTATCAAGGTAGTAAACTTTTTCCTTATTATTGCAACTGTTTCCGCACAATTACTTATTTCCTTTAATCCAATTTAGGCTTATTTTTCCAATAGCAAGGCTTTCAAACTTTATGTTGTTAATTATTTCCCTTGAATTATTTTTCATTGCTTCTATGCTTGGAAATTCCTTCTCCAAGAAGGAGAAAACAATCACTTTGTTTTCATCTAGCTTTTCATGGTTTCATTGTCACCTTTGTTTCATTAATCACCTGAAATTGTTTGGGATCATGGTGTGAACTGAGCATATTCAGTTGATAAAAATTGTTCCAGACTCATTTATTTAAAAATTCCTTCTCTTCTTCTTTGTGATTTTTCTTCATATACTAGATTTTGACATAAACTAGGGTTATTTTAGTGTACTTATCCATTTATTCTCATGCAAGTCTAGCTGTGTTTTTTAATTAAAAACATTTTATTGTAATATAGGTGCACATTTTTAAAAATCAAATAGTAGAGACTATGTTTATAATAAAAATTGACTCCCCTCTCCCTCCAATATTTCCTTTCCTACCCATAGTCCTGTTCACCGGAAACAATTTTAACCATTTCTGTTTTTATTTTTTTCTGATATTAACTCTATCTAGTTAAATAATAAAATATGGCCTTAGTCATTATCTATTGAATTCCTGCCAATGAATTCAATAGATAAATTCAATTTATGACTAGTAAAGACTTAGCACATTTGTACTATTTTATCTCCTTTTCTTCATCCCTCAATATTTGATAGTTTTATTGCTGTTTTTGTTCCTCTTTTGGTTATCTTTGTGATTTAAAATGCTATACAGTATCTAAACTTCTTTTTCCTGTTCCATCAGTTTTTAACAGTGTATCTTGATGCCCTATTTTGCAATATGAGAATATTACTGCCACTACCCTTTGCTATGAATTTTAACCTTCTACCTTTTATAGATCTTATTTCATATTGTCAAAACATGTTATGTACATTTTGCCTCTATGCACAGTTAAGTATTTCAAGGCTTGCCTATAGATTGATTCTAATACGGGAAGTCAACAAACAATGTTAGTATTATCATGGCTATATAATTCTTCTTCATTCTAGGGTTAAATTTCTTCTCTCTTGTTCCAAAAACGCAATACCATTTTCCTTAAAAGAGAATGTGCTAGGACCAAGTAAGATCAAGTGGATTCTTTCTTAATCTATTAATTGTTCAAAATAATAATAAATGCTTGATTGAATATAGTGTTGATGCCATATGGACATGGTTTTGTTTATGGGACAAATTTAAATTACTGTTTCAATATCTTTAGAAACTACAAGACTATTCTAATTTTCTGTTTCTTCTCAGGTGAGTTTTTGAAAAGTTGTAGTTTTCTAGAAATCTTTTTTTTTTTTTTGAGACAGAGCCTTGCTCTGTTGCCCAGGCTGGAGTGCAATGGTGCGATCTCAGCTCACTGCAACCTCCACCTCCTGGGTTCAAGCAATTCTCCCTTCTCAGCCTCCCGAGTAGCTGGGATTACAGGCATGTGCCACCATGCCCAGCTAATTTTTGTATTTTTAGTGCAGACGGGGTTTCACCATGTTGGCCAGGCTGGTCTCGAACCCCTGACCTCAGGTGATCCGCCTGCCTCGGCCTCCCAAAGTGCTGAGATATCTCTATTATCAAAATTTTGGGGACAAGTTTTTTCACAATGAAATACTAATTTTAATGTCTGGAATATCTGTAGCGATGTCTCCTTTTTCATATGGCAATGGCTAATGTCTATTTTTTAAATCAATCTTGCTAGATATTTATCAATTTAATTAATCTTTTCAAGAGGTAAAATGCTGGTGGATATATAATGGTATCTTATGATTTAAATTTGCATTTACCTGATAACTAATAATTTGGGGCATCTGTTCACATATTTACTTGCCATTTGGATCTCTTTTTTGAAGCCTGTGTTTACATATTTTGTCCATTTCTTTATTGGTTATGTCTCTTTTATGGTGCGAGTTCTTTACACATTTTAGTTATGTGTCCATGATAGGTTATAGTATTACAAAAATTATCTTCTGCCTTCTTGGCTTGTCTTTTCATTCTCTTCATGTTGTCATTAGACAAAATTTCTTAATTTTTTATAGTCTTATTTATTGATGATGATTTGTTTGTATGTTTGTTTGCTTGCTTGTGTTCTATTTATCACTACATTTAGAACTTTTAAAGTCTTTACATACCCCAAAAACATGAGGACTTTTCTTCTGTTTTATTCCAGAAGTTTATTGGTTTTGCCTTTTATGTTTAGATATATAATCTGCCTGTAATTCATTTTGAGTATAATTTCTTTTTACAATATGGATATTCAATTGATCCAGTACCACTAAATGAAAAGATCTTTTCCTCATTGCACTTCAGTGTCATCTTTGTCATAAATCAAAGTACTGTATGTTTGTTTGGGTCTGTTTCTGGACTTTCTATTATGCTTCATTGATCAGTATGTCTCTCCTTGTGCACATAGCACACTAACTTCATTACTGTAGTCTTATAATTAGTCTTGACATATGGTAGTGTAAATATTTCAAATTAGCTTTTCTTCAAGATCATCTTGAGCATTTCTGGAATTTTATATCCCATAAAAATTTTAGAATCAGCTTATTGATTTTCACATCCTCCCCAAAAAATGTTTGTTGAGATCTTAATTGAGATGCATTTACTCTATAGATCAACTTGTGGAGATGTCACATCTTAATAATATTAGT